>NC_000001.11:41372016-41675047 GCF_000001405.40 Homo sapiens | reverse complement strand
GTTCTATAAATGAGAAGCCAGCAGAAGGCCTCTGAGGGGCTTTCTAGGCTGCCTGTGCCAGCATTTTAAGAATTCCATGGCTGTGAAAATGGGGTGCAGAGGATGGGACCTGTGTGGGGGAAAAGGGGAGTCCCTGTTCTGTTCCAATAAGTGTGGACTAAAGATGAGCTGTTTTCTTTACCCGCCCCTCTCAGGGCTTTGTGCATTGCTGTGTACACTGGGGAGCTCCAAGGTGACTGTGGAATAGGCAGTGTTTTCCCAACGTAATTGACCATGGGAAAGGCTGCAGACAAAGGGACTCCTCAGAGGTGCTTGTGTGGAAAGGCGGCTGGATGTGATCTCAGCGTGAGGATTCCATCCTGGTGGCCGGCAGCCGGGTGGGGCTGGGATAACCCTGGACAAAGGACACCTGTGAATAGGCCATTATAGGAAACCCATCGACGGGCAGATCTACTGCAAACTCTACGGAGGGGTCCTGGGTACGGGGCAGGGAGGAAGTTCCAGAGCTGGGAGTCTCTCACCTTCTCTGTCCTCATTCCTCTGCCCTTTCTCCTTTTCCCCTGGTTCCTGCCCTGAGAATCCCACGTCCTTGAAATACTCCAGGTTCCAGTCAGCACCCTGAGAGCTCTGGACAGGCTGTAAGCATGAATGCCACTGAACAGGATGAAGCATCGCCAGAATGAATACATTCGTGGGAAGGCCATCCCTTGTGTCCACAAAACAGTGGCATGGGTGGGGAATGGAAGAAAGAGAAGGGGAGGATGTAGTGGTTCCTTGATGCCTCCTTCCTCTTCACCCATTGATTTGTTTAATGATCATTTAACAAACATCAGGCACTGGACTGGGCATTGGAGACCTGGCGGGGCATGAGACAGACTCAGGGCCAGCTTTCCCGACACGGGGATTATGTCTGGGTGACATTCAATTCTCCTGACAAACCTGCTTCTGGCTTCATCTGACAAGCCCCTCTGGGGAGGTCGGCCCCAGCCAGCTGGGTTTAGGGAAATGCCCCGCCCTGGTGTCAGAGAGGCAGGGGTTAGAAACGCAGCTGTGCATCATCAAAGCTCTCTGTGCCTGTTTCCTTTTCTGCAGAAGAAAGACAACCCCACCTTCTGCACGGGCTGGGGTGGGGGTTCAGGGAGGTCCCACACTCCTGGCACCTAACGTGATGCTTTTAACGAACTGGCTTTTTGTTCTCATCCTCTCTCTTCACCACCAGGACTTGGCCAGGAAATTTCTGATGGTTTGGTTTTTCCCAAACTGAACATTTTATCCCTTCTTCCCTAGCTCAACAGCATGTGCAATTTAGACTCACAACCAAACTTGATTTATTCATACTTAGGGAGTCCTCAAAAATACCCTGCCAGATAAACCTTCAAGCTTGAGAAGCTAACACAATCTTGAAAGAAAAAAAATGCTTAGAGTTCAAGAAATTGGACTCAGGCTCGCGGTTTTGGTTTGTTTCAAGCAGTGAGATACAGTGAGGAGAAGCTCTGGGTGTGTAACCAGGAAATCCAGGTCGTGGTCTGGTGCACTGCCTGTAAGCTAAGCCGAGCAGCCAGCCCTCCTCAGCCTCAGCCTCCCCTCCTATGAAATGGGGGTAATAACCTTTTCCTCCTGTGGCTGCTGGGGAAACTGAGTGAGGTTCAAAAGCAATAATGAACTGAAAATGCTGTCTGCCTCTCCTGAGCTACTCAACATCTTCTCTATAAAGTACTTAAAGGTCCTCCTGGGAAACTTGCATTCTCTCACTGCCTCTTTGCACCTGAGACCACCCATCTGGCCTCTGGGAGACCCCAGTCGTTCCTGACCCAGCTGTTTGGCTCCAACTGTCCTGTGGTTAGAGCAGCTAGCCGGCTGTTCCAGGAAGTCTCTTTCTCAGGCTGGGCCCCTAGGGAGGGAGCTGAGCCCCATTTGGTGGGGGAGAAGACAAGGCCTGGGGAGGGGGCAGGGGGACCGCCAGCCTGGGAGAAGCTGTGCCGTATTTTTCAAATAACTCCATGTCCACAAAGCTAAAAATGTGGCCTGGCTTTACATATTTTATACATGTGTATATTCCCGGTACATTTCCTTCTAATTTTTAAAACCATACGTAACGTCAGGGACATTTAATCCATATGGTTCTGATTCCTTAACACTTAAATCATCCAAATGTTGTTTTGTAGAATCTATTTGCAAATCTCTTTACGTAAGTGTTTAACTCATTCTTTCTCAAGGGAATCCAGGCATGGTCCCTGGCTGAGTCTTCCTCCTCTTTCACTCTCCTCACTCCCCACCTGAACTGGCCAGATGTCTTGACTGCCTCTGGCCTGGGCATCACTGCTCAAGCCCTGCCCTCAAGGCTGGGGGAACCTGGTGGGAGAGGACTGAGAGGCAGACGGCCTCCACTCTACCACTTCCTGGCTGTGTGATCAATCACAAATTAAGCTCATCAAACCCTTTTCTTCACCTGTAAAAAGGGATAAATAATAAACATCTTCCAGGATTGTTGGGGGATAAAGCAAGGTGATGTGTAGAAAGTCCTTAGCTCAGAGAACAGGGCTTGCCGCCCACAAACAGAAAGGTAGGGAGAGGCACGTGGGACTGCAGAGTCATTCTTGAGGAATCTTGAGATAACAGCCCCAGGGCAGAGAAGCTGAGGCCGGAGAAGCAAAAGAACACTGCCCATGGGAACTGGGGATTCAGACAAGGACCAAGCAGTGGCTGCAGCGGTCAGAAGGGTGGGAGGTGATGGGCCTGATGCCAGGAGATGTGTGGGCAGAGCTCAGGTGGGGGTCTGGGAGGGGAGTGAGTATCCACAGTGTACTCTGCACATGGGGCCTGCCCCACATGTGCCAGGGAGGTGGGGAGGGCCCCAAAGGACCTGGCAAACCATGGAGGAAGTCAACAGGGAAAGTGGCTCTCCCAGGTGAGAGGGGCATGGGCTTCCCACCTGGAAGTCTTCCACAGCCATCTGTCAGAGCACACTCATGCGCTAAGGGCCCCCATAGACTCTCCCACCTGCAGATACAACCCCAACTGCTTAGCCTGGAGTTGTGGCCCAACTCAACTGCACCCAGCCCCTGCCCAATCCCCACCAGGGTCTCCCCACTTTCTTCTCCCTCCCTTCAGGCCATTCTCCAACTTTCATATTCTTTTCAGCTGTTTCCCCTGCCTCCATAGCTTTTCCTGGCTTTTCCACTGATAAATACCTACCCACTCTTCAAAATCCAACTCAAAACTCATCTCCTCTGACAAGCTTTCCTGGGAAGATTTGCAAACAACTGGTCCTTCCTTTGTGCTCTCCTAGTCTTAGTCTGACTGGGCCGTACTCACCTGGGATGAATTCTTCGGGGTCTGCGCTGGGAGCTGTGGGTGTGGGGATGGATAAAAGCCACTCCTGTCCAGGAGGTCCCCTGTTCTGCGTGAGGCGGAGCCTCATTTGACCTGTGGCTTTCTGAGAAGGCAGAGTGGGACTCCAAGATGGAAGCTATAGGACTCTGTAGATGTCAGTGTGAGATGGGAGCTCAGCTAGGAGGACACAGGATGGCCAGGGTGGCACAGCTCCTGAGGCCTTCCCCATGGCAGGGCCTATTGGTCAGCTCTGATCTGGACACCACCAGTGCCTGCCCCCGAGAGCAGGATTCGTTTCTCCGGCAATTCCAGAAGGAGCAAATCCCAGACAGAGCTGCATCTCTGGGACGGAAGAGCAGATGCTCAGTCTAAAATTAGGCTGCTAACTGCGACTTCATCTAGGCTTCGGAGCGGATCTGCTTCTTGCATCTGCCAGTGTGTAGCAGAGGAAAGGCGAAGCCCCTGCCTCCCTGTCGAGGCTGGGCAGTGATGGTGATAGCCAGCTGGGGGCCCAGCGTTCTACAGTCTACCTGTGGTGCTTTCCTGGGCTCAACTTCATTAACTCCTCACAAGTCCCCTGAGAGGGAGGCTTAGGAGAGGCAGGGTGGGGAGGGGCCTGTCCCCCACCCGCAGGAGCTGCCTTTGCTTGGGGGTGTCTGGTTGAAGCAGAAAGGGATGATAATCAGGGAAAATTTCTTCCCACCTCTTCTTTGTCTACCGTTCCCACCTCCATTCAGGCATCCTCTGGCTCTCCTATTATCTGCCTGAGCAGGCCCCACACTCCAGGAAGGGTAGAATCTGTTGGAGGCCTCTGTGTGGGCCTTCTTTTATCTCTCTGAAAGCCACAGCTCTCACGGTGGCCTGCCAGGCCCTGTGTAATATGCCCGACGCAGGGCCTTTGCACTGGTTGCCCCTTTGCCTATAAAGGCCTTTCCTAGTAACTGCGTGGCTTAATTCTTCCCCTGCTTCAAGTTGCTGCTCAAATGCCACCTTCTCAATGAGGCTGACTCTAACCACCCTATTTAAACTTGTGACTCATCTCCCACCCCTGCATTCCTGGTTCCCTTACTCTGTTCTGCCTTGTTGCCATAGTCCATACCTCCTGCTAATATGCTCTATAGTTTACTTACTTATTCTGTTTCTTGTTTACTGTCTGTCTCTTTCCCCTAGAACATAAGTTCCATGGGGCAGAGATTTTTGTTCATTTTGTTCACTGATGCACTCTAAGTCCCTAGAACAGGGCCCAGCCAATAGTGGCTGAACATGTGTTACAGAGTGCATGAATTCAGGGGGGATGGAGGCACCTGGGCTCAGGGCAGCATCCTGTTTTTGCTAAACATGGGCCATGGCTGCTCCAGAGAAAGCCAATGCCCTGGAGATAGGGTCCTTCTGCTGGAACTGCTTCTAGGTCCTCTCTGGGCCTCTGTTTGCTCATCTATTAACTGGGGCTGATGGTCCCTGCCCTGCCCCTCACAGAGCCTTGGGATCACACCCATGAGGACATGGGTGTGATTATGCCCCAAACCATAAAGGGCTACCCAAATAAGTGTGAGGTATGCATTCGTTCAGTCAATATCACTGTGCACCTACTGGGTGCCAGGACCCATATTGAGTGCTAGGAGTCCACAGAGGACTGACGGCTTCTGCCCATCTGCAAAGAGGCCCTCCCAGGGAGTGAGGCCTCTGCTAGCTATGAGGAAGAAGGAAATGCTCACTTACTTCAGAGTTGTTGGAGATGTGAGACCCCAAAAAGGAATATGGGGTCCTCCTGGTATCTGAGGGAAGTCCTGATTTAGACATCTATAAGGGTTCTCTAGAGAACCAAAATCAATATGATAGGCATAGAGATAAATGTAGATATAGACATAGGAAGAGACTTATTGTAAATAATTAGCTCATGTGCTTATGGGGGCTGAGAAGTCCTATGATCTGCTGTCAGCAAGCTGGAGATCCAGGAGAGCCCATGTGTATTTCTAGTCTGAGTCTGAAGGCCTGAGGCCCAGGAAAGCCAATGGTATAAGTTCCATTCTGCAAGTGGGTAGGCTTGAGACCCAAGAAGAGCCGATGTTTCATTCTGGTGCAAAGGCAGGAAAAGACCAATGTCCCAGCTCAAGCAGTCAGGCAGGAGGAGTTTCCTCCCACTCAGCCTTTTCATTCTATTCAGGTCTTCAGTAGATTGGATGAAGCTCTCCCATGTTAGGGAGGGTAATCTGCTTTAAGTCTACTGATCCAAATGTTCATCTCACCCAGAAACACCCCCACAGACATACCTGGAACAATGTTTGGCCAAATGTCTGGGCACCCCATGGCCCAGTCGAGATGGCACATGGAATTAACCATCACACCCTCCTCCCACCCCCAGACTGCTATTGATCTTTCACCTTCAAACCAAGACCCACCAAATTCACAGGCCTGCCTTCCCCTCCCCAGGTCTCCCCTCAGCGCTTCCACCCTGCCACCCTCTGGGACATTGCCTCTGCTTATAAGTTCGCCTGACTCAGCCCTTTCTAAATAGGACACAGCCAGGTGCCCAGGACCCTTGCTGGGATTCTAATCCAGTCAGAGTTCAGGGTGGGTTTGAGGAGCAAGTTGCAAGAGATCAGCAGAAAATCCTGGGGAAGACAGCTCTCAGAGGGCTTGTTTTCAGGCCGGAAGGTACATGGCTGACTGGACTAAGAGTCTGGAGTTCCTGAGGGATCATGGAAGCTTCCTCTGCACTCCCAGGCAGAGTAGCAGAGGCTGCCATATTCCACCCCAGCTGCGGGAAGCCTCAGGAGAAAGCCTTCCAGGTGCCCTGTTTATTGAGCACCTAGTAGGTACCAAGCATTGACCCCAGAGCTCTCCTAACCTAGTAGGGGCACCAGACACAAATACTTTACTATAATGTGAGAAATATTTTGATGGTATATACAAAGCTAATTACCAGAACATCACTGAGAAGGGTGCTTTCAATTCTGCTGAGAGTGGAAGTCAGGAAAAAATAAGAAAAACAGGACTTTTGAAGGAGAGCTTATAGGACGAGTTCACTAAATAGGCAAAGAGAATTTACAGGGGAGCTGGAGGGAAGGGTGGATGGGGGATAGGAGGAGGAAGGGCATGCCAGGTAGAAGGAACAGCATGGGGAAAAGTGGAGTATCCAAATTCACATTATGTTTACGGACTAGTGAGCTGTCTGGCCCAGGCCACTCCCTTCCTGGGCATGACTGCAAGTGGGAAGATTGCAAGGCTGAAGGATTGGGGTTCTCACCTCTGGCCTTGAGAGGTCAGAAGGGCTGCAGTGGGAGCAGAGCCTGAGCAGGGATGGGGTGAGGCCACTTCCACAGTCCTTTGCTGTGGATGCAGGCTTTTGAAAGTAGCCTTTGCACCAGGCCTCACCCCTCCCGTATTCATCTCTCTCGCCCATGTCTTCGGCAGCATTCACTGCTTTCATCCACTGTTGTCATAGTTATTTTCTGTAGTGTGCAAGGCCTCTCCGGAACCAGACTGTGAGCTGCCTGAGCACAGGATCCTTCAGGCCTCATTTGTCTTGCCTCGGGATTCCTTCCTGCCCACCCACTGCCCTACCCAGCCCTTCGCCCTGGGCTGGCCACATGGATTATATCAATCAGTTGGATGAAAGTCTCAGGAGAGAAGAAGAATGTAAGGGCATCTCAGAATTCTTCTCTCCCTCTGCTACTCCCAGAACTCTTTTTTGTCATTCCTGTTGCTGTTTACCTTGTGTTCATGTTTATAGGGTCTGATTTAATTCTCATGTCCCCCTTCCCTCACTTCATCAGCTATTGGCAAGGACTAGGTCTTGTTCATCATAGTATCCCCCAAAGAGCTTGAGTTGGGGGGCTTGGGGGGGGCTTCTTTATTGAGTGACTAATACATATTGCTTCTGTTATTGATACTTTAAATGCATTTTCTCTTTTAATTTTATCTGCTCTAATTTATTCCTCTAAATTTTTCCTGGGATGTGTTATTCTCCCAATTTAGCAGCTGTGAAAACTGAGGTATAGGGGAGTTAAGCAGCCAGTAAGTGTCAGGACCAGGACATGCACCCACATCCATCTTAATCCAAGCTGTGGAAGTTGATGCTGTACTTATGCACCTCCCTTGGTGGGCACAAAGCCATGGGCAGAGTAAATATTTGTTGTTATTGATGATCTTGCAAGTCCCTTGGCTTGGGGAAAACCTGTTCTCACAGCTGCCAGGGGAGTGTGGCTTGACTAATCTTCTGATTTCCTGGAACTGAAGGCCCCGCCTTCCCCACCTGGGGCCTGCTGAGCCCTGTGGGAGTCCCCCAAAATGCTGGTGAAAAGCCAGAATGAGGCAGTCTCAGAGCTTAGGCCAGACCCAGGTCTCAGTCTGAAGTATAGGAAAAGAGGATGCTTTTGTCATTTGGGGAAAACTATTCCATGAGCTTGAGGCCAACTGGCCTCCTGTAGTTGCTGGTTACCAGGCAGGATGGTCAGAGCAGCCGTGTGTTAACAGTTCAGCATGCTCTGAATATCTGTGACATTCCTAGAGCTAAGATTTGGTCATGCACAGAGATGCAGAATCTAAGGGGGCAGCAGACACATGAAGAAATGACTCTCATAGTGGGGCACAAGCCAGGACAGTCTGTATCAAGTGCTGGAGGCTCATGGCAAAGGAAACGCCAACACTCCCTGGGGGCCAGGGAAGCCTTCACAAGGGAAGTGGCCTCTGAGCTGGCCTGGAAGGCTGAGTGGGAGCTGGCCAAGCAGATGGGTGAGGGGAAAAGTATAGGGAACTGCATGTGCAAAATGTGCTTGGAAGGCTCAGAAACAGTGAGAGATTCTGTATGGTGGGAGCATAGGGTGGATGGGGATAGTGCAGAGAGAGGGAGGTTTGGACTGGTAAACTGAGGCTCTGTTGTTAAAGGCCCTAATAGACCGGGTGGTTTCGCTGAACAGGGACCCACTTGAAGGTGTCCTAGAGAGTTCTACCTGTGTGGAGAATGGATTGCAGGGGTAAGCTGGGCACGGTGCCAGGGAGAAGGCTGTTGGAACTTGTTGGTGATGGTGGCCTGAATTGAGGCACCAGGCATGGAGAAGGGCTTCTGGCTTCGGGCTTGAGAAGATTGATGCCCACATCCATGAAGATGAGCAGTATGAGAGGAGGAGGATTCTGAGTCACCATATGGGAGGACAGTAATCAATGCTACTGTTTATTGAGCACCTACTATTTTGTACACTGAAGAGTTCTATTGCAGTGTCTTGTCAAAACTTCCCAGCAGCCCTTGGAGATGAGAACGTCAAGATCAGTGACATCAAGTAACATGCCCAAGGTGACACAGTAAATGTGGGGCTGGAGCCTGAACCCAGGTCTATGTGGCTCCAAGGCCCATGCTGTTATCCACAGCATCAAGTTAAGTCAGGAAGCTGGAAACACAGTTCTCAGGCTGGAGAGAAAGGATGGGAACTGAGTCTGGAGGACTGGACCTCAGGAAGGTGATATCCATAAAATGCAAACTCTAGTCTCTGTCCCAGGACAGAAGCTTCATGTGTGCAACAGGTCTATGAAGAGAGCACCTACCATACATGTGCACATGCACACACACACACATACACACACACACACACACACGCACACACACCCCAAACAGGAAAACAACCAAAGCATCTGAGTCCAGGAAAGCACAGCAATGGGGATGGAGGATGGAGAGGGGATGGTTGCTAAGTCAGTGTAAGACCTAAACATAAATAACCCAGAAGGCCCACAGGGCCTGGTTGCTCAGCCCCACCCCACCTTAAAAGTGCTCCCAACACACTGTGCTGGTCCCTAGCTCCTTGGGAGCAACAGTGGGTTCCAAAATTGTGTCTAATTTTGTTGTTATAAGCTGGAAACAAAATTCCATAGAGATAGCTTTCTAGATGGCAGATCAGATGCCAAACCTGCCCTCTGCTCTAATCTCTTTTAGCTTGTAAAGTCTCTACAGTGTGATGCTGGCTTTACAGCAGATCCAGACTGTGTGTGTGTGTGTGTGTGTGTGTGTGTGTGTATAACATTTCCGTGGAAACAAGCATTCAGCATTCTAGCCCGGGACACCTGGATCACAGTTTTCTTGAATTGTAGCTCCAGAAGTAGAATGAATCTTATCTTTCCATCTTGTATGCCCCTACTCCACCCCTCTCCAACCTTGTCAAACAGCAGTGTAACATTTAGCAATGGGATATCTGTTTACCTGTCAGTCTCCATCCATGAACACAGGCTTGTGTATTACATGTTCCCAACACAGAAATGGTGCCTGATTCATGTTTGAGGAATGCAGGAATGTGGGAAGGCCCCCAGGGCCAAGTACTGGGACTTTCTCAAGACCTGGCCCAGTTACTTGCAGGGGATGGGGCTGATAGGAAGGAACTGGCACCTGGTACCACCTGCCTTTCAGATACATGGTGGGAAAGGTGTCCTGCACCTCAACTCTGCCTTTCTGCAGACTGGTGGAGGCCTGGTCTGCAGGTGGGGGCTCACAGAGTAGAGTCGAGGTCAGGCTGGTAGCCTCGAAGCAGGGCTGTCTGCCCCCACCTTCTTTCTCTGAGCTCTGAGGCTGGAGTCCTGAAGACCTTCTGGCTTCCAGTGAGAATTGGCACCAGAACTGAGGTGGGGGCTGAGTCTTGAAGTGGGGACAGATGGTTGTGGGAGGAGCTAGGTGAGGGCTCCCCAGCTGACACTCCTGGCCTGGGGAATGACTACCGCTGGAAAGGCCTGCATGGCTTGGAAGGCTCAGGGGCATCCAGTCTGACTGTGTCTGGTACAATGAAAGGGCTTGACAAATTGCATTTTCCTTCATCCTTCCCCTCCACCTCATTAGGGCCAGCTCAGGACTCCGTGTTTTGGGGGGTTGGCATGGGGATATCCCAGGCTCCCTGATGGCTGCAGAGGAGTTTGTCAAGAGAAAGGAGGAGACAAATCCCAAGCCATCCCAGTCTCCTGAGCATTCAAGCCAGTCTAGCTGAGAACCCCGCCTTTCATCCCAGCCCCCAGCCAGGGACCCTAGGACATCAGCCACTGTTCTGGGTTGGGTAAATTCTCCCCCGTCCTCTGGTTAGTTTGTCTTAGGATTTGCCCCTCAGGACCATTCATTCACTTAACAAACATTTGTAAACTTATCAGTCCTGGGAGGGGAGAGGGATCAAGATGGAAAGTTCCCTGAAGCTCCCAGTCTGAGGAAGAGGAGGCCCCCAATAACTGACTTCAATGTGAGGTGATGGGCAAGTCTGTAGAGGCAGGAACTATTGAGTTGCCTGTGGCATCATGGAAGGTGACCAAATCCATTGGGAGGGTCCCTTGAGGCCAGGCCACCTCTCAAAGGGGAGGAGGATGTCATTCAACTTGGGGCAGGAGCAAGGCTGTCATCTGAGCCTGTGTGTGTGAATGATAGAAAGTCACCCCTCAGGGCATATGAATTATAACAAGGCACCCACCTCCTCTGCCTGGAGTTGCTTTCAGACAGAAAACGGGAAGCAGGACAGTGGGGGCAGGGCAGGAGTGGAGTGAGGAGCAGGAATCTGTCCCAGGGGGCACCCCACCCCAGTTGCCCTGCTCAAGAGAAGGACCTGTATCAAGGGCAGGCTTGGATTCAGGGTGTGAAGGACAGCTGGAGGGGGTGGAGAAGACATTTCAAAGGGAAAGCCTGTATGAAGACCTCAAGAAGTGGAAACTGGTGCAAAGTGGTGCGTGTTGGGGGTGGTGGCTGGGCAAATGGCAGGATGGGCTGAGCTCTGGGAGATGCAGCTGGTCCGTGGGGCCTTGCATGCCAGATCAGGAAGTGTGGTCCTTCCCTTTGGGGCTTTGTCAGAAGGAGGATGACCCAATTAGAGCTGGGATTGGGCCCTGGGAGCTGATGGAAGTTGAGAGAGACTGGGGTGGTGGTGATCCACAGAACAGCTGGGCAGCTTGGCAGCTGGTCAGTGGGTTTGCAATCGTGTACGTGAGTGTGCAGACCCATGTCCAGCTGCAATCACACCTGCCTTGACTCTCTGCAAGCCCTGGAGCCATAGCTTCCTCCTCTCTGCCCCTAGGAATGTAGTGCCTCTTAGAAGGTGGGGGTTCCCTCCATTAAAGCTGGGGGTCTGGGAGGAGTCTATTTGCTCTGATCTGGCTTTGGAGGAAGGGTGGCAGCTCTATCAGAGGCTGTTGTATAAAGGCACACAAATGCCCAAGGTCACTAATCCGCCCTTTGGGCCTAGAGAAGTTGAGGGCATGACTTTGGAGCCAGAGGAAACCTGGAGCCTCCAAGGATCCCCCTGGAAACTTGGGTCAGCATAGTGCTTAGTTCCCCTGTGGGGCCTCAAACTTTCATGACCCTGAAAGGGAGTGCTTGGTTAAATTCTGCATCCTAGGCACTTAACTTACCTCACTCTAGTCCTGGCTTAACCCCACTCTACACCCCCGACCCCCAGCTCCATTGTCTCCTCCTGAGGCTGTTCCTGGAGTCAGCCAAACCCAGGGCCAGCCCTGGTTCCACTGTGGCAGAGGGTTGACCTCTGCCAAATAACCTCTGGTGGGCATCAGTGAAATAACAGATCACGGAGAGAGATCTCAGGGTCCTGGCCTTCCCGCAGACCTGTGGAGGCCTGGCTGGGAACTGGCTCAAGTGTGCTTGATCCTGGCCAGAGCAAGGACCAGAGTGACTCAGGCCCAAATCCCGAGATCCAGCAGCTTCTGGTAAAGTCAAGCCATTGGGAAGCCCCGGGGTGTCCCCCGCCCCCACCCCAGGCCTGAGCCCAGGGAGGCCCTGGCAGGCCCGCCCCGCCCAGAGCTCATTAAAGCGGATTCCCGCCTGGGGAGGCGCGGGCTTCCCGGAGCCCGGCTGGCACCCAGGGGGAAGGCGGGGAGCGCACACTTTGGGGACGGCGATGGACTCCCGCTGGGCCCGGGTGCGACCAAGGCGTGGCGCAGAGTGGCAGGGCCCCGGCGGCGGCGACAGGGGCTTCCCTGTCTGCCCTCCCTAGAGGGCCCAGGAGGAAAAGACAGCGCCGGAGCCGGGGCGGGCGCGGAGGGAGGGGCGGCGCCCGGAGTGACACGGCCTGTCACCGAGGAGGCCGGCGCGCAGACCCTCCCCGCGGCCGCCGGCAGCCAGGGATTCCCCGGGCGAGGAGACCCTCCCCTGGCAGCCGCCAGCCGCGCCCGGGCCCATCTGCGACCCCGGCCGCGAAGGCATCCCGGGGTGGCCAGCAGTGAGGCCGAGCGGACGGGAGAGGCGCCCCGGGCCGGCGGCGGGGTCCCCGTGCTCGGCGACAGGAAACTCTGGGGAGTGAATGGAAAGAAGTGGGTGGTCCGGCCCCTGCGACTTCCCCTGACATCACTGCCCAAATAAGGAGCTTCCAAGCGGCCGCGGGGCGGCCCGGAGCCGCGCCCGCCGCCGGCGCCCGCCCGCCAGCCCGCCCCGCGCCCACCCCGCGCCGCGTGGGCCGCCAGCGAGCGCCTGGGGCACCGCCGGGCGGAGCCGAGCCGGGCGGAGCCGAGCGCGCGGGCGCTGCCGAGCCGCGCGGAGGCCGGGCGCGCAGCCCAGCGCAGCCCAGTCCAGCGCGGCGCAGCCCAGCCCAGAGCAGCGGAGCCTCGGCCGCCCGCAGGTAAGCAACGAGCGCCCCGCGCGCCGCGCCCCCGCCGCGGCCTGGCAGCCCAGGGACCGGGCACCGCCGAGCGGGCGGCAGAGGGACCGGAGGGAGCCGCGTCGGTGGGAGAGGGCTGGGCGCGGGCGCGCTTGCAGTAGTGCGTCGGTGCCAACTCCCGGGACCCTTGGAGTGAGGGGCCCCGGCTTCTTCGCAGCCTGCGGTGGCCTGATGCACGCGCTCTCAGCCAGCGTTTTCCAGACACTACTTCTGTCACCACCCTAGGGCGACACAAGCGTTCCCGCGTTCACACACTTCTCTGGCACACTCGCGCCTGGCACGGCCGTTGGCGTGCACAGCCTCCTGTGTCCAGCGCAGACTCTCACCCCGGCGCGGCGCTCACCCCTCGCACCCACGCATACCGTGGGACACGGCACACCCGGCGGGAGCTGCTGAATGGGTTTGGCAGCCCTAGCTTCCCCCAAGGCCATGCAGTTTCAGTCTGTCAGAGCCCACCAGCCTGGGGCTCCTCGGGGCTCATTGGGAGTGAGTTAAACTAGCATTGCTCTGGATCCTCCGAGGAGCCCCTCCTCCCGGCATAATGACAGCTGGCACTGGGGGTACATCCTAGCGGGTTGTACCTGGCATGGTCAGGAGGGTGTGGCGACTGGGAGAGATCTACTCCCACTTCACAGCCTGGATGTTTCCAGAGCGGCTTCTACTCCAGGGGCATTTCTGAGAGCACCCTCCCCAACCCCCCTTAATCAGAGCAGGGTGCTTGGGCTTCAGACAGAAGTGGTGGTGGCTGCAAAACAGGTGCAGATAGCATCAGCCTTGGCATCTTGCAGGGATCTCTGCATAGTGGCCACAGTTGTTTATCTATAAAAATATAATGTATTGATTGATGTTTCATCAAGGACATAGGGGAAACTGATAGAGCCAAATTATGGGTCTATCCCTTAGTGACTCTGGGCAGACTCGTTCGTCTCTTTCAGGCTATGTTTTATCAAAAATGGAATGAGTGTCCCCAGAGGTATGTTTTTAAGAAAGATTGAGATCACGTAAGTAAAAAATGTTTTGTAGATGTAAAGCCTTGTGCACGTGCCAGTAACTGTGGTTTGGATGATTTCTGGGCTGGTAGTTGTCATGGCTCTGCTCTGTGACTTAGAACACCCTTTCTGTTCCATCATCTGCAAAAAAGGGGTCATTAATAAGTGTCCTGTGTGCCTAGTAGCAGATTTTCCCAGTGTGTTCAGTGGATTGTTAGTTCTGAAAGCTGTTCCACCAGTAAAGGTTTCCCTGTTAGAGTAAGAATGGCAAATTGTGCAAGCTCTCTATTACCCTTTTGGCCAATTACAATCCATACTGGCAAATGAAAGGCTCTGAGAAGTCCTGCAATAAAAGACTCTTTAACTTTGTCCAACCCAGCATTTTTTTTCTAGTTGCGGGCCCTTTTCAAGTTAGTAGGCTTGCTCTCCAAGGAAACAGTGCTTCAGGGGCTACCCATAGAGATGATGTAGTGTTGTACAGTTGCAACCAAACTTTGAGAGCTAAATTCTAATTGGTCTGTTTTAATGGAGAGTAAGCAGAAGCCCAGAACAGTTAAGAGGCTCATCTGAGGTCACACAGCTAAACAGTGGCCCAAGATCACCCAGTAGTTAGTGGTAAAGCACGGACCGCAACATGACTCCCCATCCAGTGCTCTCACCTCACTGAATGACATCCAGAAGTTGAGAATTTTCCTCTAGAACCAGTCTTGCTGCTTTGTATGGACACTTTGCAGAATGTGTTTAAAAAACATAAAGAGTCAAATGATTTATTGTTGAATGAATTAAGTGATGACCAGTTACCAACTCTGTGCCTTTCATTTTGAAGACTTTAGCATGTAAAGTTCAACCACATGTGGAGCCTGTGGTGAAGAGCTTGGTAATGGTACCACAGTCATCTCTCACACATGCACACATACACACGTGTGTGCACTCTTACACACTCAAACACCCACTTGTACACACAAGTTTGTTCCTACACGTGCACACACCCACAGCCCACTCCAACTCACTCACACATGCCATCCTGTTCACTCATTCGCACACACAACCCTGCTCCTCTACACACACCCACTCCCATGCACTCTCACTTATGCGATCCTGTATACTTGTTCATACTCACACATCTGCTCCTACGCACACTCTCACACACACACATTCATCCCATTGTGTTCTAGGCTGCAGCTATGAGGTAGTTGTGGCAATGGGGATGTCCCCTTGTCCCCGTGTCCCCAGAGCTGGTGAGGGGGTGCCTGGCACTAGCTCCCCAAGATGAGTACTGAGCATGTGGGAGTGCTTTGCAGGGCCAACCCAACGCCGCATTTCCTCCATGTCTCCCAGTTTCTTCCATTTTCTGCCATATTTGTGGATATTGGCCGACTATTGCTTGGTTGCATGTGATGGGACAGCCACAGCTCTGGCGTCTCCTGTGCTGTTTGCTTTAATCAATGTCAAAGCACTGTGAGGGCAAGGACCGCAGCATCTAGCAGAGAGCCTGGCATAGAGGAGAGGGTCAATAGCATTTATTGAATGAGTGTCTGCCAGATGCTAGGATGGCCATGACCCAGGCCAACATCCAGGGGGACTTGATGAACATGTTTGCTGAGTGCCTGCTGGGCCCTGGGCACCATTCTAGGGACTACAGCAGTGAAAACTGTTTAATCCCTTCTTTCAGGGAGTTTGCATTCCAGTGGGAAGAGAAATAATGAATATTAATGGATCAGATAAAGCTAAGTCGTCATATACACTCTGAAGAAACTCAAACAAAGCTGTGTGATGGAGAATGCCAGGGAGGAATGGGAGAAGCTACACGTGGGGGCCCAGAGAGTTCTCTGAGGAGCTGACATTTATCTTGAGATCTGAGTAATAAAGAAGTGACAGCCTTGCAAAGCTTTGGGGAAAGAATATTTGCCATAGAAGAACAGCAGGTACAAAGGCCCTGTAGCAGAAAGGAGCTGGGCTAGGGACCAGGAAGAGGCCATACTTGCAGTTCGCTGCTGATATTCTTGCCAGCACCCTTTGGAGGGGGTAACTGCTGGTGTTTGATCTGAGACCTACTTATCTTCCTGGTTCAATCACTAAAGCCCAACAGTGCATCCTGGGCTTTGTGGGGCGGGGCTGCCCTCTAGATCTGTCCATCCCCAACCCCTGTAAATGAGGAAAAGGTCAGACTTCTAAGGACCCTCTTAGCTCTACCGTTATAGAATTCGATGCTCTGTTTGCAGGAGGTTTTTAGGAGACAATTCAGGTGGTCCATCTGGAAGGATTGTGAATTAGTTGTGCTGCTTCCATTATTAATAACCATGATGTCATACATCTGTGCGGTTCCTGATCGGCTGCAGAGCACTCTCCCTTATTATCCTGTTCACTCTGTGGACTAATCTGCCAAGCGGGGGATGGGATGGAAAGAGTGCAGACACTGCCACACACTGCCGCAGGCTCACCCAGGCCACTTCACCCCCTTGAGCCCCTGCTTCCTCCGCTGCAGAGCAGGATCACAGGAGAACCTGCCTCCCGAGGCTCATGGGGGGGGTGAAGTGAGAACATGCACTTTCAAGGCCCGGGGGTGTAGCAGGCACTTGGTAACTGCTGGTTCCTGTTTTACAGATGAGGAACTCGGAGCTAAGAGGGATCATGACTTTTTTTTGTCTGCTTCTGTGTCCCTAGTCTTCCCAGCCCAGGACTCTGGGTCCATAGTGGGCTTTTAATAACTATTAGGTTGAGTTGAGTTGCCTGTGGTCAAATAACTGGTTTGAGCTAGGACTCAAACCCAGGACTTTGGGCTCCAAAGTCCTTTTTATAAACATCACGCTGTTTGGGAATAATTGCCATTAACAAAGACAAACCTTCACATGCATTTGTGGATGAGTTATTGTTGCTTGGTTGAGAATCTTAGAATTGGAAGGTCTCAGCGGTTTTGAGTTGTGATATTCTTTGTAAACCAATTAACAGATTTCTTAAGAAACATTTTCGAACCTTCCAGAAGAGGGTGTAGTTGTGAGAAAATGGTCTGAGAATTGACAGCAGTGGTTCTTAACCAGGGGTGCCAGGTGCTGTCACCTGAGGGCTTTGAACAGAAGAGCTCCAAGTTCCACCCTGATTGTCTGATCAGAGAGTCTGGGGACAGCATGTGGGCATGTGGAGAAGTGCCCTGGTGCTAGATGTTCTGCCTGGGATGAGAAGCCCAGCCAGCAGGAGGCCCAGGAAGTCAGGCAGGCCTTCCATCTGCCTCCCATTTCCATCTGTCCTTGGCTGTGGCTCCGACCCCCTTGTCCCGGACCTGCAAAGGCCACATGGTAGGAGCATGAGCGATGGCGTCCCACAGACCGGAGTTTATATCTCCTGCTTTCTAGCCCTGTGCCTTTCCTATTTGCTTTGCCTCTCCTAAACCTCAGCTTCCTGATCTGTGATGTGGGAATGCTCACACTTACCTACAGGGTGACAGATGTCTCATTAGATACCTGTGCCTGGCACTTAGTAGGTGAACCATAAACAACAACTAGTTTCAGTTGTTAGGATGAAAAATTACTGAGAATAATAAAAACTGCAGTATTTGTGAATGAATCAGCTGCTCCCAAAGGGGGCAACAAAATAGACCAATTTGCCCCAAACACCAGCCTTTGGGAGGAAGGTACATTCCATGCCATAAACATCAGTCTTTGGGTGAAAGAATTACCAGCTCCGCCATCTTCCTAAACCTCTTCATTGCATAACCATTGCTCCATGGAGAGCTGAGGGCTGAATGGGGACCAGGGCCAGCATCACTTCCCATGCCTCTGACATCGATGGGCTCAGAGACGAGGATGTGAGCTTTGGATATCAGTGTGAGTTTAGGCTTGTGCTCACCTGCATCAGCCTGGTCTCTTGCTCCTGAGGCCACCGTGTGGGTCAATTGGGGTGTAAACACCCGGCTTGTGGGAGTGTCGGGAGGTTGTGCTTCTCACCTTACGCTGTCATTTATTCATTTATTCAACAGTGGATTGGTCCTTCTGGGGGCTCAGCTCTGGGCTAAGCACTAGGAGAGAGTCTGCATCCCCAAGAAGCTCAGAGTTGAGCAAATCTACCACCCACAAGCCACGTGGCCATGTGCAAGTTGTATTTCCTCTCCAGATCTCAGTTTCCTCATCTCTAGAATGGGATCATTCTGGTTACTTCCCCAGAGGAATATTTTGTTGTTTTTAGGGACCCAGCCCAACAGGCTCTGGAGTGCTGTCTAGGCCTTTGGGCCTCTGATGGAGTGGTCGGGCAGGAGAACAAGGGCTTCCTTACCAGGAGGAACTTGACTCTGATGCTGGTCCTGCCCTTTTCTCACTGTGTAATTTGCTGCATTTTTAAGTTCTCTGTGTTTCATTTTCTTCATTTATAAAATGTAGTTATAATGCCTTCATTTCAGGGCACTGTGAGTGTTAGTTGAGATGAGCATGTAAAGTACCTGGCTCTGAACAAATGCAACCCCCGTTTCCTTTCTGTCTGGCTCTTAACTCTGCTGCCTGGTGCATTGCTGCTTTGGAGAGTCATCTCAGCCCATCAGTGCCCAAGTTCAAATACCCAGGAATGGTCAGGGGTGGGCAGACAATCAGATTAGAGCTCCAGGTAATAAGCACGTACGTGTTCCTTGGTGAAAGGCGGGCATGGGGAGATGGTTCCAGCCCACAAAGGAATTGGGGCCAGGGTATGGAGCTGGGAGTCCTGGGTTCTGTTCCTGGAACTGCCACTAACTACTGTGTGTCATTTGCCAGTTCCCTCCCCTGTCTGAACCACAATGTCCTCAGCTGCAGGCTGGCCTGAGGGATCCCCTGGGTTTCTTCCTGCTCTGAGAAGTCCATGGGCCTTTGATGTGCAAGTGCTGAGTGAATACAGTAAGGAAGTGAACTGGCTGCGTGTGGGGCTGTGGGGATTTTACCAGCTTTTTCTAGCCTGGACTCTGTTGGAATTGATTATGTGAGGAGGCCAGCAGACAGGCTCTGGACAAGGAAGAGACTGTGGTTTCTAATTGGCAGAGCCACTCATGGGAGAGGAGGCAGGCAAAGAAACGTTCATGACATTGAATTAAATTAAAAGAAAGGCATTACCCTATTTTTTTTCTTAAAGAAGACCCAAAGGGCTCTGAGCCACCTGCTTACCAAATAGCTTTGCTCTGATTTGAATTCAACAGTATGTTTGGGTGTAAAGAGTTGTTTTCAAGTTACCAGGGTGGAAGCAAGAGATTACAGAGTAAAACCAAGCATATAGTCATTCATTTAGCAGACATCTGTTGAGCCCTCACTATATGTCAGGGCTGCTCTAGGCACTGGGGTACAGCACTGACCAAAACAGACCACAACTGGGGCTCTCAGGGAGCTCATAAACTAGTGGAGGGAGGCCAATCGTGAACAAAGGAACACGGCAATAGGGAATGTGTCAGATGGGTTCAGTGCCATGGAGAAGCATGAAGCAGGGTGGGAAGTTAGAGAATGCCGTGGGGAGGGATTCAGGGGCTCTTTTCTCTCTCTCTCCCTCTCTTTTTTTTTTTTTTTTTTTTTTTTTGAGATGGAGTGTCACTCTGTCACTCAGGCTGGAGTGCAATGGCACAATCTCTTCTCACTACAACCTTCGCCTCCTGGGTTCAAGCAATTCTGTCACCTCAGCGTCCCAAGTAGCTGGGATTACAGGTGCCCGCCACCACACCTGGCTAATTTTTGTACGTTTAGTAGAGACAGGGTTTCCCCATGTTGGCCAGGCTGGTCTTGAACTTCTGACCTCAAGTAATCTGCCCACCTCGGCCTCCCAAAGTGCTGGGATTATGGGCATGAGCCACCGCGCGCGGCCTCAGAGGCTCTTTGCTGTAGGATGGTCAGAGAAGGTATCACTGATATGGTGACCCATGAATGGAGCCATAAAGGAAGTGTAGAACTGAACAGACTAAGGAAAATTTCCTTTCTCTATGGGGCACGTGGAGGTCTATGGAAACATCTCATTTGAAGCTGGAAGGGTCGGCTCGGTCAGACAGCTCAGACTCTGGGCTGTCCTGCTTTGGAAACAGTGTATCAAATATGCTTAATGATAATCGTTACAGCAACTTTAATAATAATAATAGCTGCATGGGACAGGGCTTTAAGCCTTCAAAATGTCTTTCCATGTAGACTGTCTCATTCAGCTCTCTCACAAGCTAGAAGGTATTATCTCCAGACCGCAGTTGAGGAACCTGAGAACTATAGATGTGGGGTGACAAGCCCAGGACTGTGTCAGAAATGAGGGGCAGAATGGACACTCAAACCCAGACTTGCTCTCCACTGGACACTGTGTTTCTCCCTGCAGGGCAGCTGGGATCCACTGTAGTACCCAGCATACCTCCCTGCGTGCAGTAGAGAATGGTGTCTATTTCTTGAAAACAATAATAAATCCACAGATGAAGGAGGCATGACAACTTAATACCATGTTGTATACTGGAATGGATTCTGGAACAGAAAAAGGACATTAGTGGAAAAACTGGTGAAATAGTTACTAGTAATGTACCAATGTTAATGTCTTAGTTCTGACAAATATACCTTGTTATGTAAGATGTTCACATGGAAGGAAACTGAGTAGAAGCTATATGGGGTCTCTGTTCTATCTTTGCAACTTTTCTGTCAATCTAAAACTATTCCAAAAATGAACATTTTATTTAAAAATAAATGAATGAATCCATATACACTTCCACTAGCTGTCCTCCTAAGGGTTGCTTAGGAAAGCCATAAAGAGTCATTAAGTAATTAAATCTCTGTTACTGGTCATCCTAAGCAACTATCCTGAGTTGCCTGTGTGAGAAGGAGCAAAATTATAAACCAGTGCCTGTAACAACACTGGCAGAGGAATTTTCTATTGGAGATTCCTTCCCCAGGGACTGCCCCCACGTGAATTTCATGTATACCGTATAACTTACATTTTAACCTAGGCCAAGTATGCCCTTTGTATTCAGTGAAAGTTCACCAACTCAATTTCACTTGATGCTATAACAGACAGAAACATAGTTTTACTTGTAGAGCTATATCAAGTGACTATATATCTATATAATGAATTGCAGTGACGATAGCTGGGAAGGAGTAGGTGCAAGGAGAACAGAGTCAGAAGAGTCAGAGGGCTGGAAAGGCCTTTAAAGGTAATCTGGTTTTTTTTTTTTTTTTTTTTTTTTTTTTTGCAGTAGAAAATATTTAGGCCCAGGGAGAGGTGTCTCATGGAGTGGATGAAAGAGAACAGGGGCCAGGGGATTTTGAGGCTTAGTGCCTCATTCTCCATTCACAGAACAAGTGAGTTGGCTTAGGTGAGTCTCTGGGGACCCTTGGGCTGAAAGCCACTGAGCAAGGGATTGATCCAGACCCACCCTTCAACTGCTGAGCCACACAGCTTAGCCTGTGCAGGACACCTGGCCTCCTAACGGTTTCTTGCCTTGGCATGCGAACATTTGGTGTCGCCCTGAAATCTAGGAGAGGCACCAGATGCCCAGGTGGGCAGGAAACCATCATCATCATGGGTTGATTAGAACCCATCTGTTTTTTAAAAGGGTAGGATATCTGGGCTCTTTATTTTAAGCAAGCTCTGATCTTATGAAATAAAGAAGTCCAGCTTTTCCCATGGTGTGTTTGTAGACCACAAGTGCCATGGGGTGTAAAGATGTGTTACAGGGAGAAAATGAAAGTCCAATGGCCAAGTACATTTGGGAAACTTTAAAGACCCTTATCCTGCAGGAGTTCTCAGTCTTTAATATGCAGAAGTGCATTGGGTATCTGCAAAATAGTATGTGTGTGTGAGGGTTGTGAATGTGAGTGTGTGTGTAGAGGTGGGTACTGTGTGCAGCTTTTTAAGATTAATTGATCAGAGAACAAATATATATATATGTTATATATATATGTTATGTACATACACACACACACACACGCACACACATTTAGACACATACAGAATAGCTGGAGAAGAGTTCCACAGAAAAACATTTGGGGAAATGCTAAGGTTATCTGAGGTCAAAGCTAAAAAAATTAAAGTGAATAAACAGTGACTTAAAACTTATTTCTGCATGTTAGTTTCAGCATGTCAGTTTCTCACATTTTTTCCCACTTTGTTAGCTTAATTTCTTTTATCCTCAGAAGAAAAATGGCATGCAAATGATCCTTTTCCCTTCCCTACGTGCGGTGCTCATGGGAGGCAGAAGTATTGTGTGTGCTCATTGAGACGAGGGTAACCAAGCTCATGTGACAAATCAATGGTGGGTTTGTAACCCAGAAACCCACATGTGACATTGGTGTTTAGGAGCTAAAAAAGAACCTTATTTTAAAATGCCACTAAAGACCAAAAACCCTTTTGTCATGTATAGCTTTCACACATAGAGTTGCCAGCACCTGCATATACACAGGTGTGTTTGTTACCCCGCAGGGCAGGCTTCTTTATTGGTCAGTGTGCCTGGTCAGTGGAAATGGCCGGTGAGGTGGGGACACCCTCTGATTTGATGATGATTTCTCACTAGGCCGATCTTCACCTGACTCCTTGTCCCAGCTTTTCACCCCTCCACGTTGCTCGTAGGGTGAGTCCTGTAGACTGCCTGGCCTGCTCTTTAAAACTCTTGCCATCCTGGGCCCTGCCTCAGCCTCCACTTTCCCTGATCCTCGGCCCCATGTGTAAATCCTGCCCCATGCCAAATCCTTCTCCTCACTCCTCCAGGCACGTCCCCAGGCATATCAGGGTTAGGGGCCAATTCCATGCTATGATTGCCTCTCGTTGGAAACTGGACTTCAGTTTCTTACCTGGCATATGAGAATAATACTCTTTTAAAGGCTTTGCAAATGAAGCAAAGGATAAATAACAGAGAGGGAAATTTTAAGGGGGAATTTTCTTTCTCTGTGGATTAGATGGCAAGGGACATATGGGAAGGCTTCAGAAAGAACTAACTCGTGATGAAGTGGTTGGCTTAGCTAGTCCTTCAGACTCTGGCGTGTTCTTATCTGACCTGTGTTACCTCAAACAAGTTACTTGACATCTCTGAGCCTCCCTTTCCTTGGCTATAAACATGGACTGCTGTGACCACCTCTCGGGGCTTTGAGTCAATGCTGTGAAGTTTGTCAGGAACCCAGAAGAGTGCCAGGTGCATAGAAAGCTATGTATTAGTTATTATTTAAAGAACTATTAGTTAGAAAATTATTGTTCTATCAACTAACTAAAAACATAGCCAAGTTTTTAAAAATGTGCAAAAGATAAACAGATAGTACACAGATATAAAAATGGCCCATAAATATATGACTAATGCTCTAGCCACTAAAAAACCAAAGATTGTAAATTAAAAATGAGATTGTTACTGCCTAGAGGTGGCAAAATGTAAAAAAATTTTTAAAAAATAGAGAAGATCTAGTACTGGCAAGGGCCAAAGGGTCTTGAGAATCTAAATTGGTATCAATGAAAATTATAAATGCATATTCAGTCATCCCTTGGTATCCATGGGGAATTGGTTCCAGGATGCCCTGAGGGTTCCAAAATCCACAGCTACTCAAGTCCTTTATATAAAATGGTGTAGTGTTTGCACATAACCTACACACATCCTCCTGTATATGTAAGTCATCTCTAGATTATTTACGATACCTAATACATTGCCTACATATCACTTCATTTATGTGGATCACATAGTCCTTGGCACACAACAAATTCAAGTTTGGCTTTTTGGAACTTTGTGGATTTTTTTTTTTTTTTTTTTTTTGAGATGGAGTTTCGCTCTTGTTGCCCAGGCCGGAGTGCAATGGTGCTATCTCGGGTCACTGCAACTTCCACCTCCCAAGTTCAAGCGATTCTCCTGCCTCAGCCTCCCAAGTAGCTGGGATTACAAGCGTGTGCCACCATGCCCAGCTAATTTCTTGTATTTTTAGTAGAGACGGGGCTTCACCGTGTTGGCCAGGCTGGTCTCGAACTCCTAAACTCAAGAGATCTGCCTGCCTTGGCCTCCCAAAGTGCTGGGATTACAGGTATGAGCTACTGCGCCCAGCTGGAATTTTTGTTCCAACTATTTTTGATCCTCGATTGGTTGAATCCATGGATGTGGAACCCACAGATAGAGCTGACTGTACCCACTTTGGTCCAGCAATTCCCTGGCTATAGAAAAATATGTACTCAAAAATATATGTGTACAAAGGTACTCCCTTGTAGCATTGTTTGAAATAGAGAGAAATTGGAAATGACCTCAGTGTCCAGCAGAGACAATGCTTAAAAAATTTATGGTGCATTTGTGCCAGAGAATACTTTGTGGCCATTTCAAAAGAAAGAAATGATCCTTCAGGTCTTAACGTGGGAGGATATTCAGAATGTATTCTTAACTGGAAAAAGGTTTCTGTGTAATATGTTTAGGACAATCTCATTTTTATACAGGAAAAGTTAAACAGTTAAGTCTGTGTATGCACATGTAGAAATGTTTCTGCGCTCAGAGAAACAGCCTGGGAACAAGCCCAGTGAACTATGCTTGGTGGTTTCATCTGGGAAATAGGCTTTGAGAGGATGAAGCAGGACTTGTCTACTTCTTACTTTAAATATCTCTTCATTAAAAAAAAAAAAAAACCCAGAAAACAAAAAAGAAAACCCAAGAAAATAAAGAGAAAAGAAGACTCTTTACATTACAGGATTATTGTGATGATTAGATGAGATTATAATACTTGACAAATATTTAACACAGTGCCTGACACTTAGCAAGCGCCCAGGAAATGCTTCTAGCCTCTTCTTCCTTCCTCAGAGTCTGTACCTCCCCTGCCCCCGCCATGCCCATGCCAGTGTTTTTCCCTGACTGTGAGATCAGTAAGCACGCAATGGTGCTTCAGCAGTGTCAACACATGCCACTGCTCTGTCACCGCCCACGTGTCTGCCCTTGTGGGGCCGCCAGTCTAAAGGACCCACCCCTCCCATTCCCCAGCAGTCCCTCGGGTCCTTTCTTCTTGACCCTCTTTTGAAGAGCTGCCATCCTTAACCGGGTGCTGCCCAGCCACACCTCCTGGCTCCCAGAAGGAGCCTCTAGCCACCTTGCAGTGTGGGGCTGCCTCTGTCACCACCACATTCCAAGGGTGAATCTTAAGGATTTGGGTCATTTCTGCTTGCCGGTTTGTTTCTTTTCCGTTTCCGTTCCCGGCCAGGCTTTCCCACCCCCGGGGATGTGGGCTTTCCTGACTCCCTTCCCCCATGAGCTTCCACCTGGCCCTGATGAATTCCATCATGCCTGCTTAAAATCATTTTACTTGCAATTTGCTAATTTAATTCTAGTCTTACAGAATTTTGGCAACCCTGCCAAATTGGGTGCCAGATGCAGATTTAATGAGCATATTTTCAGTTATTTCTTTCCTGTCTTCATGAAGATGCTGAAGAGAACAGGGTCTGGAACTCATCCCCAGGGGACTCCGTCTCCAGAGCACCCCTCCCCGCATTTGATCCTGAGCCACTGGGCATGACCCTCCAGCCAGGTCTCTCCCCATCTAAGGGGAGGAGCTCTTTGGAGAAGGAAGCTATTATTGCATCATCTCCTAGTCTTCGAAGCCCCAACCCAATTCCCATCATTTAGATTTCATAGGAAATGTATTTGGGGAAAATTACTTATTTCCTTCGGCCCATGTCTCCTAGCAGCCATATGCAGCTCAACAGATGTTCAAGGATTCGTGTATTTAACAAACACATATTGAGCCCTTTTTAGAGGGATTTCTTGCAGTGTGGCCTGTTGACTAACTGCAACAGAATCATGGTGGGGAATGAGGGGATTGGGGAAATACAGATTCCTGGGCCCTGCCCCGCAGCTGTAGAATCAGACAGTGGGAGAAGGTGGAGCCTGGGATTCTGCAACCCAGAGGATTCTTATGCCTCCAGTGTTTCCACATGTGTTACCTCATTTCAATTCATACCAACCCCTTATGGGAGACATTTTTGTCTCCCAGAGTAAGACTCAATGAAGTCAAGTGGGAGGCTCCGGCCACAAAGTGATGAGCATCAGAACTGGGACTCTACTTGAGGCTTTTGAGTCTAAATATAGAGCTCTTTCCATCTTCCCGTAGAAGTGGCTCAGGGCCCAGCTCTGTTACCCGTGATCCTAATATTATATGATCCAAAGCAGGTCTATGCCTTCTCGAATAAATCCACACAGGCTCTGCTGTGCAGACAAGGACGCAGAGGCTCTGAGCACTTGAGCTACCAAGCCATCAACTATGCAGCACTGTTAAAGCAGGATCCAGGACCCATACCACATTGGACTCTAAATTCTGTGCCAAGCAGTGCCAAGGGCTAAGTGGAGCATACGATGTCCTCTCCATCAAGGAATGGGTGGGAGAAACAAGTGGAGTTCACTGGCTTCAGTGGCAGAGGCCATGACTTTGGGCAAGTCACTTCCACTTCCATGCCTTGGTCTTGCCATTGGTACAAGGATGGGGTTGGCCTACAGTCCATGTCCTCCGAACTTTTAAATTCATGTAACCCCCCTCCATATCCTCCCAACTTTTTGAAAACCCAAATAAAATCTTAGGCCAAATCCCAATACATACAAAGAGACAAAAATTGGAGACACCTTGAGCTGCTCAGGGCTTTCTAGGAGGCAAATTGGACACATTTCGTTTAGCATTTGCTATTGATCATCTCTGTGTCTCCTCCCCTGGCCCCCCTAGTGGGACATGGTGGCTGCAGCCTCAGGCTTTGGAGTCTGGCACACAGAGGTCCAGTCTGGGCCCTGCCACCTTCTGGCTATGTGACCTTGGGCAAGTCAGTTGCGTCTCTGTAAGATGGTGGTGATGATGGTTGAGTGGAGGTGAGGGATGAAATGTGCCGATGCATGCTCGTTTAATACTTTGCTCAGTGCCCAGCAGGTAGGAGGTGCATTAACTCCATTTTCCTTTGTCGGACTAGGATGAAAGACATGAGAAATTAAACAGTCGTGGAGGACATTTCCCAGGGCCATAGAGACACAATGCCATATGAGGGAGTGGTATGGATGGTGAGGCCCGGGCATTCGTTGGTCTATATATTTCAGCAAATGTTTCAGCCCCTGCAGTGGGTGAGATCTTGTTCTAAGGAAAAAACCTGTAGAAAGAGGGGCTTTTGGAGAAGGTAGGGTTTGAGCCCAGCTTCCCAGATAGGGCTCCTGGTGCAGGGAGACTGAGCAGGCTGGCAAGGCTCACCAGTAGCAAGGACTGGGCTGGGGGCTGGCAGGGCTTGTGAGAGTGGGTCCCAGGCCCACCAGGCAGGGCCTCACCAGTCAGGGGCCTCCCAGAGGCCCAAGGAGGGGGCCAGATCAGAACATCCCATGGGCTTCTGGCCCAAGAGACCAAGAGTGTTCTGCGGATCCCAGTGTTTGGTGGCAAGAGATCCAAGAAGGAGCGATTGGGACTTTGTAGGGACTTGTGGCTCAGAGGCAGTGAGGCTGAGGAGAGGAGACTCCAAGCTCACTACAGTGGTGTGGAAATGAGGTGACCAGGCCCAGCCCCACAGTCAGATCCCTATGTTCCCCCTGCTGGAGCCAGGCTGCAGGAGGAGTGTTCCCCAAGGCCTCAGCGTGCCCTGGAAGGGCCTCCAACTTAGAACCCACTGGAACCTCCCATACTATGATGGGGAGAGTGGAGAAGGAGAGAGCAAAGTACCAAGGGAAGGGGAGGCTTTCCATGTCAGTGGGGTTATTTCTGGCTCTGCTTCTGCTCTTGCAGTCACTGTGGAAACAGCTTGTGCCCGGTTCAGCATGGAAACATGACAAAGTTTTCAATGGTGATGTGTGCTAAGCAGGCAGCCAGGAGGGTGAGTGTGTGTCTGCCTGCCTCCCTCTCCTGCCCACACCATCCACCCCATCTCTCTCATCCTGGGCCACCTTCCTTCCAAAACCCCATTTGGAGGAGATGTGCCTCACACAGTGTGAAAGGCAGAATAATGCCCCACTCAAAGGTGTGTGCATCCTAATTCTCGAAGTCTATGAGTATGGTGGGTTCCAGGGCAAAGGGGAGGGAAGGTAGCAGATGGAATTAAGATTGCCAATCAGCTGGCTTTAGAGTAGGGTGATTGTCCTGGATTACCCACAAGGTCCCAGTGGAATCTCAAGGGCCTTTAAGTGTGGTAAACAGAGGCAGAAGAGTCAGTGCCAGGAGGTTGCAGTGTGAGAAAGACTTGACCTGGCCATTGATGTCTTTGAGGAGGCCATGAGCCAAAGAAGGAGTACAGCTTCTAGAAGCTGGAAAAGGAGGAAACAGATTCTTCCCTGGAGCCTCCAGAAAGCAATGCAGCCCTGTTAACACCTGGATTTTAGCCCAGTGAGACCCATTTTGGATGTGTGACCTCCAGACCTCTCAGATAATAAGTTTGTGTTGTTTTAAGCCATTAAGTTTGGCTTAAATTGGTGATAATTTGTTACAGAAGCCTTACAAAACTAAAGTATGCAGTACAACAGGGAGGCTGAGGCCATGATGGGGAAGAGGTCCTTGGAGTGCCCTGGAGGCAGAGGACTCTGTAGTCGTGCTCTTCTGTTTTATCTCCATCTGAGCTTTGCCTTGTGCCTCACCCTCATGGGTCCCCGTTGGCCAGACCACTCTGCAAGTAAGAAAGTGGTCATAGACCCTTGAACATGGTCTCCTGCAGGCACACTGTGCAGACATCATCTCTTCTGCCAGGAATGCCACCCCATCCTTCTCCATAAGCCCTCCTGTTTCTCAAGGCTCCCGTCCCATCTCCTGCAAGGAACATCTCCTTCCTCTGCTACTGTGTGTGCCTCTGCCGGCTGAAACTGGTTGTGCCCCGCACTCATGGGAGCCAGGCTGTGTCCGCATGCTGAAGGGTCTGGATCTGAACACAGGGTGCCTGGGGTTTGCCCCTGGCCCTGACACTTGGTAACTTGGATCTTGAGCCAACCCTTCCCTCCTTCCTTCTCCATAGGCTGGAGGTTAAACAAGGCTGATGAAGAAGGCCTTTGAAGACACTGCTCTCCTGGGGAAGTACTGCTGTCTGTTATTTTTCTCTCCCAGAGATACAGCCCAGGAGTAAAAACTCCTCTCCCAACCTTGGCATCCCCTGAATGCTGCCTGGAAGCCCCCTTCTCCTGACTTCACCGAGCATCTCCCATAAGCCCAGGTCTGGACAAAACCAGGAAAATGTAGAAAACCAGGGTCAGGTCATGATGGGTGAGGTGAGCAAGGTGCCCGGGGTGCAAAATTTAAGGAGGTGCTTTTCCTCGGGGTCGTGCAAATGTGGCATGGAGAGTAAACCCCACACTATTTTATAGATGAGGGAACAGACCTAGAAAGGGAAATGCCTTGCTCAGGGACACACATTGGTAGAGCTGGGGCCACAACAGAGGCCTGTCACCTTCAGTTGCAGGGCAGGTTCACTCTCTTTCAAACTGAATGCATGAACGAATGGTTGGTTGGGTTCATTAGCCCAGCATGTATTTACTGAGCACCTATTCTCTGTTAACACCGTGCTGGAGGCTGGGCTACAGCTTGGGAACAAGACAAACAGGGCCTGGTGCTCCCCTGAGGATTTATATTCTGTGAAGGCAGAATAAGTAATTATGCAATTAGTTTTTTAATTACAGTGGTGATACATACTATGCAGGGGATGGCCAGAAGCCATAGGTTGTGAATGGTTGTGCAGGCTGTGCACTGCACAGGTGCATGTGGAGGACCTACTGTGGAGACTCTGTTAAGGAGTTCCCAGTAAAATATGGAAGGCAGGATCAATATGTTCTTAAAGTAACAGTACAAGACCATGAGCAATAAGAGGGAGAGCCAGGTTGGAAGAAGGGCCTAGAATTGCAACCCTACTTCCTTCTCTTCTAGGGCCCTAGGCCCTCATCTTCTCTCCCTCCCTGTGTGGCGGTCAGATCACATGCAGTCAGCCCTCCCTTGGGAGTCTCAGAGAAGGAGCCCTGCAGCCAGCAGGGCCTGGGGGTCCAAGAGGAACAAGGCATTGCCCTGTCTTGTGCAGCAGAGCTTCTGCTGGCCTGGATTCGATTCAAGGGCTTGGAGGCCTGGGATAGCAGCAGGGGCTGGAGTGTTCAAAACCAAGGATTCTCTGCCTGGACAAAGCATGGTTCTCAGTATTGCCTGTTCTCTGGAATGTTGGGTCTGGGTGGAGCCTGGCTTCTAGGAATTAGGCATCCCACCAGCTCACTGTGAAGCTTTGGGTACCCATGCGTCAGAGTGTTTCTGCATGCATGAAGAAAGCTTGTATAAAAATACAGGGAGATGTGTGCTATTGTTTTATTAAAGTATCTTGCCTGCCTGTTGGGTGAGGCCAGCTCCTAGGCCAACGACCTGGGCCAGCTGTGGTATAATATCCTGGGAGCCAGTTCCTCTTCTCCCTCTTGCTTGCTGGGGGACTTTGGATAATCCTCACCTCCCTGAGCCTCACTCTGCAAAATGAGAATGATAAAGGCCTAGCTTACCCAATTGTTAACATCCAAAAAAAAAAAAAAAAAAAAAAAAGAACAGATATGCAAGTGTGCTTTAAATCCCTGGGTTATATGGGCATGAAGATTGCCACCAAATGGAGACATTCCTTCAGTAATCAAAAGGGGATCTGACTTATATTCTGAGAGTTAGAGGCCATCCTGGCTTTCAGGAGCAGCAGAGAAAGACACATCGTTCTCTCTGTTTGTTTCCTTTAATTAGAAAGAATTATTCTGGCTGGTAAAGAAATCAACCTCCTGACAGGGAGTTAAACAGAAGGGGTCCTTAGAGACAGACTTGTTCAGGTTTTTGGTTTGAGAGGAGGGGAAACTGAGGCCTAGAAGAGAATGTGATTTGTTCTTGGTCACGTGGCCAGTTAATGGTAGGGGTGTGGTCAGATCCCAGGTCCTGTTCACCCACCTCCTCACCACACGTACTGTCCCATAGGTCCATGAGTTTAGCTACTTCAGGCACAATAGGTGGCCACAGCCTGACAGGGAAACAGGGAGGTGACCCTGGTGAGGAATAAGAGGATAGGAAGGTTTGCCAGGCACGGTGGCTCACACCTGTAATCCCAGCACTTTGAGAGGCCAAGGTGGGTGGATCACTTGAGCTCAGGAGTTTGAGACCAGCCTGGGCAACATAGTGAGACCTCATCTCCACAAAAATAAAAAAATTAGCTGGGTGTGGTGGCACGCACCTGTAGTCCGAGCTACTCTGGAGACTGAGATGGGAGAATGGCTTGAGCCCAGGAGGCAGAGGTTGCAGTGAGCCAAGATTGTGCTGTTGTACTCCAGCCTAGGCAACAGAGCCAGACCCTGTCAAAAAAAAAAAAAAAAGAGGATGGGAAGGCAGACACAATTTGGGGAGGGGGTGAGGGGGGTGGGCAGAGGGGAAGGTAACAACATGGAAGGTCTTGGTACAGAGCGACCAGAGGTGGAACGCCCTTCACTTTCCTTCCCCTCCTTCTGGAAACACCCTAAGACCTCTGTCCGTCTCCAGGTTCCTAGGCCATGTAGCTAACACCAGGGCAAGCATCTGCCCTGCTGACATTAGGCCATCAGGGGTTCTGGGAGCTGCAGCACAGACAGAGGGATGTCAAGTGCCCTGGGGCAACCTTTGGTCCAGGCAGACTGTGTATCTGTCACTTTAGTAACTTCACCTGTTGCTTGGTCCCAAAAATGAGGTCCTGAATATGGTGGTGTCAGGGCAACACTGGAAGGCAGGGCAGTGGTGGTGTGTTTAATTCATTGTTATTCATGCACTCGTCTGTTCAGCATGCTTTCACAGCAGGCTGACTGCATGCCAAGCACTGGGGGTACAGACGGGACATGTTCTTGCCCTGAAGGCACTCCCTGTCTGCGAGGAAGACCCGTGTGCAGGGGAATAAATGTCGCTGGACAGTGTGATTGATGTTACACCAAAGCTCTGGATGAGGGTTAGAAGCGTTAGAGAAGAGAGACACTCCAGCACCTTCCTAGGGGATCTGGGTTTCTGATGGCAGTCAGCAGGCATCAGAAGTGGCAAGAAGCATTGTGGCCTAATCAGAGCTGTGATGCAGAAGTACCGCTTGGGGCAGCAGCATGGAGAGAAGACCCAGAAAAGGATGGGAGTCACATGGGGAGACCAGGGAGGAGGCAAGGATGCTGAAGCCTAGGCCAAGACGGTGGCGGTAGGGTGGAGAGGGGCTCATGGGCGTAGGAACTTAGGGAGCTGATTCACTGAGAACCTGGTGACATATGGAAGGTGGAGGCTGAGGAAGAGGGAGAAGAAGTCAGTGATGGTTCCTGGACTTCCACACATGCCTCAGATGCAAGGTCCCATGCTGAGACTCAGAGTCTGAGTAGCTGTGAGCCCCTAGGGGTCCTGGCCCCTGGCTGACACCCCAGTCTGCCGGGTCCCTCAAGAAGAACCGAGAGGATCATGTGGACACTGATGGGCTGCAGATTGATCTTCACCAACACACACCCAAATAGCTTTCCCTGTCGACGGGGTTAGTAAATTGAGAGAATTCAGTATTTATTCACTCACAGTCACCAATTATGTTCAAGGCTCTGTGAGTGACACGGATGCATCACACACATCCCAGTCCTGTCCTCAGAGATCAGATGGTTTGTCTGTGATGCCCACACACATTTGTATGTATTATATTGCACCCATACAAGGTAGAGAAGGTAAACACCACGACAAAGAGATCAAATCCTTAAATGAAAGATCATTCCTGGCCAGAGAGAGAGTAGAGTCATGGAGGGCTTTGTGGAGGAGGAGGCCTATGAGGTGGGCTCACCCAGGCTGGTGTGGGTTGGATTTAGCCACGTTAAAATGGAGAGAAATATTCCAGACAGAGACAACTGCAAAGAGGCATGAATGTGGAGCATGGCAGTTGGCAAGAGCGGGGCTTTGCAGGGGAGTGTTGATGCCGAGGCAGCCTGGCATATTTGTAAAGTGCAGACATTACTCTCTAAGGAGAACCACTGAAGGATTTGGGATTTGGGGCGAGGAGTGACTTGGTGAGAGCTGGCTATCAGGACAGTCTGTCTGGGTCTATGGATCGGTGGGCTGGGCAGGACAGTGCAGACGCTGTTGCTGTTGGTTCACACAAGAGAGGATGGGCAGTAGGGTCTGAGCCAGGGTGGGGGCAGGAAATCCTTGTCCATTCATTAACATGGATTGAGGCTTTGGGCCAGGCCCTGTTCTAAGCACTTTATGTGCACTACCTGATTGAGTCCTTCTCAAAGTCCAGCCAGGTAGGCGCCACTGTCATTCCCACTTTACAAATGATAGTTCACGGAGGCCCGGAGATGTCATGTCAATAACTCAGAGCATAGCTAGGAGGTGGAGGAGGCGGGATGCAAACCTAGTAGCCTGTGCTCTTAAATTCTCTTAAATCTCACCCTAAAAATGGCATCCCAAAGGGACTGAGCACACTAAGAGTGGACCTGCCAGGGTTGGGGGTGGCTCTGAGGGTTGACCCAGAGCTGCAGGTCCTCTTGCCGTAGCAACTGGCTCCTGTCACCCCCTGTAAGCAGTGTTGGGCCCCACAGGGCCTGCTCTGGTTCACCGACTCGAAACCAGAGCCCACATATAGGTGGTGACAATGTAAATAACTGATGCAATGGAAACTTTCTATGGAAAAAGGTACCCACTCAAACAGCCACAAAGTCCAAAAAAAGGAAGAACACCACAGCAGACCAAGTGGGCCCTGTGGCACACAATTTCCTTTGGCACAGCCTTTCTGTCTGGCTGAATCTCTGAACTGGTGGAGGTGGGGATGGGGTGGAAGATGGGGTAGCACTGGGCAGGAGTGGGGCAGGTTGAGATCTAGACCAGAAGCCTGGCTGGGTCCCCGGAGGACCCTGGGTCACCAGGCTTCCCCTCTTAGCTAAGGGGGCAGCTGTCGTGTGGGCAGAAAGCAATTCTGCCTCCAAAAACACACACCTGTTATCACAGTCTTCCTAGTAGGCATGAATTACTCCCTGCCCCTGTCCTACTGTGGGCCAGTGGTGGAGGTTCTGTAGTCCCCGGGATCTCCCGAGGCCTCCACCTGCTTTGCTGTGAATAAGTTGCAGCAATCTTGTTATGGGATCTGGTATCTTCTTATTTTAGAAGATGAAATAATCATAAACATAAGTAAAGCTAAAAGATCAGAAGTAACCAGAAGAGGAAGAGGGAGAAGGTGGATTTTTCTGGGAAGCCAACCGTACCATTTTGTTCTTACCCCAGCCCAGGGCGTGCACTCTTGCTCTTGTTTCAGAGGTGAGGAAACAGACTCACAGGTGGTCAAGGACTCGAAGAAGGCCACACAGTGTCTAAGACCAGTAATGTCCAGTTTTATTTAATGCCAGAGCCTTGGGCCCTCCTGCAGTGCAAGGCTGTCCACATCTCTCTGTTTTCAAAGCCTCAGTTTCCTCAGTTGTCAGATGGTGATGATGGAGCCTGACCGTAGCATTAGTATGACTGTGAAAAAATGCAGGGACAGCCTTTGCACGTGGAAGACACTCAACAAATGTTGGGTTCTTCCTCTACCTCTGGCTTCTGTGTCTACAACCCGGGGAGATTTAGAAGCCTTCTTGCGGGGAAGCAGCTCAGGTTTTGGGCTCCCTGGGAGAAAGGGCCAGAACCACTGATTTTCTTATCTATCTTCCCTGCTAGATCCATCACAGCCTGAGACATGGACAAGGTCTTCTTCACCTTTGCACCCTGGGGTCTAGCCCAGTGATGGAGAGTGTCTTGTCCAAGGTCACTTAGCTGGGTGCAGCTGGACCTCAAATGTGGGGCTGCCTCATGGGATTTCTATTGCACCCAGAGAGGGAACACGGTGTCTTCTCTGCTCCCCTGTGTAGAGTGCCTAGTTCCAGGGGGCTTTCTGTGACAGAGGGCTGCGAGGTGTGGCCTGATATAGCAGGAAGCGACCTCACTGCTCCTCCCACACCTACCTTCCCCCGCCCCCCAACCCCCGCCCCAGCAGCTCTCAGAACCTTCATCTCCAAGTGCAGCTCCTCCAGTCTCGTCTGTTCCTCCTCCCGCCACTCCGGTATTCTCCTCGACTCCTGGGCTGGGTGCTCCCCATATACACCAGCAACACCTCCCTTCCTTGTCCCTGCAGTGCCTGAAAACCATGAACTTTTCTTCTGCCAAATCCCAGTGTAGAGTTTATGAGACAGTATATTCCTACCTGCCACTAAATGGAATATGTTATCTTGTACTTGAAGTTCTTCTTTTTTGCTCCTTCATACAATGGAAAGTATCACCATTCTCTATTTTTAAATGCCCTGTCTTTCCTGGAAAACATTTCTGGGTATCCTCAAAGCAGGTCTTGTCGCTATCAATGACTGGGCTCCATTGCCTGTCTCTCTGCCCACTCTCCTTGTTGGGGACGCCTCACTCATCCGTGAGTCAGCTACCATGTGAGAGAGAAGCCTCTTGTCTGGAGAACACAGCTGGGGACCGGGAAGGTTCCCAAGGCAGCCTCCAGGCTGTCAGCTGCATGTCACAGCATTCTCAGACTAGAGCGCACTCCGCTGAAACAAAGGTGAGCCCCTCAGGAAAGTGAGAGCCGGAAGGCTGACCACAGAGAGGGAGGTGGGTCACAGAGCCAACCCCAAACCCCAAAACAGAAGCCAGAAGGAGGAGAGATTGACAGAGGGAGAGAGACTTGGAAGGTGTCCCACCATAACTGAAGAAGGGCACAGGCATTTATTGAGTGCCTTTTGTATACTGGGTTCATACTCATTTCACATACACTTTGTCGCATCTGATCCACGTGGCAAACCCAGGGAGGGGGTGAGAGTCTTCACTTCTGACTCATGAGGAAAGTGAGCTAGTAATGGATGAAACCAGGGTCTGAACCCATGTCTTTCTGATGATGTTAAGGCCAACTCGCTATGCTATACCATGCTACTTCTGTGGTGCTGGGTAAATGAGGCATGCCAGTAATTCTCTCTCTTCCCCTCCCATCCACCCCTTTGCCAGTATCCCAGCATGAACCACCAGGATTATTCCATATGATTCTGCCATGTGTGACCCATGTCTTAGATTTTCATGTTTTCTTATTGATCACAGACCACAATAACAAATAAAACTGAAAATAGAAAGATTCATCCCACAATTCCCTGCCCCACACAGATCAAATTTGACTTTCCATGTGCCGGCCCCTTCTGCAGACGTTCCGTTCAGAGTGGAGGGAAGGGCCACGTGTCAGGAGGGTGTCAGGAGGGTGGCAGGGGCCTCAGGGCCAGCCTTCTTCTCCACTTTCTTTAGGATCAGTGTGTGAGGCCCAGTGCCAGAGTCCAAAGCCCCCCTGCCTCCCTGCCAGCCCTTGGAAAACAGCTGTTATGACCCAGTGAGGCTGGCCCCTGCCAGGCATCCAGGATTTTTCTTTAACCCTTTGTCAGCTGCAGTGATGCCAACCCCCAGTGCCCAGACCGGATGCGGCCCCTACCAGCTGCTGGCAAAGGCCTTGCTTTGATGTGTTGGTGGAGAGTGGAGAGCAAGGGCCCTCCCTCCTCATGATTTTGGGTGGGGCCAGCAGAGGAGCTGGCCCTGGTCCTTCCTGCCCTGGGTGGGTGCCACCTTGCAGATGGGCCCCTCTACCCCTAGTAGCCCCCTCCCTGTTCAACTGTTTTCTAAAAAGAAGACACTTTTATATCAGTTTCTCAATTTTTATTATGGTAAAATACACATAACATAATTTACCATCTTAATCATTTTTAAATGTACAGTTTAGTGTTATTAAATACATTCAAAAAGTTATGCACCCATCACCACCATCCATCTCTTCTTTTCTCTTTCTTTCTTTCTTCCTTTTCTTCCTTACTTCCTTCCTTTCTTTCTTTTCTTTCTTTCTCTCTCTCTCCCTTTCTTTCTTTCCTTTTTCTTTCTTTCTCTCTCTCTCCCTTTCTTTCTTTCTTTCCTTTTCCTTTCTTTCTCTCTCCTTCCTTCCTTCCTCTTTCTTTCTTTCTTTCTTTCTTTCTCTCTCTTTCTTTATTTCTCTGTCTCTCTCTTTCTTTCTTTCTCTTCTTTCTTTGTATAAACTTAAGGGGTACAAATGCAATTTTGTTACATGGATATATTACATAGCGGTGAAGTGTGGGTTTTTAGTACAACCGTCACCCAAATAATGTACATTGTATGCAGTAAGTGATTTCTCATCCCTTACCCTTCCCACTCTCCCAACTTCAGAGCCTCCAGCGTCTATTATTCCACACTTCGTGTCCATGTGTACACATTATTTAGATTCCACTTATAAGTGAGAATATGCAGTATTTGATTTTCTGTTTCTTAGTTGTTTCACTTAAGATATTGGCCTCTTAACTGTTTTCATCTTGTAAAACTGAAGTTCTGTGCTTATTAAACACTGACCCCCCATTCTGCTCTGCCCCAGTTCCGGACAACCCCTATTCTACCTTCTGTCTCTATACTTTTATATCATTTTCAAATTACAAAAGTGATACATGCTTAGTGCTTAAAAAAAGAACAGTATGGAAATGTAGAAACAAGAACGCATGTTTCAAGCCCCACCCATTCTGCAGTGCCCTCCAGGACAAGATTGCATCCCCCAGGTCCTTTCCATCCGTCACAGCTACACAGATAGATGTGTGTCTGTGATTTTGCTTTTCACCATCCCGTTGAGAGGAAGTGTGTGTCACAGCTGAGAGTGCAGTCTCCAGAGTCTAACAGACCAAGGTTCACCGCTTGGTCAGGCCTTAGCCTCTGTAGGCCTCAGATGGAAAATGGGGGCAGAAGTGGCACCTTCCACCCGGCAGACTGTTGAGGGAGGGGGGCAGGGAGACTACCTGTGAGAAGCGCTGAAGCTTGTACGTCACATAGACAAAGCTTGATACATAGACAAAGCCACAATGAATCTCTGTTATTGGTAGGAGTATATGTTTATCTTTAAGAAAAGTTATGTTCCCATGACTATTCCATTGTGTGTATTTATCATCATTTACTTATTAAACCAATTTCCTGCTGATGGTCATTAAGGCTGCATCCATCCTCACTGTTAAAATAGTGCTACAGTGGTCATCCCTATGTGTGCATGTGTGTGTATGTTTGTGTATGATGATGTGTGTGCACACTGCAAAGCTGCCGAGTCAACATACATTTTGGTAGACACGGTTAAAAGATTCTCCTCATCTATACCTACTAGCAGTATTTGAGAAGTATTTGATGACGACTCCTCCCTCCACCACTTGATGGTAGCAATCACTTTCCTCTTTGCTAACCAAATGGGAAAAGGTGATACCGATTTTTTTTTTTTTTTTTTTTGAGATGGAGTTTCGCTCTTGTTGCCCAGGCTGGAGTGCAATGGCACAATCTCGGCTCACTGCAACCTCTGCCTCCCGGTTTCAAGCGATTCTCCTGCCTCAGCCTCCCAAGTAGCTGGGATTACAGGCATGTGCCACCATGCTGGGCTAATTTTTGTATTTTTAGTAGAGACGGGGTTTCACCATGTTGGACAGGCTGGTTTTGAACTCCTGACCTCAAGTGATCCACATTTTTAAATATATTCTTTATTAACGAGGCCAGCATTTTGCATATATTTATTAGACATTTTTATTTCTTAAGCAATGATCTGTTCATTTTCTTTCTCCATTTTATTGGCTATATGTCTTACTGTTTTGTGGATGCTTATTACATATTATGGATATTGACACTTTTTCATATATGTTGCAAATATTTTTATCCAATCTGTCATTTGCTTTTTAACTGTTGATTAACTGGGGTTTTTTGTTTTATGTAATGCTTAATATTTTTATGTAGTTAGATTTATTAATCTTTTCCATTAAGAGCACTGAGGTCCAATTCGGGCTTTGAAAGTTATTTTCCAACACTAAAGTATAGAAATATTTTAATAGTTCTGGTATTTTCATGAACTTGCTTTTATAGGATGTTTATATCTCTAATCCATATACATTTCTGTGTGTCTATGGTGCGTGTATTCTATTTAAAATGGCATTCTCCACCCTTCCTCATTCTGTACCCATTTTGCTGCTTAATTTTCATTGTAACACCTGCCACTATTTGCCATGTGGTTTGTTTTACCTGCGGATTTGTTTGTTACTCATCTCCCCTCACCAGACTCTCAGCTCCATAAGGGCATAGACCTTTTCTGTTTTGTTCACTGCTGAATTCCCAGTGCCCAGAACAATGCCCAGCACATAGTAGGTTCTTAATAAATATTTGTTGAATGAATAAACAGCCAGCCAGTTGTCCTAGTGCTTTTATTTAAATAATCCATTCTTTCTCTGCTAATCTGGAATTCCATCTTCGACAGCCTTCTCTTCTATAGTTTCTTCTATAGTTATTAGAGTCTACCTAGGTTTTCTCCCTCTTCTTCAGTTTTACAATTTATACTTTTCTAGAAAATCACCAACTTGTAAATTCATTGACACAGTTATGTATCAAATTCTCTTTGATTTTTCAAAATGTTCACGTATATGTTTACATCACCTTTCTTAATGATTATTTGCGACTTTGCCTATTACTGCTAGTCAGATTTGCCACCGATTTGTCCATTTTGTTGGTCTTCTCAGAAAGCTTAGCTTGCAGCTATGTATGTATATATACATACGTATGTATATGTATGTATATATACATACGTATGTATATGTATGTATATATACATACGTATGTATATGTATGTATATATACATACGTATGTATATGTATGTATATATACATACATATACGTGCATATATGTATATATGCAGCTATATATGTATATATGTGTGTGTATATATATATATAGTTGTGGTTGCTGTCATTTTCTCACTCGTTTTATTTTCAACTTTATTCATTTCTTCTAGATTACTTTGGTTTATTTCATTCTTTTTTAGTTTCTTGGGTTATGTGCTTAACTCATTTAGTTTCAACCTTTCTTAATTTATCATGAAAACATCTAAGCTTTGTATTTTCTTCTAGATGCAGCTTTGATTGCACTACTCAGATTTTGAAAAGTAGGGTTCTCAATGTTGTACATTTATAATTATCCTACGATAGCGTTGCTGTCCTCTTTGATTCAAGAGTTTTTTTAGAAAAGCATTTTTAAATTGTCATGTGCATCATTTGTTTATGTATTTTTATTTTTTGCTATTTGTTAATGTCTAATTTTATTTCATCAAGAACTGAGGCTGTGGTCCGTACAATTCGTGCATTTTGGAATTTGAGATTTTCTTGCAGTCTAGTACAGGGACATTTGAGAAAAAGGTGTTTTCTCTATTTCTTGAATGTATATGAAGTTAAACTTACTAACTACATCTTCAAACCCTTTGTATTCTTCTTTGGAGGTTACTTATACCACCAAATTTCAAATAATAATGCTCAAGACATTTCCTGTTCTTTCTTTACCTCCTCCTTGTGATTCCAAGAATGTCTTATTTTATACATTTTGTGGTTCTGTGTTTATGATGAGAGTAAAAGTTCGTGATTTTTGTATCTCCTTGGAGAAATAGACTCTTCGGCAATATAAAAGGCCCCAGTTTAGTGTATTTAATTAACATTTTTGCATTTTGTCTGATATTAATATTGGCTTTCTCGCATTATTTTCGTTACCATTTGCTTTTTTCCATTTATTTGATTTCCATCTTTTTTGTCAGTTTGTTTTAAGTGTGTTATTTCCAAACAGCATATAGCTGGATTTTTTTTTCCTTTTATCCAGCCTGGTCTCTTAACTTAAAGTAATTTAATTTATTCATATTATTGTGTCTTTTGTCATCTTATTTTATGTCTTTTGTTTATTACACTTTTTCTTTCCTGTTTAATTTTTCTTTTCCCACTCTTGGCTAAATTAATAGAGTTTTCTTTGTTTCTCCCTTCCCCTCTCCCCACACAGTGGTTTAAAAGGTTTGCATCTTGCTTTTCTTCTAGAAATGGTTAGTTTTTACACAGATTTCTCTATTGATGTCAAGAATTAAATAGTATCTAATTCCCAACAAGATAGGATCATGATTATCAACATTTGTTTAGACTTCACTTCACCTTTTTCTGCTTTTATTATTTCTCCCTGTTTCTTGGATATCCTATATTGTCCTTTTTTGAATTACTTATTCTGGTACAATTCTTATTTCCTTTGAGTGATTCCTCGAGTAATTTTTTTTTTTTTTAAGAAAAGATGCGTGGGTGGTGGGTGTCACACTATTTTATACTTCTCTCTGGCTTTGAGACTTGGCTGAGTAACGGATCTAAGGGTTTTAACCCTTTTTCCTCCAAGCTCGGAGGTCTGCCCTGTTGTAAATGATGCAGATACCAAATTGAATGTCAATTTGATTCCAAGCATTTTTGTAGAGACTGTCAAATGCCAGCTCCCCAGATATCATCTACAAACTTGTTGGTAAGGCAAAGCTGAGTTTATTACTCACTTGCCGAAGGGAGGGTGCTGATTCCAGAGGGCTTTGGCCTGTCTGGGAGGAAGGAGGCAAGGTTGGGTTTTCTGAAGCCTAGCAGTTCTCTTTAAGGTGGGTGTGTCAATGTGGGGGCTTGGTTAGGGTTGTGTAAGGAACACAGTAGTCCAGGACTGGTGGAAGCCATGAGGTGAGGGATTTTGAGGCCAGGCAAGGGATTCAGAGAATCGTAGGGCACCAGCTGTTGATTGAAGAGTAGATGGGTCCTTCAGGAGGTTTCTGTGATGAACAGTGAAGCCATTTGCCAGGGAGAGAGGCTCCTGGGATAATAAAGTCATGCAGTTGAAGGCAGAAAGGTGTGTGGGGAGGTACTTTCTGCTCCCAGTACCTCCCTGCCCAACTCTCACTTTGGTCATTTTGGAAACTGAGAGGATCCACTCTTTTTGGGGGGGATTTCAGGACCCCACTCCAGCCCGCCCTGCCATGGAGGAGCTCTGAGCAAGTCCTGGGGTGCCTGGCAGGTGGGCCCTCACTGCCCGGCTGGGTGAGGCTAGCTTCGCTCTGATTAGATTTCCTGTCACTCCCTCTCGTCTGTTTTCCCTCGGACTTTCTGGCCAGCTGATGCTACTGCAGATCTGTTCTTATTTGCACATTTCTCCTTTTATTTGAGGGGTGTTGCGGGGGGGAGAAGAGGGAGATAAATGGGCTCGGTTTGCCATCTAGGCCCTCAGGTGTGTGTGACCTTTTCTGGTGACCTGGACACGGGTGTGGTGGGCAGCCCTCTGACCTGCCACGGAGGGGGAGACTGGGGACAGTCAGTGACACCAGCCTCACGACCGCAGCCAGAAGAAGTCTCTCTCCTTCCACCTGATCCTTTCTCCTCAAGCCACACCCCTCACCCTGGCTGCAGGACCTCACTGATGAAAATGACCTCACTTCACAGCACCACCACATCCAGGCCACTTCATCTGTCAAACCGTCATGTCCCGGCCCCTACACAGCACCTCCCACTGTCGCTGCCCCTCACCTCCAGCCATGTGGACACCATGCAATTTTCTTGAACATTCTGGCCATTTGGGGGTCCTCTGTCCTTTCTTTTTATCTTTTTTTTATTCTTTTTTTTTTCTTTGAGTTGGAGTCTTGCTGTGTCACCCAGGCTGGAGTGCAGTGGCACAATCTTGGCTCACTGCAACCTCTGTCTCTTGGGTTCAAGCAATTCTCCTGCCTTACCCTCCCAAGTACCTGAGACTGCAGGCATGTGCCACCACGCCTGGCTAATTTTTGTATTTTCAGTAGAGACAGGGTTTCACCATGTTGGCCAGGATGGTCTCGATCTCTTGAACCCGTGATCCGCCAGGCGTGGTGGCTCATGCCTGTAATCCCAGCACTTTGGGAGGCCTTGACAGGTGGATCACGAGGTCAAGAGATCTGTCTTTTCTTACATGACTCCCTTTGTTTTAAATATCCTCTTTCTTTTTTCTCTCTCTTACACATTCAGACACCATCAAAATTGACTACCCCTACTCCGTGCTCCCCTTGAAGATAGAGATTAAATCTTTGCCATCTATTAACGCTGGCACCTACAACCCGGCTCTACCCAAAATAGGCACTGAGTGGACATCTGTTAAATGAATAAACAACCAACTTGGGCGCTAAAGAGAATTGTTCCACACTGACTGTGTGTGACAGGCCATACTCGGGGTGAGGGAGTGAGTCAGAATGACCCTGCCTGAGTTGTATGCAATCTAGAAGGGCTTTAAGCCGTGGCTGAGCACAGTGGATGCTGTTATTTACCTTAGGAGGAGCACAGCAAATGTGCTTGGGGTATTCTGGAGAGGCAGAACTTAGGTCCAGTTTTATGGGAGCTAGCTGAACCTCCTGAGGGAAGATGGGCAGGATTCAGCAAGGTGGGCACGATTGCAGAGGGAGGTGAGTAGCATCCCATGCAGAAGAGGCTGCCTGAGCCAAGGCTCAGAGGTAGGAAACTGTAGATTGTGTTTGTAGAATAGCGTGTTCTGAGAAGTGAGTGTTTCTACACTGGGAGGAAGAGAGCACGGCCATTTTGATTAATAACTGCAATCTATTGGAGGGCATGAGGTCAGATCAGGGAGGATAGAAACCCACAGAGTAGTGAGAAATTGGGCTGGTTCGGACGGCAGAATCAGGAACTGATTGATAGAGCCACAGAGCAAGCCTCTCCACTGTGTGGTGCTGCGATGCTGCCCTGGGGGTAGGAGGGGGCTGGCTGGGTTTCATAGCAGCAGGTACATTGGGAAGGGGACAGCAGGGGGGCATCGGTGACCTGTATGCTCTGTAGGAATCAGCAGTGCGATATGGTTGCCAAACGTGATTCTGAGGCTGTGTGAATAAAAAGCAGGGTGCCCAAGAGGAGAAAGGTAACAGTGCCCCAGGCCTGTGTGCGGGTTACTCCAGACCCAGATTATTGGGTTCCACTCTGAGATAATATTCAGAGCAGTTACGTGGGCCGTGCCAGGCATTGTTCCAACCTTTTTCCATGTACGGACTCATTAAAGTACGGGCCCTGGAAGGCACTCACCATTCTTAGCCCCACTTGCCAGGCACAGCAAGGCAATGCAACTTTCTCAAGTTGCAGACGTCAGAAGTGGAAGGGCTAGATTTGAACCAGGTATACCTGGCCCTGGAAGCCACATTCTCATCCATCCCACGACACTGCCTGCAGCGGGCAAACCAGAGCATCCTCCAAAGAGCACGGCGTGGATATGACACGCCACGCCACCACTGACTGAAACAACTTCGGCTTTCTAGTTTACAAAGCATCTTCCTCTATATTTCCTTATTTGATCCTTACAACAGCCTGGCAAGTCAGTTATTAAAAACCAATACTCATTTGTGTATTCATTCAGGAATCACTGTTGAGCTCCTGCCCTGAAACAGGCCTCTCTTGGCCTGTTTTATTTTGTGATTTGGGGAATACAATATGCTTTTATGTCTATTACTGTATTTCATTGCCACCCATGCCTGAATATGAGTCAGTTTTCCAGGCTGTATTAGTTTTCTCTTGCTGCATAACAAATCTCCTCCAATTTAGTGACTTAGAATAACACCCATTTGTTAGCTCACGGGTCTGTAGGGCAGAAGTCTGGTACAGAGTGGCTGGATTCTCTGCTCAGGGCTGAATCAAGGTGTTGGTGGGCTGGGTTCTCATCTGGAAGCTCTGGGGAACATTCTGCTTTCCAAGCTCATTCAAGGTGTTGACAAGACTCAGTTCCCTACAATGGTAGGACTGAGGTCCTGTTTTTTGCTGGTCATCAGCCGGGGTTGCTGTCAGCTCCTGGAAGCTGCGGGCCAATCCTTTCCATACAACCCTCCATCTTCAAGGCGGTGAGGGTATGATGAAGCTTTCTCCAGACCCTAATCTCTCTGACTTCCTCTCCTGTGATTAGCCAGAGAAAACTCTGCTTTTTAAAAATAATTTCAACTTTTCTATTAGATTTGGGGTACATGTGCAGGTTTGGGTATATTATGTGATGCTGAGGTTTGGAGTAGAATGATCCTGTCACCCAGGTAGTGAGCATAGTACGCACTAGGTAGTTTTTCAGCCCTTGTCCCTCCCTCTCTCTCCCCCACCCAGTAGTTACTAGTGTCTGTCGTTCCCATCTTTATGTCCATGTGTACCCAATGTTTAGCTCCTGCTTATAGGTGAAAACACATGGCATTTGATTTTCTGTGCCTGTGTTAATTCTCTTAGGATAATGGCCTCCAGGTGCATCCATGATGCTGTCAAGGACATGATTTTGTTCTTTTTTATGACTACATAATATTCCATGGTGTATATGCATCACATTTTCTTTACCTCATCCACCACTCATGGGCATGTAGGTTGATTCCATGTCTTTGCTATTGTGAATAGTGCTGGAGTGAACATACAAATGCGTGTGTCTTTTTGGCAGAATAACTTATTTTCCTTTGGTTATATACTCAGTAATGGAATTTCTGGGTCGAATGGTCGTTCTGTTTGAAGTTCTTTGAGAAATTTCCAAACTGCTTTCCACAGTGGCTGAGCTACCTTACATTCCTGCCAACCGCGTATAAGCATTCCCTTCTCTCCACGGTCTCGCCAGCATCTGTTGTTTTTTTGCCTTTTTAGTAATAGACATTCTGACTGGTGTGAGATGGCATTTCATTGTGGTTTTGATTTGCATTTCTCTGATGATTAGTGACGTTGAGCATTTTTTTCATGTTTGGTGGCCACTTGTATGTCTTGTTTTGAGAAGTGTCTATTCGTGTCCTTTGCCTACTTTTTAATGGGATTATTTGGTTTTTGCTTGTTGAATTGTTTAAGTTCCTTATAGATTCTGAATATTAGATCTTCGTTGGATGCACAGTTTGTAGACATTTTCTCCCATTCTGTAGGTTGTCTATTTACTCTATTGATAGTTTCTTTTGCTGTGCAGACGCTCTTTAGTTTAATTAGGCCTACTTGCCAATTTTTGTTTTTGTTGCAATTGCTTTTGAGCACTTAGCCATAAATACTTTTCCCAAGGCTGGTGACCAGAATGGCATTTCCTGCAAATTCTGTTTTTAAAGGGCTTTCATACCAGGCCAGGTCTTGATAATCCCCCTCTCTTAAGGTCAGTTGTGCCCTGTAACATAACCCAACCATCCATCCTATTCACAGTCCTGGGGGCTTTGCAGGGTCTGTGCACCAGGGGAACCGGAAATCTTGAGGGCCATCTTAGAATTCTGCCTACCACACTAGTGAAGAAATAGAGGCTCAGAGAAGTTAAGTGTTGGATGCAAAGTAGGGGGATGTGGGGATCAGGCCCTGTACCAAGTAAAGCTGCTTGGGAGTAGTTGGGGGGTGTGTCCTCCAGGGACCAGGCAGGGATTGTTCTGTGTCTAAAAAAGTTGACCAAGAAAGTTCTTTGACCATGTTTCTCAATCATCTCCTGCAGGATTCGAGGCACAAACCCAGCAGCCTCAACCTAGTTCATGGAGGAGCCTCGCGGGGTCCTGGCCAAGCAAGCCCGCCCCTCTGGTGGGAAGAGCGGCGCCTAGGTGGAGGGTGGCTGCCGTAGGAGTGGACATGAATGCTGGCTTTCAGAGAGAACAGCGTTTCAGTTTTGGTCATCGGAAGTGGTGCCTTCAGCACAGGTAGGAAATGGGGGCTGTTGCTGAATATGCTTGCCAGGCGCCATGTTGGTCTGTCTTGCATGAGCTTGCTTAGTTCTTCCTCTGAAAAATGTATTATTGTTATTATTAGTGTTATCGTTGCCTTTCTGGTGCCTCTGTGAAAGTTGTTGTGAAAGTCCTCAACCTTCCTTGGTCAGGAGTAGAGACCTTGAGTGCCAGCAACTGGCTACTGCTTCCCATGCTGTCTCCCATGAAATGCAGTCCGCCCCCTCCCAGTACCTCAGTTTCCATTCTGTCCTGGCAAAGGACACAACAGCTCCTCTCAAAGGGCCACAGCCCCCTCTCCAGGGGCCACAGCCTCCACAAGCCAGTCCAACTGTGTGCTCCTGATAGCCAGAGGTCTACCCTCTTCTCCTACATAATGGTTCTTGCTGAAGACCACCACTGCCCACCCAATGCCTAGTCAGAGGAGCACCACGGGAGTTAGAGACATAGCAGCAGGTCTTCAGTCCCCTTTCTCACCCCACCTGCCCCCAAGTTGTGAAGAATTGAAAAGATGTCAGGGTTGGGGCAATGATTCTTGGAATTTCAGCAATTTCAATAGCAGGGCCCCAGCTCCCGAAATAGTGATCAAATGAGCCTGGGGAGAGGCCTGGTATCAGCTTATGTTTATATATGCATTTAGATCTTCAGGTATGTGCTGTGGTTTCTGGCTAGATGTTCAGGCTTCAGTACAGGTTAGGTGTGCAGTGTTAGAAGCTTGTTGGGTCAAGAACAAGTCCTTGGATGTTTTCTCTGGTGTGGAGAGCCAGAATCACCCAGAGAGCTGGGGATTAGAAAGAGGGTGCCTGGTATGACAAAGGAAGGAAGGAAGGGAGGGAGGGAGGGATGGACGGAGGGAGGGAGTTCTCTGGCCTACCTGTGCCCTCTGCATCAGACTCTTGGGGGTTGGGGACCCAGGAATCTACATTGATTCTGATGCAGCCAAGGCTTGGGGACTCCAGGGCCTCCTTCTGGGGGCCTGTGTTTGGGTCTGTGGGCCCAGCTGAGATTTCCAAGGCAACATTTCCCAGCCTGGCATGCCAGGAGCAGTGACTCTTTCGCTTCTCTGAAAGCTGAAGTTTCCTCACTGTATAGAGAAGGGGATGGGGCCACAGGCAGCCCTCAGAGATGGCATCGCTGTTGCTGCCTGGACTTCGGGGTGGCTAGAGCCTGTGTCTCTGCCCACAGTATGACAGCTTGGGCCTACCAGCCCTAGGCCTAGACCAGGGTTCTCCTGAGGAGGTAAAGGAATCGTTCCCTGGATTCCAAGGAAGAACTGGGCATTGGAGCCTCATTTTAAGAGGGGATGTTTGTTGTGGTACTTAACAGTGTAGACCCACCCTGAGTTCAAATCCCAGCCCCGACTCTTAGTGGTTGTGTGAGGCACTTACTGGTTTAAGAGGCAAATTGCTCCAACTCTGCCTCATCCTTCTCACTTGCAAAATGAGGCTGGTAGTGATACCTGCCTCGCAGGGTTGCTGGGGAAGGCCCCTAGAATGTTGCCAGCCACGTTAACAAGGACCTCCCAAACGTGAGTCACCCTTCTGGCGTGTGTGGGCAGTTGGGCCACCACCCTGCTCTCCCAGTTGCAGCCCTGTGCCATCTGCATGCCCTGCCCTCTGGCCCCAGTGCTGTGTCCCTGAGGTCAGGCTGAAGCACGGGGACCGATGCTGCTGCCCACATGGTTGGTACTTTACAGACAGGTTCGAGTCCTTCCCAAACCTCAGTGAGTCTGGTCCTGTTGCCCCTGTTGTGCACATAAGGAAACTGAGCACAGAGAGGTTCAGTAGTTTAAAGACAGCTACACAGATGGTAAGGGGCAGAGCCTCTGGTTACAAAAGACCCAGCACTTTTTTCTCCACCAAGATGCTTCCTGAAGAAGAGCAATGACAGCTCCAAGGATGACCCCTTCCCCAGGAATGTCCACATGTTCATAGGAATCGATCATGCTGTAATGCCCCAGCATGCCCCTGGCTCGGCATCCTGGGGCACTTCCTGGTACCTCAACTTAGCACTTGTTTCCTTCTGTGCCTATCACAGCCATTTAGGGGTCTCATGAGCAGTCTCAGGACAGGATCTGGGTTCATTCCATGAGGTGTACAACAGATACTTGAACTAGTCCAGAAGCAGAGCCCTCTGAGAGATGCAAGCCAGATACATGGGGGAACTGTCCAGGGAGTACAGATGGGGGGTCCTCTGCAGACTTGGCATTTCCCTCCCCTCCCCCCGCTTCGTGCCCAGACTCTTTGTTTGTCCGTGTGGGCTCAGCCAGCTGCTTGGAAGAATCTGTAGAGTATGGGACTTGCCCAGAGGGAAATGAGCTGTCAGTTCCAGCGAGAAACCTGGCTCCTGCCTCTGCCTGTGTTCTCCCTGGGGAAGAAAGTGCCTGTGATTAATGAGGTGCTGACTTGGTGCTGCTGGAGTCCAGGTGATCACGGCCACTGCTGGCACGGCCCTCCCAGCCACCAGGGAGGAGCTGGGATATATGGCATCCGAACAAGACAGAGGTGTGCAGTGCTGCAAACGCCCCGGTGCTGGGGAGGGCGGGGTGGCCCATCAGCACCATCAGAGGCTTGGGCACAGCTATGTGTGGAATTACTGAGGGCAGGGAAACATGGAGTCACAGCCACTCTTCAGAAGGGGCCTGAAGTGGGGCTTTCTCCAGAATAAATGTGCTTTCTGAATGAGAAGCTAGAGGACAGATCTCATTTGAAAATGGATATGGAAGCAATTTCTCAGCAATGAGAAACTTGAGCAGTTTTCAAACTTTTATAGTCTTAGAAGCTATTTTTAAAAGCCAAATCTTGCATGGAATGTCAATATATAAAACAGGTTAAAATGATGGTTTATGAATACATTATTTTTTAAGTTCAAATTTTTAACATTGTTTAAAAATTCTCATTTTTATTCTTATTTCTTATCTCCAAATTATTGCCATTTAGACTTAGTCTAATTTAAGTCAGATGCAAAAGACTTTATTTATTTATTTTTGATATATACTGTCTTGCTCTGTTGCCCAGGCTAGAGTATAGTGGTGTGATCATAGCTCACTGCAGCCTCAAACTCCTGGGCTCAAGGGATCCTCCTATCTCAGCTTCCTGAGTAGCTAGGAGTACAGGCATGGACCACCACACCTGGCTGTCTAGTTTTTGACATTTATTTATTATTTATTATGAACGTTATATTTATTATGTTATTAGCGACACCTCTGTTTTGATGCACAAACACATTGAAATCTGAGGTTCTAGATCAGGAATTGGCAAACTTGCCTGTGGGCCTAATCCAGGCTGCTGCCTGATTCGGTAAAGTTTTATTGGAACATAGCCACACCGTTTTTTAAATGCATTATCTATGGCTGCTTGAGACTGTCTGTTTCACAAAATCTAAAGTTCTTACTATTTGGCCCTTTACAGAAGAAGTTTGCTGACCTCTGCCCTAGATCATCATTGTATTGCTTGCTTTATCAGCTGCAATATCTAATATTCCTTTTTCTTTCTTGTTTCGTTTGGCTTGACTGCAAAGTATTAAGGAATTCTTTTTTTTTTTTTTTTTTTTTTTTTTTTTTGAGTTGGAATCTCGCTCTGTCAGCCAGGCTGGAGTGCAATGGCATGATCTTGGCTCACTGCAATCTCTGCCTCCCAGGTTCAAGCTATTTTCCTGCCTCAGCCTCCCAAATAGCTGGGCTTACAGGCGCATGCCACCACACCAGCTAATTTTTGTATTTTTATTAGAGATGGGGTTTCACCATGTCAGCCAGGCTGGTCTCAAACTCCTGACCTTGTGATCCATCCACCTCGGCCTCCCAAAGTGCTGGGATTACAGGCGTGAGCCACCGCGCCTGGCCAAGGAATTCTAAATCAACATCCATAACATGATGTGAATGGTGACAGATTGTTAACAGCTTGCCTTAAAGCCACAGAATGGTCTTCAGTTCAACATTATCTGGGCATTTGGGGAGGAGTAGAAGGGAATTCTGGTTTGCATCAGTGACAATATCCAACAACTGCTTGAATTCCTTCCTATTACACACATAAGTCAGACAGGAAGCCCCACAATCATTTATGATATTTTCATGATAATCCACATAATACATTGTCTTGTCATTGAAAGCTTCAGAGTGTACTTGCTTGTATGGTTTTGTGTACGCATATAGAGTCCTGAATTTAAAAAATGACAACACAAAGATACCCAGTGAAGAGCTCCACTCTTCCTAACTGAAGATACATTTCAACGGTGAAGGTCAAGATCTACCCAGACCTTCATCTGAGGTCTGCACAAACCAAATTAAACCGGCAGCACTTGTTGGCTATATTCAGTGTGTTCCCATGTGCTATAGAGCATGTTTGAATGTGTGTACGTGCTCGTTTTCTGTTAGAATAGGAGTCAAACTGTACTTTTAGAATAACATGCTCGTGGAACATTTGGAGAGCCTCTGAAACACTTTCATGGAACACAATTTGGAGACTACCCCTTCAGCAAATATTGGTGGTTCTCATTTTTGTACTGGAGGATAATGGAGGGGCCACGGATGCTGAGAGTTGGAGGCAGAGGAGGAAGGAGGAGAGATGGGGAGGGGAGAAGTTGAGGTGATGCTGTGGAGAGTGCAGTCAGTAGTGGAAATAGTACTCTTCGCAACCCAGGGAGGCCATGTGAGCTTCTGCTGAGGCTTGGGAAGTCTCCTAGCAGTTGTTGATGAGCAAACTCAGCTCCTGGGGCTGCTTTAATGACCTCTGGCCCGCGCCTTTGAAGAAAAGGTGCAGAAGAGCGTGGAGCAAGGTAAACATGTGTGCAGAGAAGTGGGGGTGGGGAGCATACACGTCACTCTGATCGGCATGCAGAGAGCCTCTGTGGCCATTCAACAGGTCAAGGTGTGAGGCAGTGGGGAGGAAAAAGGATACCCGAGGGGCCAGGAGAATCAGCTTGCCAAACCAGGGCTGGCACAGGAGGAGGAGGGCCTGGAGCATGGGCCGTGTTTGTGAGAGACCGGCGTGGGGTTGGATGTCAGGTTCCCTGGATGGTGGTGGCTGGGATTGCACATTGGCCTTAGGCATTTGAGGCAAAGCCCACAGACCCAGGAATGAAACCCAGGAGTCCTGACTCCCAGGCCACCTGCCCTTCACTCAGTGGGTGCAAGGAAGAGAGCCAGGCCTGGTGGTTTTTGGAGGCCATGGGCTAGAGAAGCCTCAAGGGGATAGAAAAACCCCTGTGCTTTCTGAGGTTGTGCTGCTCACCCCATAGAAAAGGGACATTTTTAGGTTTTAAAAGGATGACCTCATTTTTTTCTTATTTACATAGCCCTGTTTGTTTATATAGCCCTTTAAAAATAGCAAGTGTGTGCTAAGCTTAGTGCTCTCTCTCCCACCACCAGTGGCAGAGCCACTGTGTGGGGAGAAACACCTTTTTATCTTGGAGAGGGGCAGCCTTGTTTCTGAGGACAGATGGGAGCAAAACGGGACAGGTAGGAAGTTTCGTGGTTTCTCGTGTCGCTTCTCCAAAATAGCCACACTGCTGCCTCCCACTTCCTGCCTGACTCGGCTGGGGTAGATTTTCTCCTTTAGAGGATTTGTGTTCTGTGTATTCCCAGGGAGGCTCGAAGGGATCTGTTGCCAAAAACATGCTTGACACTGAAGCCCTGGAGCTTGGCACTGAGGGCCCCAGCTCAGGTTTGGACCACTGGGTTTGCATCCGGGCTCTGTCTCATACTGGCTGCGTGACCTTGGGCAAATGACTTCACTTCTCTGTGCCTCATCAGTAGGATGGAGATAACAACTCTAGCTATATCCAGCAGTTACTCTGCAGATTAAATGAATATGTGTAAAGGGCACAGCCCAGTGTGGGCACATAGCAACTCTTAATGAATCTCTTAATAAAAAACAGCAATGTTGTTGTTGATCTCCATCCCCTACCTGGAAAACTGTACCAGCCTCCCAGCCACCTTCCCTTTCCCCTGGCTTGCCTGCTCCAGCACATCCCAGCATGATCCGAGAGTGATAGAAACGTGAAACACAAATCTGACCCTGCTATCTGCTGCTTAAAATCCACCCATAGCTTCCAGCGTCTATGGCAGGAATGAGCATTCTTTTGCTCTGAATGGCCAGATAGTATTTGAAGCTTTGCCGGGCATATAGTCTCTCTTGACTTTGTCATTGCAGCCTGGAAGCAACCACAGATAATATGTAAAAAATGGGCGTGGTTGTGTTCCAGTAAAATTTTATGTACGAAAACAGGCAGCCGGCTGGATTTGCCAACCCTTGACCTACAGGATGAATCCAGACCCTTAGCTCAGCATTCCCAGTTCAGCCTGTTCCCGTTATCTCCATCCTTCTTCCTCCCCCACCCCTGCTCTTGTGCAGAACATGTCACACTTTAATCCTTTGCGTGTGCTGCTCCCTCTTTCTGAGTTTTCCTTCCCTGCCCCCTGAGTGCCCCTTCCCCATGGCATTAGGACCTTTACTCTGGGATTCTGTGGTACCCTGTCTTTATTTCTACCCTGGTCATATATGCAAGTTCCATCTGTCTCTCCATGAGAGGGGCTCCCCTCTAGGCAGGGATTCGGCCTTCCTCTTCTGTACACCCAGCAGGGTGCTGCTGTATAGGTTTCTGCAGGTGCTCAGTAAGCATTTGTTATTGAACCCAAGGATCTGCAAGATGGATGGTTGGCCTCAGGGAGCTCACAGTCAGCTTAGAAAGCTAGGATATGAGCCAGTCAAAAGCCAGCCAGCAATCCAGGCAGGAAATGATGATGGTCTGTGTGTTTGGCCCTAACTGATGTCAAGTGGAGATTCTGAGCTTGATAGAGGAAGGTGAAGGCATTTGAGTTGGATGTTGCAGGGTGGGAAAGAGACTTGCAGAGATAGGGAGGTCAGGAAGTCTTTCCAAGTTGGGGAAGTCATAAGAGAAGAGCAGGGCTGACCAGGCCTGGGGGCTTAGGCCTGTAATCCCAGCTACTTGGGAGGCTGAGGCAGGAGGATCACCTGAGCCGGAGAGTTTGAGACTAGAATGGGCAAGGTAGTGAGACCTCATCTCAAAAACTAGAAAAATAAAAAATTTAGCCAGATGTGGTGGTCATACTCCTGTAGTCCTAAATATTGAGACTGAAGCGGGTGGATGGCTTGAGCCCAGGAGACGGAGGCTGCAGTGAGCTGTGATTATACCACTGCACTGCAGCCTGAGGGACACAGCAAGACCCTGTCTCGAAAAACAAAACAAAACAAAAGAAGAAGAAGAGCAGGCTCATTGCTGAGCTCAGGGTGGGGAGTGGACAGAGCAGTCTGGCCACGGCTGCAGGCCCTCCCTTGGGAGACAGAGGGGGCCAATGCTGGAAAGCAGGGCGAAGTTTTCATCAATGAGTTGGGGGTGGTGAGGAAGCTTAGACTTTATCCTGTGAGCCAGAATTTCTCCATGTGTGTCCACATACCCTCCCATAACAGAATTACCTTGAGTTTCTTTAAAATGCAGATTCCAGGGCTCTGTCCCATACTGGGGGCCAGGAGGCTGAAGGGGGTCAAGGCCGTGGTCTGTGGGAGGAAGAGGCTGCACCATGGCTATGGGTGCACCACAAGTATTATTCAGACTGGTGTCACCTGTAGGAAGCCGGGTGATGCCTTTCCCAGCTGGACTGGGGACAGGTGAGGCGGGAATGAATAATCCTCCCAAAGGGCAATTGGGAACACCCAAGCTCAAACGTGGCAAGTGACTTGCCCAGGGTCACACTGTCAATTACTTGCAGGTGTGGGGCTGACCAGTTATGGAACAGGCTTCCTCTCCCAATCTCAGGGCCTCGGGTGGTCCTCGAGGTGCCGCAGGTGGAAGAAGAACAGGCCAAGGCAAATGCCTCCGGTACCCAGCACTGCCTGGTGCACAGTAGTGGTTGATCAGTAATTGTTGAACCAATCAGGGTTTCTGTTTGCTTGAAGGAAAGGGTAGGAGTGGAGGGTGAGTGACTGGGTGAATGGGTGCTATGAGGACAAAGGAGAGTGGAGTTTAGAGGTAGCACTAGTGTCGCAAGCCTGAAGGTTTACCAGAGACAGAGGGGTGAAAAGATGAGTGGGGCACTAAGCATATTGAATGTGAGAGCTGCTGGAAATGCAGGATTGGGGCGTGCTGGGTGGGGCAGGTGATGTGTGCAGCTGTGGAAGCTGCTACCAAGTCAAGGTGAGCAGTGCAGAGAGAGAAAAGCAGGGGATTAGAGACCAAAGCTTGAGGACTGAGTACAGGCATCTAGGAAGAAAAAGCTTGGATGGAAGAGTCAGAGAAGTGCTCAGACAGGTGAGAGGAGAGGTAGGGCAGGACAGGAGGATCAGAAAAGGGAGATTTGAACAGCCAAATCACCTAGGCCACTTAGTTTGGGCTGCTCTTTAGAATAAAGCCAGCTATCCTAAAAGAAACTATGTCATGGGTAAATAAAAATGTCAATCAAACTAAAACTGAAATCACGAGAAAAAATTTCTGTTTGCTTGAGGTTTGTGCTCCTGGCCAGCGTAGCTGCAGGTGTGGGAAAGCGAGTGGAAACTGGACCCACCTGTGCCACCTGTCAGGACAAGCCCTGCTGTCTTGCCTCTGTTCGGGCTCTGTTTGGCATGCCTCCCTGGGGTCGTTTCAGTGCTCCCAAGCCTTTGTCCTCTTCTCCTGTGTCTGCCTTAGCACCTTTCCCCCTTTCCTTCCATTTCTTTTATTCATTCAACAGATATTCAAAGGAACTCAGCTGCAGCCCCCAAACCCCTGCAGAGCCTGTGAGTCACCCACTAGAGAGCTTGAAACATGGAGATGGAGATTCCTAGACGTGCAAATTCAGGATGCCTAAAAGCAGGGAGTGGCCAGCCATGCCTAGGTGCTCACTGCAGCCTAATCTGAGCAGCCTCTCTGGGGCTACCTCTGCGAATTTCCTATTTTGGAGCTGCTCTACCGGGGCTGGTTGGGGTTGGGGGACTGAGGCCCAGGTGTCTGGGTGTTTATTCCATATGGCTCCAAAAATATAGCATTCGGACAGCCTCCCAGCTGACCTCCCTGGAGCCCTGGCTCTCCCTCTGCTGAGCCTACATATGCCACCAAACTCATCCCTTCCCCCACTCCTAACACCCATACCAGTCAGGTGACACCCCAGCCACCATCACCATCCTCATCCATCCTCAAAGAGGTAGGTCATCCTTACCTTCGGCCCTACTTAGACATAAGGGGCCAAGCACCATTCTGGGTGACAAAGCACAAAACACCTGCCTCTTGGAGTTACATTCTGGTAGGGAAATAGACAAACATATCGTCACTACACACACATGCACACTCTCTATAGACTGTATATTTTGTGAGATCTTAAAAACATAAGTGTATGTAAAATAAATGTAAATATATTATCTTCTTAAGTAACATACATAGTATGTGACAAGGTGGCAGTCAGGAAAGGAATAGGGGGCACGGGGCTGGCAGGTTGTCAAGGTTTTGAAATCAGGCAGTCAGGACGGGTGGAGAGTAAAGACCTGAGGGAGGCGAGGAGCAAGTGCTGGGGGTATCAGAAAAGAGTATTCCAGGCGGAGGCAAGATCAGCCTGCTGGGAACAGCAAGGAAGCTGGTGTGGCTGGAGGAGTGGGGGTGGGGGCACAGGAGCAGAGGAGGCTGGAAGGGAGAGGCAGGCACAACATCCAGAAGCCCTGGGAGGCCTGAGCAGAGGAGTGGGCTGTCCTGCCGAAGGAGGCTGTGGAGGCTGCCCTGGAGGGGGCGGGGGCAGCAGCCCGAGGCCAGCTAGGAGGCAGTGATGTGACAGATCAGGAGGTGATAGAGTCACACACCAGGGTGGCAACTGCGGGGGCCATGGGAAGGGGTCTGATTCCAGCTCCATTTTGAGGTCAAGCCAACATGATTTGCTGACAGATGGGACGTGAGGTATAAGAGAAAGAGTTCTGAGAGGGGAGCCAGGCTGACACATCTGTTCAGTCTTCTCTCAGACTAGTCAACTTCTTCAAGCCTCAGTTTCCTCATCTGGAAAATGGGCCAGGTGGATAGATAACTTCCAAGGTCCCTTTTGTCTTGGGAAACTCATCCTTGAGCTCAGGTCACTGGGGCCTGGGGTGGTCAGGGAAGGCTTTGAACAAGTGAGTAGAACTCGGGCTTAAGAAAGGACTTAGACCAGACACCACCGAAAGGGAAAGAACGGGACAGGGGCACCCAGGCAAAGGGTTGCAAGGCCTATGAGTGGTGCCCGAGGATGGCAGGCAGACGCTGCTGTCAGAGCACTGGGCCTCGGTAGGAGGCTGCCAGGAGCCACAAGGATGGGCACACCAGCTCCTCAACACTACGCCCTTTGGAATAAACCAGCAGGTTCAGGGCCCGAGCACATTTTGCAAACACTGAGGCCCTCAATTTTCAGCATTTTCAGATGGACATGCTTAGGCAGGAAGGAACAAGGCTTGGCTCCTGGCCTGGGGAGAGTTAACCTCCTGGCCCGGCATTGCATAACCGCAGAGTCTGCTGAGCGCAAGGAGACTCTTCTGTGTGGCAGCCAGAGTGGCAAGCCTGGTGGCTCCGGGCTCTGGCACCATCCCGCAGCGGAACAAACAGCCCTCCCTTCCCAGATAATGGCCCTCATTGAGCATTGTGTCCATGGCCAGCACCCAGCACAGGGCAGCTCAGCCTGGGTAAGTTTCCTCTCTTGGCTGCTTAGCAAAATATTTACACTACGCCTTTCTAGTAAGATGGTTCCTAGGAACCAGCAGGCAGAGAGAGCTGGGGAAATGCACCCACCAGTGACCCTGGTCTCAGCTTAGGGAAATGCTGCCACACACCCAATGACATGTGAGCCTGGTGCGGTCATTGCCCTCCAGGGCTCTTTTGTAAAAGAAGACACTGAACTAAAAGATGCTTAGAAGCCTGTCCAGTTCCAAAGCCATTGGCATCTTCTCTAATTAAAGAGTGAACTCCAGTTTCTTATGATGTGGGAGTAGAATTTGGCTGGTCTTTAATATCTCACAAAGGGTCTCTTTCTCAGGAAGGCATGTGTGTGATTTGGGAGAGGTGAAGATGAGAAGTCTGAATCCTACCTACTTGGTTCTCTCCCGTGCATCATGGATGTCAGGAAACACTGTTGATATCTCCTGTGCACTGTCAATGTCCCTCTCTGTGTGTCTTTGAATGGGGAGCAAGGGGCATAAGCCAGATCACCCCAGGCGGTGCCGCACTTTAAGAGGTATCTGGACCAGCCCTCAGGAGCATGCAGCCCTTGTCAGAGGAACTTTTGAAGAAACTGGGTAACAGAATACTTGAGAGACAGACTTGCTGTCCTCAACCACCCCAGGGGTTGTCTGGAGAAAAAGGGTCAGAGATGTTCTGTGTGGTCCTCGGGACAGAATCAAAACCAGTGAGTGAAAATGACATGGCTCATTATTAGGACGATGGCCCAAACAATAGGCCCCATAGGTATTTTAACCAAAAACACACACATTGATCCATGTTTCCACTTCTGGAAATCCGGCCTATGGAACAATGAATGCATCAGTCTGTAAAGATATGTGTATAAAGGATGTTTATGGCAAAATTCTAGTAGGAAAACTTACAAAAAATATACAAACTTAACAGTAAATTTAAAGGTATTCCATCCAAACCATGGTCCATCATTCAGCTGTAACAAGATTGAGACAGATCCTGTCTCTGTTTGGAAAGGCAGTACGGTAGAGTGGTTAGGAGCACAGGGTCTGAAGACAGACAGCCAGGGTTCAAATCCGGATCCCACCACTTACAAACTGTGTTGCTTGACCCTCTGGCCATTCACACTCCTCTTTGGTAAAGTAGGGATTGCAATAGTGCCTGTCCTTTAAGCTTGTTAGGAGCAGTAACTGAGTTAATTATGTGAGGTGCTTATAACTGTGCCTGGTACAGGATAACTGCTCACAACCTATTGGCCTGTAGCCTAGAAAGACTGTCCATGAGGAAGGCCGAGTGCTGAGGAATGTACATAGGATGATACCATTTTTAGAAAAACAAAAATTGAGCAGGTGCAGTAGCACAAGCCTGTAATCTGAGATACTCAAGATGCTAAGGCGGGAGGATCATTTGAGGCCAGGAATTTGAGACCAGCCTGGGCAACATAGTGAGACTCCATCTCAAAAAAAAAAAAAAAAGGCTCCCCATCTTCCCCACTTCCTATACCCTGTTTGAAAAAAAAAAAAAAAGTAATTGCTATTGCCTCAGGCAGTGAGTGGCCTCCTGAGAGCAGCCTCTAAGGAAGGCTGGAGTCTCAAATGGGAGCTTGGGTCAGTGTCCTTGGCAGTCCCTTCAACCCGGAGACTCTGAGACTCTGTGCGTCCCTCTTAGAAATCTCAAAGTACATCCTACCCTGCCTTTAACTGAACGGGATAGTCTGCTGTTTGCAAAAATATACATGCCAAGACACGTCCTTTGTGCAGGTGGGGAACAAAGATGTTGGCTGGGGGCTTAATTCTACAGCACTGCCCATTGCCCTGCTGTGGCATTCATCAGTGGAGCCCACATGGTTCCACTTGGGGTGCTCTAAGTTTCCTCCTAGACCCATGGGTTTGTATGAGCCATGCCAACCATGACACCATGACCTGTCTGAAATGGACTCCACCTTGGTCAGGTACAATGATGCTCAGATCCACCCACCACATGTCACAGGCTTTGGGAGTGGAGGGAGAGGTGACAGAAGCTCCCCACCTGGGGCATGTCTCTTGTGGAAATCAGTCATTTCTTCTCCCCTTTGGTTAAACCACTTGAGATGCGGTAGAGAGTGTCATCTTAGCAGAGAGAAAACACACTTGTTAAAGGAGTCTTGGAGTTATTAATATATTTAACAAATATAAAATATTTTCAAAATATTTCATCCAAGCAGCAATATTATGCATGATAATATAACACTAGTGAACTCACCACCCTGCTAAAAAAAAAAAAAAAAAAAAAAAAAAAAAAGACTTGTCAAATACAGTGGAAGCCCTGCATCGCTTCCACAATGTGGGTCCCTTTCTCCTGTGCTCCCAGGAGTGACCGTCATCCTGAACTCGGGATTACCATCCCATGATTGTTTTCTGGGTTTACCCTGCCCCCACCGGGCTTGCCCTGAGTTGGGTGAGGCCCTGTGCCTCTCTGCCCACAGTCTTTTCCTGTTAGACTCTTTTGGTGAGTTTCAGCCTTTGGTTACATCTAAATGTCCACCGGCCCTGCCACTGTTTCTGGGCAGTCTTGGTGCCTGTCCTGTCACTGGCCTTGTGGTCTTGCGCGAATCCCTTCTCTTCCTTGGGCCCAGCATCTTCACCTGTCAAACGTGGACTTTAGACCCCACTTAAGTGCCCTCTAGCTCTAAGCTTGCGTGGTGTGATGGGGAAGCCAGGCTGAGGGTTCTCCAGGTGGAGGAGATGGGGGGCAGCCCCAGTGCATCCCAAGGTGAGGGACGGGCCGATTTCCCAAGTTCAGGACATAAACCATGAGTAGAAGATGAGCTGATTTTGGGAGAACATGCTGGAAGTTCTTTAATTGACTGGTAAAATTATTTATTTAATTCAGTAAAAAATACTAGTTGGCAGTTTCTCCTGTGGTCCCTATTGCTTAGGAAGAAGTAACCTTTAAACAAGTCCAATTCAAGTCAAAGTAAATTAAACTATTACATAAATAGCAATACAATACGATGGCATTATTTCTGAGAAAACTTGTAACGGTGGTCACCAAATGGCACAACGTTTCCCAAACAGGAGCTAATGACTTAAAGGGTGGGGCCCACCTGGCCTTCTGAGATGCTGGGAGAGCCAATTGCCTAGCTCAGAGCTGGATGTCAGAGCCCCGGAAGTATTGGGAGGATGACTTCATGGAGGGCTCCCTACTTAAAACAGCATGGAAGAAATTTCCTTCAGATCTTAGTGCCAAGAAGAGCTTTGTTTTTTCTGAGGAACTGGCCAGCGTATCATCAGAACACGGAGACTGTGCAGCTAACTGTGTTGCCCTTCTTCCTCTGACTGCTGTATACTAAATCCATGGCCCCAAGAGAGCTACCATGTGGGGCCTTCTAAGTGACTTACCCATCTTCTTCCATCCCTTCTGGTCTTTCATTTCCCCTGGGTTGATTTTTCATTTTAAATTTGTGTTCCTATTTTGTTTTTGTAAATTACCTCAAATCTACTGTGGAATAAATCAAGTTAAAATTGCAAAAAGACAAAAAGGGGATTAACTAATGAGTTAATCTATCTGTGCACAAACTGTACATGACCAAAGCATGCTTGGCTCTGCTCAGCCTGTTGGGACTTCCTACGAGGAACTGAAGCCCTGCAGAAAGGAGGCTTGCCTTAGGCAGAAAGGGTGGCAAAGCAGTTGGGATGGCCACTGCCTGTTTTCCACCCCTAGAATGGAACCATCTAAGCCCTTGGGACTTGCACCCTCTGTTGAGCTTTGAGATCATCTCAGAAATGGTACTCTCCCTGCAGACTCAGAGCCTTTAGACTCAGGGCTGGTGGCCCTTGACACGCCTCTCTCACCACCAGATAATTATATTTTCAGGCAGCTGTTCCTTGGGGAGGAATATTGAGTGCCGTCCCATGTGCTATCTGTTTCTGACCATTCTGATTCTGCTGCTGACCTCAGACTGCCCATGTTGTGGCTACCTCTCCCATCTGAGTCCCTGCACTGCCCAGTCACAGACATCTGCTGCCGGACGCCACACTGCCCTGATGGCTCAGAGCGGCCAGCTCCAACCTGCGTGATCTCACAGGCATTGTGGCCTGGGCGTCAGGGTGCTGTGAGAAACACCAGGAAACACTGATATTTTTAGTGCAAATGATGAAAAACGTTATGCTAAGTGAAAGAAGCCAGACACAAAAGGACATATGGCGGGTGATTCCATTTTTATGAAATGTCCAGATAAGGCAAATTTATAGAGATGGAAACTAGATGAATTAGTGGCTGCCAGGGGCTGGAGGGAAGGGAATGTGGAGTGATTGCTAATGGGTACAGGATTTCTTTTCAGAGTGATACATGTGTTCTGGAATTACATCATTGGGATGGTTGCACAACCCTGTGAATTTTATGGTATGTGAATTGTATCTCAATATTTGAATAATCAAATGACTAGACAGCATTTAAAGAGTTATGTTTATGAGAAAGATACTCAAAGTTTACACAATTCTACTCATTAGCAAATTAATACACCCCTTTTTTCAGAAGGAATTAAAGTGACTTCTGCAAACTATTAACTGAAGCTTTCCACAATTTTAACTTTGTTCATTCATTTATTTATTTATTCACTCACAAATACCCATGAGTGCCTACTATGTGGCAGGCACAGAGAACATGAAGGTGTTTAAAATACAGCCCCTGCTCTCCAAAATGTGTAGCTGGGGAGATGGGCATGTGAAAAGATTAGTACAGTGAGGGAATACAATATAAAATGTCACGAGACCCGCCCCACGCGTTCCAAAGTAAGCAGTCAAGAATTGACAACTGTCATTGCCTCTGGAGAGGGGAGCTGTGAGTGGCCTGGGCTGGAAGGCAGGGGTGTGTTCCTGTTCTGGAAAGAAATCATTCACTCAGGCCAAAGCCTATTGGGAAACCCATTTGGAGAGGACGCAGCTTGTCAGAAGGGTTTGGAGCTCTTGGGAATGGAGGGAGTGTCCCTGCAGGCAGTGAGCCCCTAGCGGCTGACTCCGCGCCCAGTGCTCCTGGCTGTCCTCCACTGCTCCCTGCCCAGGGAATCCTCTGCCCTGTCCAGGTCCCTTGGAGCTTCCTTGGGCGCTTCCTGGAAGGAGGTGCTGCATTCACCCTGCCAGGGCCAGGTTGGGACAATGAGAGGCAGAGACTGCCCCATTTCTGTGTGGCAAACAAGAAACATGGTTTATCGGTTCTTCTGAGGCTTCAGTTGTACCTCAGACCCTAAAGGGCCCAGCTCTGCCCATCTCTTCCATGCAAAGATGAAGGGAGGGGACAGGGGCTGGCACTGTGGTACCCTGAAGGAGGCACTTAGGACGGTGATGATTCTAGGCCCTGATGAATTCATTTTTTAAGCCAGCAAACCCTCCTGGTCCCCTGAGTTCAGGATACCGTATTTGTCCAAGCAAAGGATAGCTCAGGAATACAGAAATGAGTCTGATCCTAGGCAGGACTCAGGGAACACCATGAATCCTTGAGAACCATGGGACGGAGAATCAGAGTCCTGAGCTGTGGATCCAGCCCAGCCACTTTCCACCTCTCTGAACCTCTGTTTCCTCATCTGCAAAACGAAGTGATAAGCCCCTTCCCAGAGGGCTGTTTTGAGGAAATTCTTAGTTATGAAGTATGTTAGACATTGTGTTTGCAGTCTTAGGGGGCAGTTGGAGCCATGAACAGGAGGTCTGCAAGGAGGAACTTGGGTGAAATTAAATGAGACAGTGGCTACAGGGGCCTTTGGTGAGCTGTAGTCACTGCACTAACGTAAGGCGGCATTGTTGGGATTATGATCCATCTGAAACAGGGGTGTAAACACCGGCCAGGGGAAGGCAGAATGGGTTCTGTCTGAGATGGAAAGAGGTCCCAGGGAGAAACTGGCAGTGGTGACAAGAAGGATTTGGCTGAACAAAGAAGGGAAGATGGGGGACCGGGCAGCAGGCCAAGGGAGGGGCTTGAACCCTGGCAGGAGGCAGAAAGGGTGAGAGGAGCTGGGGCACAGGTGGGTGGGAGTGGGAGGAGGAAGGTGGGGAGGCGGGAGGAGTGGAGGTGGGATCACAGGGTGGAATAGCCAGACTGCCAGGCAGGAAGGTGAGGTGAGGTTGGGTCCTGTAGAAAAAGCCTGGGCCATCAAGAAGGGCGAGTTTATATCTTCACAGACCTAGTCAGGAGGTTCATCTGGGGCCAGAATCAGGTGCTCTGGGGTGAGCCGACCTCAGGCAACCGGAGTTCCCAGGCTAGGGAGAAGCATCCAGAATGTCAGGGCGGGAAAGGTCCCCGAAACCCAACTCTAGTGAATACCATATTTTTCCGATATGGAATCAGGCAGCACAATCTCACAGAGGACTTGCCTGGTTGCCCAGGACAGTGGGAGAAAGCCAGGTGGGTCTCTAGATCCCCAGGCCTGAACAACATTCGAGTTTTCCCTTGCTTCCTTGATTAAAGGCTGCTAGAGCCACATGTGGAGGTGAAATGGGGAAGTGGTTGAGACACACACTGCAGACCCCCTGCCTGCCTTGGCTTGCAGTCTCACTCTTTGTTGAATGTGTGCCCCTGGGCGCATGATGGAACCTTCGGTGCCTTTGTGTCCTCATCTGTGAGATGGATGTAAAAACATTGCCGGCCTGATAGGCTCGTTCTGAGGACTGAGGACATGTCAGGTTCTCGGCAGAGAGCCTGGCACATGGCGCTCTGTCCCCATCAGCATTTCTTATGATTGATTATCCCAGTTGCTCCACAGTTTGTGTCTTTGTTACGAGATGGAATTTGCCTTCCTTAAACCACCTTTGGTTTAAGGAAGTCCCTTTGCCCGTGTATAGCTTATCTTCTGGCTCTTCTCCTGTTTCCTCAATTAAATGCTCTTGACTTGAGCCTGGGTTACGTTATCATCCATTCAACTTAGCGTTTGTTTATTCATCCATTCACTCATTCATTTGCTCATAATTCCCTGGACAACCCGTGACCTTTGTTTAGAACAGGAGTGTAACATACACTAGTAATTTTCTCAAAGGGTCACCCTTCTGCCCCCACACCCTGAGCCTACGGCCTTCTTTCTCACAGTGTGGGATTTTCAGAGTTCACCTGGTTGAATGGAAGAAAGCCTGTATGAACTGCAAGAGCTTATTTTTTGGAAATGCAGCCCCACGAAATCATACTTGACAACATCGTCTTGTTCAGGGAGCACAGAGTGGGAGCTTGGGGGGTCTCAGGGCAAGTTTAAGAAGGCTGAGGATGATGACTGCTCCCCTCAGGCACACAAACAGTACATTCCCTGAGTGCTTTTGAGAGCTCAGATGTTGTCAAAAAAGGAAGATCTGGAGGTCAGATCAGGACCTAGAGTGCGAATGCCTCACAAGAAATTGCGCTCGGAATTCAGTAAGTATTTATTGAATTAAACCGGGCTCCCTGGGTGGAGCTGGAGAAGCTGGACAGGTGGTACCATGGCCTGTGGGGTCCTCTCCTCACCAGAGCTGAAGAAGGCTGTGGGCCACTGCCCCACCAGTGACTGATATTCAGGAGCAGTGCTGTTAGCCTGCTTTGCAGGAACCGTCCCTCTCTGGCCTGTCTTACCAGATGCCTTTCAAGAGGCTCAATGGGAATGCCCCTCCCACCATCCAGTAGGATTCCCCTAGGCCATCAGCCTCAGTACTCTCTTGTTCTCACAAATTCACCCACCTAGGGATGTAATGGTGAATGAGACTGGCTCCTTGGCCTAAAAGAACCCTGTCCTGTAGGAGGAGAAAAGCTTGTAAACAAATACATTACCACAAGGTGTAAGACATGTGATAGCAGCAAAGTGTCTAAGGTACAGAGGTGACTGGCTGAGTGTAAGGGGGCCATAGAAAGCTCGCTGAAGGATTTGATGTCTGAAGTTGTGTATTAGGGTTCTCCAGAGAAACAGAACCAATTGTGTATGTGTGTGGTGTGTGTGTGTATACAGAGAGAGAGATTTTAAGGAATTGGCTCATGCAGTTGTGGAGGCTTTTCAAGTCCAAAATCTGCAGGATGGGCCAGCAGGCTGGAGATCCAGGAAGGAGGAGCCAAGGCTAAAGGTAGTCTGCAGACATCATTCCCCTGTCCTCTGGGGAGGGCACTCTTTTTCTGTTAAGGCGTTCAACCGAGTGGATGAGGCTCACTCATATTGTGGAAAGCGGTCTGCTTTACTCAGAGTTTACCAATTCAAATGTTAATCTTGTCTAAAAAATGCCTTCACAGAAACATCTAGAATAATGTTTGACCAAGCGTCTTGGCCTATGGCATAGCCAACTTGACACAAAATTAACCATCACTGGTGGGTTTAAAGGACATTGAGGAGTTTGCCACATGTCTAGGAGGGAAAGGGCATTTCAGCCATTGGGAACGGCGTGTGTTCTGAGAATTCTCCAGCTCCATGTGGCTGGAACACACAGATGGAGGGAATGAGAGAGGTGAGGCCTCCAGAGCCATGCCGTGGGGCCTAAACTAGTGGGGAGGCTGAAGGGTCTTAAAAAGGGGTGTCATTATGGATTGGAGACAGCCTTTGAGCAACCTTAGAGGATGGGGTGGAACCCTTTCTCCTGGTACACTTAGTGTAGATAGCTCGCTGAATCTCAGCTGTGGTAGCTGACAGTGTACAGGGACTTTGCTGATTATCCACCTCCAAAGGCAAACACAGCCTGCCAGGTGCCTACACGGAGGCTTGCACGCCCTTAGGCAGTCGGGTCATTGACTGGTGTCCATGAACTACTAGGCTGCCCAGGCAAACAGGGCTGGCTGTTCCTACCCTCAGTGGAACTAGGTGGGCATTGTGCATCGGTGGGGGCCCAGGTTCAGGAACATCAGAAGTGTTCCCCCTAAGGGCAGACACCATGGAGTTCTGAGATGATGCCCTGCATGGGAAGGGTTCATCTTCCTTTCCGGTGTCCACATCCTGGAAGGGACATTGGCCTCAGCCAATGAGTCATGAATGCATTGATTTCCTAAGTCCTGGAGCACAAGTGCCCACCTCCACCTCTTCCCTAGGAATTGGTATGATGACAGTGAAAACCGTTTTTTTTTTTTATTGAGACGGAGTTTCACTCTTGTTGCCCAGGCTCACTGCAACCTCCACCTCCTAGGTTCAAGGGATTCTCCTGCCTCAACCTTCCAAGTAACTGGGATTACAGGCATGCACCACCACACCTGGCTATTTTTTTTTTTTTTTTTTGGTATTTTTAGTAGAGACAGGGTTTCACCATGTGGTCAGGCTGGTCCCAAACTCCTGACCTCAAGTGATCCACCCGCCTTGGCCTCCCAAAGTGCTGGGATTACAGGTGTGAGCCACCGTGCCCAGCTGAAAGCCATTTTTGAAAGGATGACATCATAACAGCATTAGAAAACAAGATAGGAAGTCATCCGTGGGACGGAAACATTCCTAAATCTTAGGAAGATAGAAAGCCCATGAGATTGCACAGACAGAGCAATCAGAGCAGAAAACATTGCAGCCCAGGATTCCAGAAGTCTCAGTGATTTTTGTCTCAGAAGAGCCAAGCATAGTTCAAGCTGAGAGCCAACAAAGCACAGAAAAGGAATGGGTTAGCAGTGTTCTCCCCTGAGAGCCCTTCAGAAGAGCAAGTACAGTTGGACCCCTCCCCGCCTTCTTCACAAAGAGGCAGGCAGCCAGTGGCCGCCAAATTCCCCAACAAATGCTCTCTAAGGAAAGTCTGAGACAGCAGCTGAGCAAGGGCATTCCAGACCTCTCTAGCAGACTGGATGTGGGGCAGGGAGCCAGAAGAAGGATTGGCAGCTCCGTCTCAGGGTGAAGTATAGCATTATGCCCACCATGGAGAAAAGTCCTTCTTTTGGCAATTGTGGGAGTTCCCTGGCCACTTCCTGTCCACGGTTATTACTAGGAGACTTGCCACACTGCTTCACCCTCCTGCAGGGAACCTTTCCATGACTGCCACCCTCACATTCAAGACTGAACTGGTCAGAGAAATAGACGAGACACCTCACGGGAAGCCCTATGTAGTTAGTATTCCACTTATATCTTTTTTCTCTTCTTCTGTAGTGATGGAAATTTTAGCAGGGCACACAGCCACTCAGCTAAACACTACACTGCCTCACCCTCCTAGCAGCTAGGAGTGGCCATGGGCTCGTGTGAGCTGAAATGACAAGTGCAACTCCCAGCTCTGCCCTCCCCTTTATCGTTCCCACTGAGTAGGGTGTGGATGTGATGGTGGGAGATGGAAGTCATGTGCTGTGGATATCAGAAGACCAAGATCAAAGATGTCCACACGGTGAAGCCACCATATCAGCCATGGCCACTTAAACTCAGATTGCACATAAGACAGAAATAAACTGTCTCGTCTAAGCCACTCCTGCAGTTAGGTCCTTGTTATAGGAGCTAGAACCTGTATCCTAATACATATCCTAACTTTACAACATAATCCCTCATTCATAAATATATTGGATAACCAAAATCACCAAACATTGGAAGCAAACCAATAGAATGAAAGAGAAGGCCTAAAATGGAAAAAAGAAAAAAAAAAGGAAGAGCTTATTTCAAAGGAAACAGTTTGAATATAAGAAAGCCCAAAACTAAATTATCAGTAGTATCCTTAACAGTAAGTAAGAGGTTCTTTCATTCACCTCTGTAAGTGAAATAACCTATAATATCAGAGGAGCAGGTTGCTATGAAGATAGCACAATTGGAGGAAAGGAAATACTTGCTGAAATTGTAAAATATCATTATGGAAAAAACTTCAGTGGAAAAACTGAATAACACAATGGATATGCATGAAGACCAGATTGGTCATTTCAATGTTAAAACCAAGAAAACCTCCCAGAAAGCAGAGCAAAGTCTCAAGAAGAAAACATTAAGACCCATGGAGGATAGATCCAGAGGTTCAGTATCCATCAACTAGGAGATCTAGAACTAGAAGCCACAGACAGTCAGGGGGTGGGTAGAAATAGTGAAAGATATAGCCAAAGAAATTTCCTCTCAGTTGAGAAATACACACGGCCAGGCTTGGTGGCTCACACCTATAATCCAGCACTTTGAGAGGCTGAGGTGGGAGGATTGCCTAAGCCCAGGAGTTCAAGACCACACTGAGCAATATGGTGAGACCCCATTTCAATTTAAAAATAAAAATAAAAAAAAAAGAAACACACACAGATTTTAAACTAGAAAGATCATACTGACTTTAGGGCAGGAATTAGTAAAATGAGCATGCAGACCCATCTTGGTGAAATTTCAGAACATCAAGGATAAAAAACAAAAAACTTCCAGAGAGACTCAAAAATTACCTCAGAATTTCTCACCAGTCATGCAAGATGCTCCAGTACAGTGGAGTACTTTCACAATTCTGGAGGATAAACTAAGAGTCATCCTGTCAAACTTTGAAAAAAATAGTTTTTTAAATGTGTAAGATTCAGAAAGTTTGTCACTCAGTCACCTATATTTTCTGGAAGAAAATAAAACCTCCTGGAGTTATTTCATCAATCAAAAAAGGAACCCAAAATAATTATTAAATGAGGTTCAAGAAGAAGTGAAGGAAGCTATCCATTTTTCTTCTTGTGACCAAGTTTCAGTAACGTGGAACCACTTGCCTTTCTCATGGGTCCATTCATACTGAGTGGCTTCGCAGGCAATGATATCTTCATAATGATGTTGTTAACTAGCTTCACTTTTTAGAATTATCCTATAGAGTAGACTTAATTATACTGTCGATGAGAATGTAATTGTTATGCAAAAGCAATAACATATAACAAAAATCTGAAGGTGGGCAGGAGGGAAGGAAGTGGAAAGTAGAGAATGTGGACAAATTTTATTGCTCATAGTAGGAAGTGAATAGACACTGTCTAAAGTTGATAGATCAGAAAATCGCAATTTAAGTATATTACTTGAAGATGCTAAAAGCAACTGCCAGAACCACCAAAAATTGGTAACCACCAAAAATTGTGAGATGGGGTGGAAGGAAATTGGGAGAGAGAGGTTGAATGCGAAAAACTCTGCAGTTTCACAGCAGAGAGTCAGTACCATAACCAAGTGAGGACGGTTTGGCATTCTGGGGCCTAGAAGACATCAGATTTTAGAGAGATTAATAATTTGAGAAGAAATGGACTTTGTAACCACACCAGTACTACATCTCTTCATTCAGTACTTGCTGCCATCCTAACACATCTGTCCTACCATTCCAGACATCAGATGTATCATGACCGTGAGAAGGTTCATTTGTTCACTCAAAAAATGTTTATGGGGAATTTATTTAAATAAACAAATCTGAAAGCTGATTTGATTCATGCCCTCAGCCCCACCCCCCACTACTATGCTCTGCACACCCAACACTCTAACCACACTGGACCTTCTCACACAATTAGGGTTTCCCCAGCATCTTTCTGTCTTTCTCCCACTCATCCCCTTTTCTGCTCGGTGAGATCCTGTTCATCCTTCAGAGCCCAGTGTGTGTATCTCTAAAGCCTACGCTGGTGAGCCGTCCCTCCCCACCCCCAGGAGTCAGCCTCTCCCAACCTGTACTGGGAACCTGTTTCTATCATGGCATCTACCACCCCTTATTATCTTTTTGGTTCTTTTTTCTCTTTCCCTATAAGCTTTGTATTTTTCAGGTGTAAAGCCCATGTCTTTTCAAAAATTGAGGTATAACATACATACAGTTATGTACACAAACCAGAAGTGTACCGCTGTACTGGAATAGTTTTCTTTTTAACATATGTATGTGTGTGTGTGTGTGTGTGTGTGTGTGTGTGCGCGTGTGCGTGTGTGTATGTAATATCTATGTAACCACATCAAGATGTGGAACAATTGTACACCCAGAAAACTGCTTCATGCCCCTTCGGAGTAAATACCCACCTGCCCCATTAGAAATCAGAAACCACTATCCTGATTTCTTTTCTTTCTTCCTTCCTTTCCTTCCTTTCCTCCCTTCCCTTCCCTTCCCTCCCCTCCCCTCCCCTCCCCTCTCCACCCCTCCGCTTCCCTTCCCTTCCCTTCCCTTTCTCTTTTTTTTTTTTTTTATTGGAGACAGAGTCTCATTCTGTCACCCAGACTGGAGTGCTGTGGCGTGATCTCAGCTCACTACAGCCTCTACCTCCTGGGATCAAGCGATCCTCCCACCTCCACCTCCCAAGTAGCTAGGACCACAGGTGTGCACCACCACACTCAGCTAATTTTATTTATTTTTTGTAGAGATGAGGTCTCCCTACATTGCCCAAGCTGGTCTCGAATTCCTGGGCTCAAGCAGTTCACTCACCTCGGCCTCCCAAAATGCTGAGATTATAGGCATGAGCCACTGTGCCTGGGCTATCCTATTTTCTAATACCATAAGATTGGTTTTTCGCCTATCCTTTAACTTTAATTAAGTGGAATCATATAGTATGTCTTAGGCTGCTAGTACAGAATACTAAAGCTGGGTAATCTATAAAGTAAAGAAATTTATTTCTCACAGTTCTGGAGCCTGGGAAGTCTAAGATCAGGGTGCTGACATATGGTGTCTGGTGAGGGCCTTCTTGCTGCATTCTTACATGGTGAGAGGTACCAGGGCAAGTGAGATGAAGTCTCCTCAGCAAGCACTTTTATGAGACACCTAATCCCATTCACTAGGGAGGAATCTTCACAGCCTAATCACCTCTTAATACTATCACGTTGACAATACCTGAATTGTGGAGTTTCCACATTCACATCATCACACGGCATATAGTCTATTGTGTCTGAATTCCTTTACTTATTATTATATCTGTAAGATATATATTTTTGTCTGTAGCAGTACTTTGTTCTTTTTTATTACTATGTATAATTGTTATATGAATATACCACAATTTATTTATCCATTCTATTTGTTGCTGGCATTTGAGCTGTTTCCAGTTTTTTTGGCTATCATGAATAGATCTGCTATGAAAATTCTTCTTTGTGTTTTTTGGAGGACATACATAGGCATTTCTATAGGATATAGTCTTAGGAGTGGAATTTCTGGGTCTGAGGGTAGGTGTGTGGCATTAGTCTTTGCCAATCAATTGTCCAAATGTGTCTATTTACCTTCCCACTAACAATGCACAAGAAGAGTTCCAGTTGTACCACATCCTTGCCAACACTTGGCGTCATTTTGTTTGCTTCATGTTAGCTGTTATGGTGAATGTGTTGTAGATTTAATTAACATTTCCCTAATGACAAAATTGTATTGAGCATTGTTTTATATGCTTCAATACCTCACTTTTAATAACGGATAGAATATCAACACAGAAGATCAACAGAGAAGCAAATGACTCGAACAACACTATAGACCAAATGGACCTAACAAATAAATGCCAAAAAATTCCACCAAATAGCAGCAGAATACACATTCTTTTCAAGCACACATGGATTTTTCTCCATGTTAAGTTACAACACAAGTCTTAACAAATTTAAGATTGAAAGCATACCAAATATATATTCTGATCACAATGGGATGAAACTAGAAATCAATAGCAGGCCAGGCACAGTGGCTCACACCTGTAATCCCAGCACTTTGGGAGGCCAAGGTGGATGGATCACTTGAGGTCAGGAGTTCAAGACCAGCTTGGCCAACATGGTGAAACCCCGTTTCCACTAAAAATACAAAAATTAGATGGGCATGGTGGCAGGTGCCTGTAATCCCAGCTGCTGAGGAGGCTGAGGCAGGAGAATCGCTTGAACCTGGTAGGCAGAGGTTGCAGTGAGCTGAGATCACACCACTGCTCTCCAGCCTGGGTGACAGTGAGACTCCATCTAAAAAAATAAATAGGCCAGGCACGGTGGCTCACGACTGTAATCCCAGCGCTTTGGGAGGCCGAGGTGGGTGGATCACCTGAGGTCAGCAGTTCGAGACCAGCCTGGCCAACATGGTGAAACCACATCGCTACTAAAGATACAAAAAAGTAGCTGAGCATGACAGTGCGTGCCTGTAATCCCAGCTATTCAGGAGGCTGGGGCAGGAGAATTGCTTGAACCCGGGAGGTGGAGGTTGCAGTGAGCAGAGATCGCGCCGCTACACTGCAGCCTGGGTGACAGGGCGAGACTCAGTCTCAAAAAATAAAAAATAAAAATAAATAAATAAATAGAAATGGAAATCAACAGCAGAAGGAAATTGAAAATTCAAAAATATGTGGAAATTAAATGACACACTGTAAACAACCATTGGGTCAAAGAAGAAATCAAAAAAGAAATTAGAAAATACCTCAAGAGAAATGAAAACAAAAACACAACATACCAAAACTTATAGGATTCAGCAAAACCTGTACTCAGAGAGTTCGTTGTGATAAATGCCTACATTAAAATAGAAGAAGGATCTCAAATAAGCAACCTAACTTTATACCTCAAAGACCTAGAAAAAGAAATTAAGGCCAAGGTTAACAGAAGGAAAGATATAAGGATTACAGAAGAAATAAACAATACAAAAACAATAGGAAAAAAATCAATGAAACTAAGAGTTGGTTTTTTGAAAAGATTTTTTAAATTGACAAATCATTAGCTATGCTAGAAAAAAAGAGAGGAGACTCAAATAAATAAAATTATAAATTAAAGAAGAGACATCACAACTGATGCCACAGAAATAAAAAGGATAAGAGACTACTATGAACAATTCTATGCCAACAAGCTGGATAACTTAAAAGAAATGGATATGTTCCCAGAAAAATACAAGACTAAATTATGAAGAAATATAAAGTCTAAACAGACCTATAACTAATATGAAGATTGAGTCAGTAATCAAAAAACTCCCAACAAGGAAAAGCCCAGGACCAGATAGCTTCACTGGTGAATTCTACCAAAATATTTTTTAAAGATTTAACATTGATCCTTCTGAAAATCTTCCAAAAAAAATTGAAGAGGAGGGAACACCTCCAAACTCATTTTATGAGGCTAGCATTACTCTGATACAAAAGCTAAACAAAGACACCACAAGAAAAGAAAACTACAGGCTAATATTCTTAATGAATATAGATGCAAAAATCCTCAACAAAATACTAGCACATCAAACCAAATAGTGCATTAAAGGGATCATACACCATGACCAAGTGGGATTTATCCCTGGGATACAAAGATGGTTCAATATACAAAAGTTAATTAATGTTATACATCACATTATCAGAATAAAGACTTAAAATCACATGAGCATCTCAACAGATGCAGAAAAGGCATTTGACAAAATTCAACACACCCTTTTTGATCAAAGTTCTCAAAAAACTAAGACTAGAGGGAAAGTACTTCAACATAATAAAAGCCATATATAACAAGCTTACAGCTAATACTATACTCAGTGGTGAAAAACGGAAAAGTTTTTTCTCTAAAATCAGGAAGAAGCTAAGGGCAAGAATGCCCTTGCTTGCCATTTCTATTCAAGACAGTACTGGAAGTCCTAGCCAGAGCAATTAGGCAAGAAAAAAAATTAAAGACATTTAAATCAGAAAGGAAGAAGTAAAATTGTTCCTGTTTGCAGACAAAATAATATAAAATCCTAAAGATGCCATTAAAAAGTATTAGAACTAATTAACAAATTTAGTAAAGTTGCAGGATACAAAATCATTTACAAAAATCAGTGGCATTTCTATACACTAACAACAAACTAGCTGAAAAGAAAATTAGAAAAATAATGTCACTTATAATAACACCTAAAACAATACTTAGGAATGAACTTAGCTAAGGAAATGAAAGACTTGTGTACTGGAAACTACAAAACATTTAATAAAGAAATTAAAGAAGACACAAACAAAGAGAAAGACATCCTGTGTTCATGGATTGGAAGAATTAATATTGTTAACATGTCCATACTACCCAAAACAATCTACAGAGTCAATGAAACCCCCATAAAAATCTCAATTACATTACTTTGCCTAAATAGAAAAAACAATTCTGTGATTTATATGGAACCACAAAAAACACAAATAGCCAAATCAATCCTCTGACACAAGAACAAAGCTGGAAGCCTCACATTTCCTAATTTCAAAGCATAAAAAATTACACTAATCAAAACAGTATGGTACTGACATAAAGACAGACATGTAGACCAATGAAACAGAACAGAGAACCCGAAATAAATCCAGTATATATGCTGACTGATCTTCAACACGGGTGCCAAGAAAACACAATGGAGGAAGGGTAGTCTCTTCAATAAATGGTGCTGGGAAAACTGGATATTCATATGCAAAAGAATGAAATTGGATTCTTATCTTACATAAAAATTAACCATACATAAAAATCACCGTACATAAAGATCAACTCAAAATGGATTAAAGACTTGGATGTAAAACCTAAGACTGTAAAACTCCTAGAAGAAAACATAGGAGAAAACTTTATGACATAAAACTTCTAGAAGAAAACATAGGGGAAAACTTCATGACATATTCTTATTGACCATTTAGATAACCTCTTGCTTGTAGTGCCTGTTAAAATCTTTTGCTATTTTAAAAATTGTGGTAAAATAGACATAACATTGACCAACTTTACTATTTTAAATTCAGTAGTGTTAAGCAGTCACATTGCTGCGCAACCAATCTCTAGATTACTTTTCATTCTGAAAAGCTGAAACTGTATACCCATAAAACAACAGCCCCCCATTCCCACAGCCTCTGGCAACCACCAGTTGACTTTCTGTCTCTATGAATTTGATTACTCTAAGTACTTCATATAAGTGAAATTATGCAGTATTTGTTCATTTGTGGCTGGCTTATCTTACTTAGCATAATGTCATCAAGTTTCATACACACAATGGAATATTATTCCGTCTTAAAGAAGGAAATTCTGACACATGCTACAACATGAATGAATTTTTTATCCATTCATTCATCAATGGACATTTGGATTGCTTCCACCTTTGGCTGTTGTAAATCATGCCGCTATGAACATAGATGTACACATATCTCTTTGAGACTCTGATTTCAATTCTTTTGAGTATATACCCAGAAGGGGAATTGCTGGATTAGATGGTAATTCTATTTTTTATTTTTTGAGGAACTACCACAGTGTTTTCCATAGAGGCTGCACCGTTTTACATTCCTACCAGCAGAGTGCAACAGTTCCACTCACTTTCTCTACATCCTTGCAAATACTTCTTTTTCTTTTTTTTGTTGTAGCCATTTTAATGTGTGTGAGGTGGTATCTTCGTGGTTTTGATTTTTCATTTCCCTAGTAATTGGTAATGGTGAGCATCTTTTCACGTGCTTCTTGGCCATTTGTAGATCTTCTTTGGAGAAACGTCTCTTCAAGTCCTTTGCTCATTTTTTTAAAAATCGTTTTGCTTGGCTTTTTGTTGTTGAGTTTTGGAGTTCTGCATGTTAATCCCTTATCAGATATATGATTTGCAAGCGTTTTCTCTCATTCTTGTCTTTTTACTCTGTTGATGTTGTCCTTTCACGCATAGAAGATTTTAAATTTTGATGTAGGCAATTTATCTATTTGTACTTTTGTTGTGTATGCTTTTGGTGCCACATCTAAGAAGTTACTGCCAAATCCAATGTGATGAAGCTTCTTCCTTATGTTTTCTAAGAGTTCTATAGTTTTATCTCTGAGTTTAGGTCTTTGATTCATTTTGAGTTAACTTTTGCCATTTTCAGGTGCGTTGACTGCCTTTTTCTTACTCATTTTTAGGAATTTGTTTTCAAACATGTGTTGCAAATATCCTCTCCCAACCCATGGTTTGTCTTTCTACTCTATTATTAGAGTCTTTGTTGAACAGAAGTTTTAAATTTTAATGAAGCACAATTTAGCTTCTCTCCTTTATGATTATGTGATTACGCGTTTGTCAATCGAGTAAGAAATCTTTGCCTACCCCAAGTTCCGTGAAGATATTTTCTTGTTTTCTTCTACAAGCTTTATTGTTTAATCTTTTGTATTCAGGCCTATCATTTATTCATTTCACATTCGTTTTCTGTGTATGGTATGATATCGGGGGTCAAGGTTCATTTTTTAATATGGATATCCAATAGCTTTAGCGCCATTTATTGAAAAGACCATTACTTTCTCTATCAGATGCATTTTTCTTGTAAATCAGGTGACTGAGACTGGGTGTGGTGGCTCACACTTGTAATTCTAACACTTTGGGAGGCCAAGGTGGGTGGATCACTTGAGCCCAGGAGTTCAAGACCAGCTTGGCCAACATGGTGAAACCCCATCTCTAAAAAAAGATATAAAAATTAGCCGAGCATGGTGGCACGTGTCTGTAGTCCCAGCTGCTTGGGAGGCTGAGGTGGGAGAATCACCTGAGCCCAGGAGGTGGAGGTTGCAGTGAGCTGAAATTGTGCCATTACACTCCAGTTTGGGCAACAGAATGAGATCCTGTCCCTAAATAAATAAATAAATAAATAAATAACATCATGTGACTGTATGTGTGGGAGTATGTTTCCTTACCCTACTCTGTTTCCATTGATCTTCTTGTGTCTCTTTGTATCGATACTATACTGTCTTGATTACTGTAGCTTATAGTAAGGCCTATGATTTATGTCTGTTTTCATCTTACTGGCCTGGCATTGAGAAGGCCCACGTAGTACTTGCAGACTGAGTGGAGAAATGAAGAAATGAGTTGCAGTAGAGTGATCGTTATAACTGCTTTATCATTACTATACAGTTATATCTATCCTGCCATGTGGGCAAGAATGACAGAAGCCACAGGCAGTCGCCACCTCTTCTGTTGGACTACACTCTGTATGTCACCCAGTCTCCCAGTCATTTTTTCTTCTGTGGTTCATCTTATAGTGTGTGTGTGTATATATTATTGTGTATTCTATGTATTGCTCTCCATAGTAGACACAAGAACCTTAACTACCTAGGAAGCTTGTAGGTAGGTGTGCCTTTTGTGCCACAGTCACGTGTATAGAAACAAAATGCCATCAAAGGAACCACTAGAGACCTGCCAGAAACTGACAAGAGATCAGGCCACTGCAGCAAATGTGGAATTTGGGTCTCTCTTAGGCGGTGTTGATGAGAGACTGGCTGGACACAAATGGCCAGAAGACAAGCCTGCTGGGCCTGCGCAACTCTCATTTCAGGCTTTGTTCTTCCCTAAGCTCTTTCACCCACAAGCACTTCCTGGACCATTTAAGATAAACAGGTTGAGTTAAGTTCATAGATGCCCACTGAGTTCTCATGGGTGTCCAGATGCCTCTTTTAATCCTCATGGGAAAAATCGGATATAAATAAACAATGAGATAGGTAGGTGGATAGCTAGCTATGTACATTACATTAGATAACTTAGTAGGTGAATTAGCTACAAGCATCTGGGCCTTGTTTGTAGATGTGTGTAGGTGAGGTAAGGCTGTAGCAGCTAATGTCAGTTCATTTTTGGTCTCAATGGAAGCAAGGCTTAAACACTGTCGATACTTTTCCAGGAGAAAGGTAAAAAAAGGTTAACAAGCTTAGCCCTTATGAAGGAAAGGAAGGCTGCTAAAAACAGTGTTTGGTTACCTGCAGTGTCAGGACTGTGATTCAAATCTGTGTCCTCTCTGTGAGGCTGGTGTGGCCTGGCTGCCTTGAGGGTCACCACTGCAGGAGTCACCTGATGGTCCAAGTTCAGGTTCTGTCTCTGCTACTTATCAGTTTTGTGATTTTGGGCCTCAGTTTCCTCACCTGTAAAATGGGAATGATAATAGTACCCGCCTGAAGGGTCATTGTGAGGAATAAATGAGTGAATTTGCGTAACATACTAAGAACAGCCCTGGCACATAGTCAGAGTTCATTTGCTCCGTCTAGGCACAGGACATTGGTTTAGATGATCTTCCTCTGAATTATTATGCCCACAGACAATCAGGGGAAATCTGGGCCTCTGCAAGTCTGGCAGAGTAGAGTTTTTGCTACATCATTGCTTGATCTTGACTGTGAAATGTGTTTTTGCTTTCTATGGGGATGTCACAGGAGACTTCATTCTCCTTGGTGATATCAGTTTCACCTGGATCCCTGAGCTCTCTAACAGGAAGACAAATACCAGCCGGGTCTAACTCGTCTAGGATTGCCTAGGCTTCTGTTTGCTTTCGATAGAATTTGCTTTTTGACCAGTGTGCAGAAATTCCAAGCCCTGTTTAGGTCTTGGAGTTGGGAGGGAGGAGGAGAAGGAAAAGTAGGAACACAGAGACCAGTCATCCAAGGGAAATGATTTAAGAGCCTCCCAGACAGTGAAAAATCCACCATTCATTATTGAGGGAAAAAGCAGTTAACAAGAAACTCAGCCCTAAGGTTAACATGGTCATGCAGAGTGACTTGCATGCAGGGAGGACTTTGATGCAAGTGTATGTAGGTGGCTGCAGTTAACCAGGGAAGACTTCCTGGAGGATCTCAGATACAGGGAAGGAAGGTAGGATCCACTCGGTCATTCTGACCAAGATCAGGGCCCTTGGGGGTTTCCTGGATGTTGGCCAGCACTCAGGGTTCAAATCCTGCCTTTGCCTTTTTGTGTCTGATCTGAAGCAATTAGCCTCAGCCCTGCCCCCATCTATAAAAAGGGGATGTGTAAGAATCAATATGTTTGTTTTGTTTGGGCATGGTAGGTGGTCAGTTAAGTGTTTTTAAATATTTTTAATATTTTACTGAGTGTGGAGTTCTGTATCAGGCACTGGAAATGCAAATCTGAATGGAGCCTAGTTCCTGCCCAGGCCAGGGGGAGGCAGGTTCACCTGGAAGACACTGATGAACTGGTTAAGCCACAGGCCTGGCTCAAGGCAGACATCCCAGGCTTCTTGGGGGAACAGCACTGTTTGACCCATTGGATTAGCAAAAAACCTCTTCCTTCCAACACAGGCTATCTATGGACTCTAGGTTGTGCCTGTTTTCCATGAATGAATCCAGGTCAGAGGGTATGAGGGGCTGGTCACCCTGGAAGCATGGCCCAGCCCAGCAGCAGCAGTGCGCCCTTGCCCACCCCATGGGGACCCAGTTGTGCCTTCCACCTGCTTTCAGAGGGCAGTCACTGACCACAGCTCTGTTAGAAGATCTGCTTGACATAATGAGGCTTCACAGTTTGGGACTTTATCTCGTCATTCTGGGGCCTAGGAGGGGACGTGTGGAAACACCTCCCAGTGTCCAGAAGCCATCCCAGCACATCGTGGGGCTCCTGCCTGGAGCCCTGAAACATTTCCTGTGGCCACATTCCAGCCCCCTGTGCTTTGCGTACATTGAACCTTGTATTAGTCAGGGTTCTCTAGAGGGACAGAACTACTAGGATAGATGTATACATAAAGGGGAGTTTATTGAGGAGTATTGACTCACACAATCACAAGGTGAGGTCCCACAATAGGCCGTCTGCAAGCAAGGAAGCCAGTCTGAGTCCCAAAGCTGAAGAACTTGGCGTCCAATGTTTGAGGGCAGGAAGCATCCAGTGCAGGAGAAAGATGTAGGCCAGGAGGCTAAGCCAGTCTAGTCTTTTCATGTTCTTCTACCTGCTTTTATCCTGGACACACTGGCAGCTGATTAGATGGTGCCCACCCAGATTGAGGGTGGGTCTGCCTTTCCCAGTCCACTGACTCAAATGTTAATCTCCTTTGGCAACACCCTCTTCATCCTTCAATCCAATCAAGTTGACATTCGATATTAATCATCACAAGCCTCCCACCTAGAGTCTCTTTCTTGCAAATCTCACCATCAACATCTTCCCATAGTTCAAAACCCAGCTCAAACAAGGGTATGCTGACTCCTCTGTGGAATTAGTCTCCAGACTCCTTTCTCGGCATGTCCCACCAGGAACAACAATGTGTAAAGGCAGAGAGTTCAAAGTGTAAGAGCAGGATGGAGAGAGAGGAGGCCAGGAAGACTGGGTGGGCCCTATTTTGACAGGACTGAAACGCCAATGGCTGAATCTCTCTGCATTGGGGAGCTACTGAGAATTACTGACAAGGGGAGAGGTCTGGTGAGCTTGGCAACTGAAGAGATTTCTCTTTCCACAATGAATAGTGGAGTGGGGTGGACTGGGAGAAGGCTAGAAACCTGGAAGCAAGGTGATTAGGAGGCAGTTGGAGGAATTTCATCAGCTTCCCCAAATGCCAGTAGAAAAGTATATGCCAGATTTACAATATTCACATGGGGAATTAGCAAAAATATAGATTCTGGGTCCCTTTCCCACAAATTCTATTTCAGTGGATTTGGAATAGGGCTAGAACCTGTGCTTTTATCAGACACCACAGACATTTCAGAGGTGGGGAGGTGGACTATTCAATAATGCTGTTGGGACAACTGGCTAGCTAGGGAGTAAAAAAACTTAAGCTTTATCTTTACCTCACTCCTTACACACAAATAAGTGCCAGATGGAGCCAAGGTGACAATGGAAAGGAAAGAAGAGAGGAAAGGAGGGAAAAAATAAATCATAATGGAACTAGAAGAAAATTTGGGTGACATTCTAAAAAGTAATATTGGATGTGAAACCTAAAAGTCATAAAGGGAAAAATTAATGGTACATTTAACCACATGGAAACAAAAAAAAATTCTGTACAGCTAAGACTAATGATAAAGAGAAGATATCTGCAACCTATATGTAAAGGATCAATAGCTTCAATATCAAAAGAGTTTATGTAAACCAGAAAAATAGTCTCCCAAATGAAATAACTGAATATGTTTATGCAAAAATGCTAAGCCTCTCTAGAGATCAAGAAACAGGTTTTAAAACATAAGATATCGGCCAGGCGGGGTGGCTCACACCTGTAATCCCAGCACTTCGGGAGGCTGAGGCAGGGGATCACTTGAGGTCAGGAGTTCAAGACCAGTCTGGCCGCCATGGTGAAACCCCATCTCTACTAAAAATACGAAAATTATCTGGGTGTGGTGGTGCACGCCTGTAATCCCAGCTACTCAGGAGGCTGAGGCAGGAGAATTGCATGAACCCAGGAGGCAGAGGTTGGAATGAGCTGAGATCAAGTCACTGCACTCCATCCTGGGCAACAGAGCGAGACTCCATTTCAAAAAATAATAATAAAATAATTATAACTGAAACGTAAGATATCTTTGTGGTAGGCAAAATAATGGACCCCCAAACTATCCACATTCTAAACCCTGGAAACTGAATATGTTGCCCATTATGGCAAAAGATAATTTGTAGATGTGATTTAATTAAGGATCTTGAGGTGGAGAGATTATCCAGGTGGACTCAATGTAATCACAAGAGTCCTTAGGAGAGGGAGAGAGGAGTCAATATTAGAATGATTTGTTATGAGAAAGATGCGGCTGGCTGTTACCAGCTTTGCAGGTGGAAGGGGAGCCTTCCATGAGCCAAGGAATTCAGGTACCCTCTAGAAGTTGGGAAAGGCAAGGAAAGGGATTCTCCTCTAGGGCCCCCAGAAAGAAAAGTGGCCCTGCTGACACCTTGCTTTTAGCCGAGTGAGACCTATTTCAGACGTCTGACCACTCGAACTATAAGATAGTAAATTTTGCATTAAGCCACTAAATTTGTGGTAATTTCTTACAGCAGCAATGGGAACCAAATACAACCATTTTGCCTTTCTTATTAGCTAATGTTAAAGAGACAGTTTATATTCCAGATAGGCAGGAGGTTAGGGAAATAGTGCTCACCCGCCATTGGCGGAAGTGTAAATTTCTGCTTTTTGAAGAGCTATTTGCCAGTCCCCATGAAAAGCTTCAAGGTGTATCCCCTTTAATCAAGTATTCTCCCTTCTAGGAGGTTAGCCTGTGATATACTCATACAAGTATGCAGAAGATATTCTATGTAGCATTTCTTGGAATAGAAACAGCTGGAAACAACCTTCATATCTATCAGTAAGGGACTGGCTGAGTTTGAGTACAGCCAAAAATGGAATACAGTGCTGCTGCCCGCAAAAAGAAAGAGGTAAACCTAGATATCCATACATAGATTTAAAAAAAGAAAAAAAACAAGTCGCAGATCAATATAAATACATTAGGACGTCGGGAAGAACATATATTAAATTAACTGTAGCTTCTCTGGGGAGGGGCATGTGGGGACAGGGAGATTCAGGGGAAAGAGCCAAGGATGGTACAATTCTGCAGTGGTTTAAAATTTTTCAAGTAATTTTTCATTTAAGAATTTTCGTTTAAAAGAAGGAGAAAGTTCCCCAGCATTTCTGTTCTGTCGTTGGTCTTTGGAACTTCTGGTCTCGACAAAACTAGGGGTAGGAACCCAAGCCCAAAGGAGAGGCAGGGGACAGAAACAACCAGATTTGGGGATTGATGACATGGCTGGGGACAGGGGTGGAGGTGGTGACAGCCCAAGAGAGGGTCAGCAGGTCAGGACCTGGCCAGGGCCTAGACTGGCAGAAGCCGGTGTCCAGGAGGCCTGGGCTGCTTGCTGGGATACATGCGGATCCCTGGGCAGGGGTAGTTTTCTCTGCACAGAACCCCCTGATTGCTGGTAGGTCAATGCTGTGGGATACCCTGACCTGAGTGAGGTTAGAATGTTATAGGTGAGCCAAGCATCTGCAGAAAAGGCAGGGCTTCCACCAACAATTGCAGGTTGCCTGGTGTCAGCAACTATAGCTCAGGCCAGCACAGGATCCTTCCCCAGCCCTTCCCCCAGAGAAGCCAAGAGGATGGTGGGCCAGTAGGTGGGCCTGACCTTGCCAGTCCACCTCTCAGTCAGTCCCACGGGGAGGGTTGCCTTTTACAAAGATTAGCAGGTATCACTAGATGGATGCTCACTTTGACCAAGGTCTAACAGGAATTTGAGGCATAAGTTACCATGTGGAATTCTCCTCAGCTTAAGGTCAATATTGCAGCCAGCCTGAGCAAACTAGGAAATGTGGCCAGTATTTTTCAGTTGGCCACACTGTCACCTGGTCTTAGATTTCAAAATCCAAAATTGTCAGAAAGGAAGTGATCTTGAGATCATTCAGCCCAATTTCATGTTGCAGAAGGGAAAACTGAGGCCCAGAGAGGAAAGTGCCTTACCTAGGGTCACACAGTAGACCTGTGTGTTCCAGGGCTTCCTGCCACAGGTTACCGGACCCATGGCAGCCAAGGTGACTCCAGGCCTCCTGATCTGCCCTTGCTGGAAGAAACCCACAGACCAACCCCCAGAGAAAGTTGAAGAAAGCAAGCCAGGGAGGCAGCCGGCTGCCTGTGGTGAGGAGACCCAGGTGCTCAGCCCCCTGGCTCTCACCAGGTGTGCTACTCACTGTCCCACCTGCAGCCCAGACCTCTCTGCCCCTGTAGAGCTCCCAAGCAGGTCAAGTCAGCGTCAGGCAGCACCTGCTCTTCAGGAGGAATTGACCTCAAACAGCAGATCGGAGGACTCAGAAATGTCTTTAGTTTGGCTTGAAGACTTCCCAGCCCGCTCTCGTTGGGTCGGTCATGCCTCTTCTCTGGGAGTCAGTGTCTCCCAGAATCAAATGGCAATAAGAGGGATGCAAGTGTTGTGAGTTTGAGGACAGGAATGTGCTCATGTGACTCTTCTATTTGGCAGTAATCGAGGCTAGAATTCAGGACACTGACAAGACAGAGCCGCTCTGCCATGGTCCTCACTGAATGGTCATTATCTCATGAAAATCCAGTGACCAAGAAGTACATTGGAGGCTGCAAAGTCTCAATCTCAGTAGGAGAACCATCTAGTGTGGCTTCCATGGAGTCAGGAAGATGGATCTGGTGGCCTGGAAAGCTGTGTGCCAGGATCGTGATGATTTTCATCCATGATTATCAGTTCTAGCTTGTGCCCTGGGTTGGTATGAAGCCTTCAATCTGAAAAGTATCCCATAAAGTCAGATCCATCAGACCTTTCACCACCTGATCGCCTGCCTGTGTTCTTATCCCCACTGCTAGGACCACTTGGCTCCAGCATGCAGGCCAAGGCTCTGCCCAACTCAAGAACCAATGCTTCCCCTGTTTAGGGGAACTCAGGTCTCTCCCAATATCCTGGTGGGTCAGTGTGACACTGGTTTCTGTGGGGGCCCTGCTTTGACCTCCGAATTCAACCTTGGTTCTCATTTCTTGAGCACCAGCTGTGTGCCCGGGACTTTACATACATGGTAACCCCAGTCAGTCTTATGACAGCCTGTCAGCCTAAAAGCAGCAGAGCCAGGACTGGAATCTAGTCTAGAGATCTTTCCACACAGCCATGACAGCCCCTCCACAGAAATGCTTTCTCCAATAGCAATGATGATTATTATTTATTGAATGCTTACTATATGTCAGGTGCCATGCCAAGAGATTTATATGAGTCAACTCAATTTAAACCACACATGACAGTTTTACTGTCCCTTTTTACAGATGGGGAGACTAAGGCTTAGAGGGGTGTCCAGATTAGGGGACCATCAGTTAGGAGGTGGAGGAGCCAGGGTTCAGCTGCAGGCTGCCTGAGTCTCAAAGCTACCTTGGGAGTCGCTGTGCTGTGTTGCCGCATGCATGGGTTTAGTGGCTGGATGCTTACCTTGCTACAGGTGCCTGTCTTGTGCTTTAGAACTAAACCCTGATCTGTGTTGCTACCTCTCCCTGTGTCCCCACTTACCTAGACCTGGGTTCTGGCAAACCCTTTTCAGCCTCCCAGACACCAACATCACACTCCAATCCCCTGGATGAGTTAGTGTATTTGTTCAACTGCTCCAAAAGGGACCAAGTAACAAGCTCAAAGATGTATGTCTCTCTCAGGGGCAGGTGGCTTTGCTTCACACTGTCTTCTTGTCTTCTTGTCCCACTGTTCCTTGGGGTGATGTTCTTGTCCATGTGGTCACAGTTGGCTCACCCCCACCACATCCATGTTCCTTCCTGACAAAATGGAGAGGTGGAGGGCAAGCACTTTTCCTTCTGGCTGTGGCCTAGAAGTTGCATACATCATTGGCCAGAACTAGCTGCAAGAGAGGCTGGGAAAGGCAGCCTCTAGCTGGTGGCCATAGACCCAGCTTGGGGGCCTTTGATTACTACAAGAAAGAGAACTGGCTAATGGAAGAAATATTCAGTCTCTGCCACAATCCCTGTTCCCAGCCAGAGCTCCGCCTTGACCTTGGCCTCTCTCTTTGCCCAGACATCCTTCTGTGACTCTTTGACTACCAATCCCTGTTAGTCTCCAGACCCATATGCTTATATCTGGCTTGTTTTGCCACCACCTGAGCCCACAGCCACTTTTAGTATTTTTTTGCAAGTGAAGAATTCTGCTCCAGCTTAAACACACACATGCATACATGCACACACACAGAGTGTTGTACACAGAGATTTTTAGAAGGGGCACTGGCTTTGTTGCTAGGTCATTAAATAAGAATATTTACTGAGTGCCTCCTCTTCAGCCTGTGGCCTTGTGCCCTGGGTTCCCAGGTATTAAAGTTAATAGGAAAGTTTTCTTATATTTTTGACATCAGTATGTTTTATTACTGCCAGTAAAATTTTTGACCAGATTTTGGCATGTTGGGATATGTGGGGGTGTGTGTGTGTAAGTAAATTACAAGCAAAGAGCTGTATTAAGCCCCACCAGCCTGGGGCCAGCTTAGCCTAACAGCTCCTTGGACATCAGGCCCCTGCCCCTATCTTGCCCCAGCCTTATCTAACTTTGACCGGGGACCCCAGCTCCTCAGTCTAGAGCCCAAGGCAGATTCAAGCTGGCCTCCTGCCAGGACTGGTGGAATTGTCTACCTGAGAGAGCCCATCTCCCACCTGCCCTCTGGAAATGTCCTCTGGGGTGTCCACCCTGGGCCATGGTCATGTTGTCCTGACGCCTTCGATACAGAAGGTGCTTTCCAGTTTGGTTCCAGAGCTTCAGGCCTCCCTGCCTTGGCCCCGGGCTCCTCCATTACTTCCCACTCCCCTGAGGCTTTTGTGGCTCCAACCCCAGCAAGTCCCGATCTCCTTCCTATTGGGCTGCTCCCACAGCTAGACCAAAGGAAGCTTCTTGAAGTGGGAGCTAACCAGTTGGCTGCTGAAGCTCAGGTTCCCCTCAGGGTTATAAGCTGGTCTCTGAGCGAGAGCTCTCACTGGCCTCATGGCCCATTCTGTGACCATCAGTAGAGGCTGTCCATCCTCTTCTGGTCTGGGGTTCAGGCCTCTGTTGGCCCAGCTCCTGGGCCCATTTCTCTGGTGACTTTTACAGGTGCTCTCACCAATTCCCTGGAAAAGTGGCTCTTTTCTTTATCACTTCAAGTTTGTGTTAAAATTTCACACATACCCTCAGAACCACAGAAGGTAGAAAAGAACCATTTTCTTAGTGTCTGTTGGTCACAGTCATTAGAACGGTCCTTCGGTTTATGCCGCACCACATTTGGAATCCATTCCAAGACAGAAGTCTCCTTAGGTCCTGCAGGTTCCCCTACATCTGCACCTGTGGTCCTGGCTGCCCTTCTCCCCCTGCCCCTCCTCTTAAGCACTTCAGACCTGTCATGGTGTGGTAGAGCAGGCTGGCAGAGAGCACTAGTCCAGAAGTCCAAGCCCCAGTGTGGCTTGGGCTAGCCACCCTCCACCATGGCTCAGATGCCTGTTGTGCAGAATGACAGGGTGGCCCCTCCAGCTCACAGGCCTCGCTCACTCTGCGCCCTGGCAGCCAACGGTGCTCCTGTGGCCTTTTTGCTCCCCACTCAGAAGTGTGGGTAGGAGGCCTCTGCTTGGAGAAACACCATGTCCAGCCCACAGGTGCAGGCTGGACACTGACCCTGGGCAGGCAGTGCTGGCCCTGTAGTCATCTGATGATGCAGCAGTCATCTGACTGTCTCCTTCATCTACCCTGCCCCTCCCACCTGGCCCTGGGAATTGCACCAAACCCCAGCTGCTGGGCGCTCCACCACCTGCCAAGGAGAGCCTTGTGGCTCAGTGAGGGGAGAAGGCAGGACTAAGCAATGTAGAGTCCTGCCTGGCCAGCTGACCCCCACTCAGATTGATCATTTCACCACCCAGTCATGCTGCAGGGTCCCATCCATCCATCGGAAGAAGCAAAGCTTACCACTAGCTGGTGTTTTGGGGCTGCTCTCAGATCCTTGCATGAAAGGATCAATAAGAATAGTAAGTATAGCCAACCCTTGATTATCCACACATAGCACCCAAAGGCCTCTCCATCACAGTGCAGCCAGGCTGAGGAGGCCCAGCCCAGCCCAAAGAGCAGTTCTCTCTGTGCTGCAAACCATGTCTACCATGTCTGATTTTTAGAAGGCTCAGCACTTCTGCCCGCCTTAGCTTAGGTAAGCAAGACCTGGGGTAAGGCTGCCAGGACGAGTTCCCCGACCTTTGCTGGGCTCCCCTTTCTTCTGTCCAGCAGCTGCAGTGTGGTTAGGACATAGGTTGAAAGGGCAACTCTATTGTTCAGATGCTAGACAATTCCTTACTCCCTCTTGCCGTGGATACAGCGATGTCCCCTGGGGCCATGCCGGTGCTTCCATAGGACTAGGGGCCATAGACTGCAGTGCGCATCATGCCACAGAAGCCACAGAGAACTTCTATTAATTGAGGTGGGAGACAGTCCTGGCTGGGGGGTCAAGAGGCACAGGATGGTCCAGTCCTGCCACCATTCCCGTGTGATTTTCAGGGAAAATCATATCACCTTTCTAGCCTTCAGTCTCTTCTGTCAAGTGAGAGGAATGGACTAGACAGTCAGTCTCTAAGAATCTATCAGAAGATCACGGTGTAACTTTAGTCTCCATAGAAGAGATCAAAAGTATGTATGAGACACCCAGAGACAGTTGGCACTTATGCCTAGTTTTGGCCGTAAGGCAAATATTAATTGTAAGGGTAACCATTTTGTCCTGGTTTGCCTGGGACTGTCTTTGTTTATTCCTGTTGTTCCTCGATGACTGTTAGTAGTTCCCATTTCATTCTCCAAGTGTCCCAGTTTGGATGGTATCTTATATGGCCACCCTGTTGACTGAGATGTAATCTAATGAAATGAGATTTGTCTGTCTTCCCCACACTCAGCCTGCTTTGGTACAAGTCACAGGAGGCCTTTGACTGCTCATAGGAGAATCTCTGCTGATACACAGTCTTTCATTGACAAATATCAATCACTGTATTTGCACCATATCCAATGACTAGAGGGATGTCATTGAATCCGTCACTGTATTCAATGACCAGAGGGGTGTCATTGAAGACATAAATGATCTCCTGCATCATTCACTGCTCCTGACTGAAGTGCTACATGAAAAAGTTTTGCAAGAAACTTAGATGTTCCATCCTGTCTGGCTATAAGACTCCATAATGGACCAAATCTCCCTTTTCTCCTTGGCTGCCAGGAAGCTCATATATAAATATATAGCTGAATTATAGAAACACCATAAGTCCTTATTATTGGTATAGCAGTACTCTTTTTATCCCACCAATCCTGACTTTTTGCCTTATTTCCATTTTCTTTGTTCTGATTTGTTATTCTTATTTATGATTTTCTCATATTTATAGTTTGTCATTCTTCTATAAATATGGTTTTGTTATAGTTACTTTGAATTCTTTGTAGCACCAAGTAGAAAAGGCACACAAAAGGAGTGAACTTAGAGGATATGCTTTTTAGCTAAAAGATCAAATCACCTGCTCCTCCAAAGCATATCACAGTGTCCGAGGGCCCTGCCCTTTAAGAGACAATTATTTGAGTCTTAAAGACTTGTTCGTCTTCTGAGCACCTGCAAAAATGTAGTAAGTGGCATTTTCAAGTCTGTATCATCACACACCTAGTGAAACGAAGAGTGTGAGCATGAGGGGAGCCTGAGGGCAGGATGCCGGGGGTAGGGCATGCTCACAGGAGAAAAAGCAAGCACAGAGATGCTCATCACTCACCCAGGGCCTCGCCAAGGGATGCCAGGGGATGGACACCTGAGAAGGGGCTGGGGAACAAACTCTGGCCATGGGAGGCCTGGGTCCAGGTGGCAACACTGCCTGTTAGCAACACGGGACCTTCAGTAAGCCATCTTCATGATGTCCAAAGTCAGGTGGTTGGGTGAGATGGAGTCCATGGTGACTCCAGCCTTGGGATTCCGACCCTGTTCCTGGGGAGGAGGGCCCTGAGGATGCACCTGAGCCCAGGAAGCTGAGACTGCCCTGCTTGCAGCTGGCCCTAGGAGGAGGCACACACTTGGGGCTATATGCAGACCAACTTTGCTCCTCCACTTGAGGGCAATGATCCCCATATTTCCATGGCATCCCCAGGGCACTGACTGGACAAGGAAAGGCTGCAAAGCCAGAGGAACCTTCCAGAATGATCCTCCTGGCAATTGCTTGGATCAAGCAAATGGTCACAGCTGTGTCAGATTGTAAGTTCTCACAGGCTGTGGCAGTAGTTTGCAGTTTTGTCTTCAAACATGGGCTGGGGTGCGGGTTAGCAATGGGGTAAAAAGCAGTGAATGATGTCCCTTGTGGACACTTTCAGAACCCAGGGCCAGAGAGAAATACTAACCTGAGAATAATCTACCCCTTGGAAAACTCACCCCTGAATAAACCACAGGCACTTCCCTCCTGCACCAGCCATGGCCCCATCCAGAGTTCACCCAGCAGCATCTGCATCTCCAATGTCATTGGGCCCACTGCAGCTCCGAGGCACAGTCGAGGCAGGATTTGTTATCTGTTTTACCGATTAGGCAACTGAGGCTTAGAGAGCTTAGACCCACTCAGAGTGGATCACAAAACAGAGATGAGAGCCCAGGCCTCTGTCCCTAACCACCCTGCAGTTCCCAGAGCCCACTTTGCCTTCTGTTCTCAGCATCCCACATGGCCACAGTCCTCAGAAACACACTGGCATTCAGGTCACCCAACACTGACATGGGAGCGGGGGAGGAAAGAATTGCAGGGCTTGGACATGTGGAGCCGGAGCCTGTGGTTCTGCTTGAGTTTCCCTGGTTAACTTTTGAGGGGTCTCAGCCAGGTGTGGCACCGAGTCTGGGCTGCCCAGGCTGTGCATGAGTCCCAGTAACTCTGTCTTCTCTTTTGTGTGTGTGTATTTCTGTGTGTGTGTACATCTATCACACAGAAGAAGAGCGTGATTTCTCCTCCAAGGCCGTTGATCTCCAACCCAGAACTAAAGGGGAGAAGAGCCACCCCCAGCATCCAGCGTGGCATCTCTTGTGCCAGGACCAGGGATGACTGGGCCATGGACACAGATGTCTCCAACCTTCAACCGTTTGCATAGCACACGGGGGACTCGTGGGGGCCACCTGCCACTGCCAGCTGAAACAATACAATGGCAATACTGACATCCTTCATGACGTTTTCCCGACAGACATTCAGGCAGAAAGTGCTGGTGCGTTTTCTGTCTGCAAAGTAGAGGGCCATGCCTCACCAATAGAATAGCGTGGGCCCTGATGACCTGCTCCGAGTCCACTCACAGCCAGTGACACTTGCAAAAAACTCCCAAAGCCGTCTTGGGTTTGGCTCCCACAGCTCTTGACCAATGTGGCCAAAGCTGGACACCTCCTTGGGACACTGGGATTATTCATAAATGCAGCCCGCCCTGACTCTCCCTGAATAGCATCTGAAGTCTTTGTGAAGGTCATGGATCCTGAACAAAGTGTCAAGGGCACCAAGAAGGCTGAGGGAAGTCCCCGGAAGCGGCTGACCAAAGGAGAGGCCATTCAGACCAGTGTTTCTTCCAGCGTCCCATACCCAGGCAGCGGCACAGCTGCCACCCAAGAGAGCCCCGCCCAAGAGCTCTTAGCCCCGCAGCCCTTCCCGGGCCCCTCATCAGTTCTTAGGGAAGGCTCTCAGGAGAAAACGGGCCAGCAGCAGAAGCCCCCCAAAAGGCCCCCCATCGAAGCATCCGTCCACATCTCACAGCTTCCGCAGCACCCTCTGACACCAGCATTCATGTCGCCTGGCAAACCTGAGCATCTCCTGGAGGGGTCCACATGGCAACTGGTTGACCCCATGAGACCTGGACCCTCTGGCTCCTTCGTGGCCCCTGGGCTCCATCCTCAGAGCCAGCTCCTTCCTTCCCACGCTTCCATCATTCCCCCCGAGGACCTTCCTGGAGTCCCCAAAGTCTTCGTGCCTCGTCCTTCCCAGGTCTCCTTGAAGCCCACAGAAGAGGCACACAAGAAGGAGAGGAAGCCCCAGAAGCCAGGCAAGTACATCTGCCAGTACTGCAGCCGGCCCTGTGCCAAGCCCAGCGTGCTCCAGAAGCACATTCGCTCACACACAGGTGAGAGGCCCTACCCCTGCGGCCCCTGTGGCTTCTCCTTCAAGACCAAGAGTAATCTCTACAAGCACAGGAAGTCCCATGCCCACCGCATCAAAGCAGGCCTGGCCTCAGGCATGGGTGGCGAGATGTACCCACATGGGCTGGAGATGGAGCGGATCCCTGGGGAAGAGTTTGAGGAGCCCACTGAGGGAGAAAGCACAGATTCTGAAGAGGAGACTAGTGCCACCTCTGGTCACCCTGCAGAGCTCTCCCCAAGACCCAAGCAGCCCCTTCTCTCCAGCGGGCTATACAGCTCTGGGAGCCACAGTTCCAGCCACGAACGCTGTTCCCTGTCCCAGTCCAGCACAGCCCAGTCACTCGAAGACCCCCCTCCATTTGTGGAACCCTCATCTGAGCACCCCCTGAGCCATAAACCTGAAGACACCCACACGATTAAGCAGAAGCTGGCCCTCCGCTTAAGCGAGAGGAAGAAGGTGATCGATGAGCAGGCGTTTCTGAGCCCAGGCAGCAAAGGGAGTACTGAGTCTGGGTATTTCTCTCGCTCCGAGAGTGCAGAGCAGCAGGTCAGCCCCCCAAACACCAACGCCAAGTCCTACGCTGAGATCATCTTTGGCAAGTGTGGGCGAATAGGACAGCGGACCGCCATGCTGACAGCCACCTCCACCCAGCCCCTCCTGCCCCTGTCCACCGAAGACAAGCCCAGCCTGGTGCCTTTGTCTGTACCCCGGACGCAGGTGATCGAGCACATCACGAAGCTCATCACCATCAACGAGGCCGTGGTGGACACCAGCGAGATCGACAGCGTGAAGCCAAGGCGGAGCTCACTGTCCAGGCGCAGCAGCATGGAGTCCCCAAAATCCAGCCTCTACCGGGAGCCCCTGTCATCCCACAGTGAGAAAACCAAGCCTGAACAATCACTGCTGAGCCTCCAGCACCCGCCCAGTACCGCCCCCCCTGTGCCTCTCCTGAGAAGCCACTCAATGCCTTCTGCCGCCTGCACTATCAGCACCCCCCACCACCCCTTCCGAGGTAGCTACTCCTTCGATGACCATATCACCGACTCCGAAGCCCTGAGCCACAGCAGTCACGTGTTTACCTCCCACCCCCGGATGCTGAAGCGCCAGCCGGCAATCGAATTACCTTTGGGAGGGGAATACAGTTCTGAGGAGCCTGGCCCAAGCAGCAAAGACACAGCCTCCAAGCCCTCGGACGAAGTGGAACCCAAGGAAAGCGAGCTTACCAAAAAGACCAAGAAGGGTTTGAAAACAAAAGGGGTGATCTACGAATGTAACATATGTGGTGCTCGGTACAAGAAAAGGGATAACTACGAAGCCCACAAAAAATACTACTGCTCAGAGCTTCAGATCGCAAAGCCCATCTCTGCAGGCACCCACACATCTCCAGAAGCTGAAAAGAGTCAGATTGAGCATGAGCCGTGGTCCCAAATGATGCATTACAAACTGGGAACCACCCTGGAACTCACTCCACTGAGGAAGAGGAGGAAAGAGAAGAGCCTTGGGGACGAGGAAGAGCCACCTGCCTTTGAGTCCACAAAAAGTCAGTTTGGCAGCCCCGGGCCATCTGATGCTGCTCGGAACCTTCCCCTGGAGTCCACCAAGTCACCAGCAGAACCAAGTAAATCAGTGCCCTCCTTGGAGGGACCCACGGGCTTCCAGCCAAGGACTCCCAAGCCAGGGTCCGGTTCAGAATCAGGGAAGGAGAGGAGAACAACGTCCAAAGAAATTTCTGTCATCCAGCACACCAGCTCCTTTGAGAAATCTGATTCTCTCGAGCAGCCGAGTGGCTTGGAAGGGGAAGACAAACCTCTGGCCCAGTTCCCATCACCCCCACCTGCCCCACACGGACGCTCTGCTCACTCCCTGCAGCCTAAGTTGGTCCGCCAGCCCAACATTCAGGTTCCTGAGATCCTAGTAACTGAGGAGCCTGACCGGCCGGACACAGAGCCAGAGCCGCCCCCTAAGGAACCTGAGAAGACTGAGGAGTTCCAATGGCCCCAGCGCAGCCAGACACTTGCCCAGCTCCCAGCTGAGAAGCTGCCACCCAAAAAGAAGAGGTTGCGCCTGGCAGAGATGGCCCAATCATCAGGGGAGTCCAGCTTCGAGTCCTCTGTGCCTCTGTCTCGCAGCCCGAGCCAGGAAAGCAATGTCTCTTTGAGTGGGTCCAGCCGCTCAGCCTCGTTTGAGAGGGATGACCATGGGAAAGCCGAGGCCCCCAGTCCCTCATCTGACATGCGCCCCAAACCCCTGGGCACCCACATGTTGACTGTCCCCAGCCACCACCCACATGCCCGAGAGATGCGGAGGTCAGCCTCAGAGCAGAGCCCCAACGTTTCCCATTCTGCCCACATGACCGAGACACGCAGCAAATCCTTTGACTATGGCAGCTTGTCCTTGACAGGCCCTTCTGCTCCAGCCCCAGTGGCTCCACCAGCGCGGGTGGCCCCGCCAGAGAGAAGAAAATGCTTCTTGGTGAGACAGGCCTCTCTGAGCAGGCCTCCAGAATCTGAGTTGGAGGTTGCCCCCAAGGGAAGACAGGAGAGCGAAGAACCACAGCCCTCATCCAGTAAACCCTCTGCCAAAAGCTCATTGTCCCAGATTTCCTCTGCGGCCACCTCACATGGTGGACCCCCGGGAGGCAAGGGCCCAGGGCAGGACAGGCCCCCATTGGGGCCCACTGTGCCCTACACAGAAGCACTGCAAGTGTTCCACCACCCCGTTGCCCAGACACCCCTGCATGAGAAGCCATACCTGCCCCCACCAGTCTCCCTTTTCTCCTTCCAGCATCTCGTGCAGCATGAGCCAGGACAGTCTCCAGAATTCTTCTCCACCCAGGCCATGTCCAGCCTCCTGTCCTCACCATACTCCATGCCCCCACTTCCTCCCTCCTTATTTCAAGCCCCACCGCTTCCTCTCCAGCCTACTGTTCTGCACCCAGGCCAACTCCATCTCCCCCAGCTCATGCCTCACCCAGCCAACATCCCCTTCAGGCAGCCCCCTTCCTTCCTCCCCATGCCATACCCGACCTCCTCAGCACTGTCTTCTGGGTTTTTCCTGCCTCTGCAATCCCAGTTTGCACTTCAGCTCCCTGGTGATGTGGAAAGCCATCTGCCCCAGATCAAAACCAGCCTGGCCCCACTGGCAACAGGAAGTGCTGGCCTCTCCCCCAGCACAGAGTACAGCAGTGACATCCGGCTACCCCCTGTGGCTCCCCCAGCCAGCTCCTCAGCACCTACATCAGCTCCTCCACTGGCCCTGCCTGCCTGTCCAGACACCATGGTGTCCCTGGTTGTGCCTGTCCGTGTTCAGACCAATATGCCGTCCTATGGGAGCGCAATGTACACCACCCTTTCCCAGATCTTGGTCACCCAGTCCCAAGGCAGCTCAGCAACTGTGGCACTTCCCAAGTTTGAGGAACCCCCATCAAAGGGGACGACTGTATGTGGTGCAGATGTGCATGAGGTTGGGCCCGGCCCTTCTGGGTTAAGTGAAGAGCAAAGCAGAGCTTTCCCAACTCCATACCTGAGAGTGCCTGTGACATTACCTGAAAGAAAAGGCACTTCCCTGTCATCAGAGAGTATCTTGAGCCTGGAGGGGAGTTCATCAACAGCAGGGGGAAGCAAACGTGTCCTTTCACCAGCTGGCAGCCTTGAACTTACCATGGAAACCCAGCAGCAAAAAAGAGTGAAGGAGGAGGAGGCTTCCAAGGCAGATGAAAAACTTGAGCTGGTAAAACCATGCAGTGTGGTCCTTACCAGCACCGAGGATGGGAAGAGGCCAGAGAAATCCCACTTAGGCAACCAGGGCCAAGGCAGGAGGGAGCTAGAAATGCTGTCCAGCCTGTCCTCAGATCCATCTGACACAAAGGAAATTCCTCCCCTCCCTCACCCTGCATTGTCCCATGGGACAGCCCCAGGCTCAGAAGCTTTGAAGGAATATCCCCAGCCATCTGGCAAACCTCACCGAAGAGGGTTGACCCCACTGAGCGTGAAGAAAGAAGATTCCAAGGAACAACCTGATCTCCCCTCCTTGGCACCTCCGAGCTCTCTGCCTCTGTCAGAAACGTCCTCCAGACCAGCCAAGTCACAAGAAGGTACGGACTCAAAGAAGGTACTGCAGTTCCCCAGCCTCCACACAACCACTAATGTCAGTTGGTGCTATTTAAACTACATTAAGCCAAATCACATCCAGCATGCAGATAGGAGGTCCTCTGTTTACGCTGGTTGGTGCATAAGTTTGTACAACCCCAACCTTCCGGGGGTTTCCACTAAAGCTGCTTTGTCCCTCCTGAGGTCTAAGCAGAAAGTGAGCAAAGAGACATACACCATGGCCACAGCTCCGCATCCTGAGGCAGGAAGGCTTGTGCCATCCAGCTCCCGCAAGCCCCGCATGACAGAGGTAAGTTCAGCCTTGTTTTTCTTCTCATCACTGATTTGCAAAAGCACTTGGCGAGCTTTTAAAGCCACAGTATCCTCAGGTTCCAGTTGCAGAACTAGAGCCAGACTAGTAGTCAGATTTCCTCTCTGAAAGCTGAGACTGGTCACCTTACAAGGAAACATGTTTATTGAGTTTCTTTGTCACTGTATCCCTCATATCATTGGAATAGATACACTTCAATAAAGTTAGCCATAAAGTGATCCTGCTCTGCCATGAATTTCTGTTGTGAAATCAAAGATACAGTCTCAGTAAGAAAAAAAAGAAATTTTCCAAAAGACTGAGTTGGAAAACTTGGCTAACAGGAATGCCTGTAGCAATTTTAGAACTTTTTACCTCTCCTTCATTATATGGATATCCCTTGTCTTGTTAGTCTTTTCCTGCTTTTCTTAATTCTTACATCTGCTGTTTCCATTCTCTAGTACCACTTTAAATCTTCCCATTTCCAAGATTCTAGAATTTGGCACAAACAACTCCTGAAATATTCCTTCTTCCTTTTCTGGGAGTAAGACAGCAAATGGAGCTGAGCTGCAGTATCCCTCCTTACCAGTGGATGGCAATGCCACTCACAGTTTGACCTATTTGTGCTACGTGGTCAAGAAACGCTAATGTTTACGCTTTCATTGCCTTTGATCTGAGGCTACATCAGGAGCTATAAAATGAACTCGTCCCCTGAAAGCTCAGCAAGTTTGAAATTCAATAATTTCAAATGTCAGACAAAAGCCACCACCATACCCTGACAAGGCCAGCCTAGGGATTTGGATTGTGCTGACTTGGCATTTGTGGAATAACAGCTGGTCTTGTTTACTGAGCAGCCTCATGGTGCCAGACACTGTGCTGGGCCCTTGAATCTGGTCACTGCTCACCTCCACCTCTGAAGTAACATAACCATCTCCCTTCTATAGCTTAGGGAACTGAGGGTCAGAGTCTGAGAAAGGTCAAGATAATCTGGCAAATGTTGAACAAACCCAGAATTTGAACCCAGACCTATCTGACTCCAAAGAGTCTATTTTTCTTCTTTTAATTATTTGAGGAGAGAAAATCTTAAAAGTTGACTGCAAATTAAAAAATGTTTATTAGTGTGTCTTCAGACCAGAAGCTCTGACCAAATTAGGTCTAAATTCCCTAAACCAAATTCATATTGTAGATAAGTGAGCACAACTGTGTTCTATAATTTCCTGTGCTCTCATATCTTCCCCTTTTGTCATTCAGTGAACTTTGTGCATTGAATTTGTCCTTAGCTTGACTGGATGTTCTTCACAGAACTGTTTTCCAAATTTATTCCCTAGATGTCTTTGTCAGTCTACAGACATCCCTGACCAAGATTTCCACTTTTGTGTTAATGTCCTGCTAATTTCCTCTTCAGCGTCTCTTACTAGCTGTGGCCACTCCCAAGATGCTGTTATAATTATTCATACTGCTAACTTTTTGGATACCTATTATGTACCAAGTACTATGCTAAATGTTACTTTTCTCCTCACAACCAACTTGAAAGTTAGGGTGCAATATCACCATTTCATAGATGAGGAGACCAAAACACAAGAGAGGTTAAGTAACTTTCACAAGGCCACACAGTAAATGGCAGAGCCTAGATCAAAACTAGATTTTACTCCAATGCCCTTTTGAATTATCTAAGCTGCCTCTAGTTTCTAATGACTGAAAATGTTACAGGCCATTTAAGAGAAAGGAAGTGTTAATTTGGATTCGGCAATTATTTATTTATAGTGCTCCTAAAACCTGCGAACTTTTTCTTGGAATATTCTGTTTGGTTCACTGGCATGTTTCCTTCCAGAATTGCACCAATCTGGTACATTAGTATAACCACATGGTCTATGGCTTAAGGCCTTTTATACAACTACACCTCTCTCTGGTCTCTGCTTGCATACTTCCAGCAAGAGGAACTCACCATCTCATGATGCAGTCCAATTCATCTTTGGACAGTGCTCTAAGAAGGTTCTTTACTGTACTGAGCTGACATTTGTCAGCTTGCGGCTTCCATTCTCTGTTAGTAGTTCTGAAAAAGTCCTTAGGTCTATCTTAGCATTTTGAAGCTCTTCCAAACCATCTTCATGCAGGTCTAGGACACCCCATGATGTTTTTGTTTGGTCATAGATCTTTTCTTCCACGTATAAACCCTGGAGAAACCCCAGCTTGTTCAGAGTCCACTTTGTAGCCACATTCTTTCCTTTTTCCTCCTTGGGAATCATTTTGACAACAACACAGCACTGTCACAAAGTGATTAAGAACAAGGACTCAGGTACCAAGTTGCCCAGGTTTGAATCCCACTACCTTACCTACTGGCTATGTGACCTTGGGCCAATAACTTCACCTCTCTGAGCCTTAGTTTCATCCTCTGTAAAATAGGGATAATAATAACACTTAGCGCATAGGACTGTGGAGATAATTAAATGAGTTAAGACATGCGGAGTGTGCTTAGAACAGTGTATGCCACACTGGCACTCAGTAAGTATTTTTAACTATACTTATTCATATTGTTGTCATCAAAAGCTAAAATGGATCCCTGGTCCCTGCTCAGTTCCAACACTGTGTTTCCTGGGAAAGTGGTACACTGCCACCCAAACCAGCCTCCTCCAGTGTGGCCCAGATATCACGGCAGGCTGTGAGGGAGAAGTAGTCTGTTTGCCTGTGGGAGGCACCTTGGTCATTACATGGACAGTCTAGATCTCAGGCCGGGGTGCAGTGGAAATGGTAGGCTCTGGAAACCCAAGGGTATTGCAGAAAACTAGCTGCCTTCTGCCAAAGCAGCAGTCCAGATTCTTGCTCGGTTTCCACTCCCCTCCTCCAAATCTGAAGAGATTATTTGGTGGTCACTGAGTCACAGAAGTTGCCCTGGAATTGATCTTCAAGATGGTCTAAATCCCCTCAGACTCTGAGGCCCAGAGAGGTGAAGTCATCCACCAAACGGCAGCCCAGTGTGCCATGGCCTATCTGGTGCTGGAACTCAGACTCCCTGATTCCCAGCCAGTCACCTTTCTACCTAGCCCCATGCTGTCCTTGTGGGGGCAGGTGTGGTGGCTGGCAAAGGGGACTGCCGTTCTTAGATTGCCCCAGCATCAGGAAATGTGGTTGCTTCATTCACTGGATGGAAACAGCATGGTTTTTCATGACCTTAATGACAGTGGCATGAAGTAGGAGGAAATTCTCACTCCCAGCCCCTAAGCACAGCATTTCTGCTCCCTAGGCAAAAGTGCACCCACCCCTGACAACACTGCAGTGTTTACAGGACGTGTTCTTGGGATAGTGGAAGATGTCCAGGAAGCACAAAGCCAATGCCAGCTCTCCCCTTAAGCTAGCTCTCATCACTGAGGTGTGGCTCTGTAAAGAGCGTGGGTCCTGCAGGACTAACAGCCCAGAGCCTGCACAGCCTCTCTGTGCCTGTCTCTATGGTGGAATTGGGGACGTCCTGCTGGTCAGGGTCCTCAGCCCAGCTCCTGGCCTTTGGTACTAGCTCAGGAGGGCCAAGATCCTGGAAGCAAGAGACCTGTGCTCTGCTCCCAGCTCTGCCCTTAACTCGCTGGGTGACCTTAGCTTTCTGATCTATAAACAAGAACTGGACCAGTTCATCTCCAAAGGCAGAGTGGAGCCTTGTTCATGTGTTCAACATTATTTAAGCCTCTTCTCTGAGACAGGCCCTGTATGGGGTTCTGGGGTGCCCAAGGAGACCAAGATGAGGACCTGTCCCCAGGAGTTCCCAGACTAGTGTAAAAGACAGAGAACAAACACAGGTCTTATGGGAGGTTAACATGAAAGAGACAGGGTTCCAGCTGTAACACCAACTAATGGCATGGCCTTGGATAAGGGAATTCTCTCTGGGGATCAGTTTCCTTAATTCTGTAAAGTGGAGCTAATAGCACCTCTTCATGGGGGAGTGTGAAGATTGCATATGTGTACTTGTGCAGTACTGTGTAAGGCATGATTATTAGCATTGCATTCGTGACTGAGGATGCACTTTTAACCAGCAATGATTTTGTCATTCCTGCGGTGGGCCAGGTTCACCTCCCTTCACTGGTTTCCCCGGAAGGCCAGAAAGATCTAGCTAGAGTGGAGAAGGAAGAAGAGAGGAGAGGGGAGCCGGAGGAGGATGCTCCTGCCTCCCAGAGAGGGGAGCCGGCGAGGATCAAAATCTTCGAAGGAGGGTAAGACTCATGTTTGGTTTCCATCGTCTGCTTCCGTGGAATAAGAGCTGGTGCCCATTGGTGTTCACGGGCAGCAGTGGCTCAGTTGGCAAGGGCTCTGCCCACAGGTGCCCTGTGGTCCCAGCGATGCCTTTCAGCAGACATCACCTTCCTGGGACTCTCAGGCCCCTCTGTTTAAGAATGCCGTGGGGCTTCTTGGTGGGGATGGGTGATGCTGGGTATTTGTTGAGGATCTGGAGAGGTCTGGGTCTTTCTCCAGCCCCTCATTTTCTCAGATCCTGGCCAGGTTTCTAGTTCCTGCATTGGAGTTGCCATCCCAGTATCCCAGCAAATGTCCAGACTTCTGTCTCTCTTGACATGTATTCTCCAAAAGTCATCTCTGTACTGCCCAATGGCCATCTTGGCATGTCTGGTTTCCCATGGGGCACTTGGGCTCAGCCGACTAGGCTGTTTGCAGGGCTGACTGCACACTGTATGCACCAGGTGTTTCCACTGGTCCCTATCCTGACTGGCTGGGGCCCAGGGCTCAATGGTTGGTGAATATTTTGAATCTCATTCATAGTTATTCACCTTTGATGCTTGACTTTGGGAAACGAATGGTCTAAACGTTTCAGAGCTCACAGCTTCAGGGACTGTCTGGGCTCTGGAAGGGTGCCGTGTTTCAGACGTGCTTTGTGGAAGTTTTGTGCCAGCTGTGTTTTGTGTGGCCACATGTTTGCTTCCTGGGATTTGGGTGTCTGTGAGCAGGTCCCATGGCGTTCTGTCTCAGGGTCCTGTGTCTGTGTCCCTGGTGTGATCAGGGTGGCCTGGTCCTGCACAGCCCTGAAGGACAACAACGTAGAGGAAAATGCGCTTCCTGTGCAGGACAGTCCCCATGAGCTGGGGCCAACATGGCTGTCACTGGGGGCCTCTGATCCTCTAGCACCTGCAAGCGCCTAACTCACAGGGTCAGCGTGGGAGGCACGGGAGTCCTCCATAAGGTTGGGGGACAACAGAGACTGCCACCCTCCCCAGGGCCACCAGTTGGCATCTTCTGGTGGCACTGACCAGCAGGGGCTCTCAGGAGAGAGGGTGCTTGGAAATGTGGGCAGCAGGGTAGTCAATGATGGGAAGGGGGCCAGGGGTAGCAAATGCCCCTGAAACCTACTGCCTAAAATACCAATAGCAGCTGCGTTGAAAAAACACTGAACCAAAGGTCTTTGAAAATGCCAACCCTCTTTCCGTGTGGGGAGGGACGCGGGTCCTCCTGCTGTTTGGTTAGAGCGCCCTCGTGTGTCTCTGTGTTCTCATGCCACTGGATCCCTTAGAGGCCACACAGAGGCAGGATTGATGAAGCGCCTGCTCACAGCGACTGGCCCTCTTCCTTCTTGCTTCAGAGGTTCTCTGTGGTCTCTGAGGGCTGCTGAGTGTTTCCTGGTGTCCCAGGAGCTTGCCCCAGCAGCAGTCTGTGTGTGCCCGGGGAGGTTCGCATCTTCCCTGAGAGGCAGGTGCTCTGAGACCTCAGGAAGCCTGAGCCTCCAGAAAGGCAGCTGGCAGGAGCCACTCCGTGCCCAGCTCCCTGCTGGATGTCTCTACCTACACGGTCTGCAATGGCTGAAGGAGGGGGAACATCACCCACAAGTCCTCTTCTCTTCCTCCAGCTGGTATGGGTCCTACTCCCTCTCCACCTCCTTCCAGGTCTTCACTTAGTCCCACCTGCTCTGCTTCAGAATCCTCTCGGTTGAGTTCTGTCATCTCTGCCCCACTTACCTCTGTTCTGCCTGAGACTAGCCCCCCAGCTCTCCCGCCCTCAGTTTCTTTATCTGTAAAAGGGGGAGAATAACATTTGTAAAAGGGGGAAAATAACATGTGGGATTTTCAGAGGACCTTGTGAGACCCCATATGAAGGCTATAATTCATAGCTGCTCAAAAAATGGACATTGGTGCATTTTACTACTAGTATATCCATTTTGTCAATCTCTGTCTGGGACAGTCCCATCTGTTCTGTCAGATATGGAAGGTATCCTCTCCCTTTCAACTTGTCACATGCAATTTGAGCACGTATGGAACTGATTATAGTGTCAGATCCTTTCCTCCCCCAGCCTGGCTATCTCAAGCTGGGACCATGCCTCCCACTCTCACTTCTGGTGATTCTTCTACATTCATGGTTCTCTTGGGGCTGGCATCACCCCGCAGAGTGTTTGGAAATGGTGAAGGAGGGGGAGGGCATTTTGGTTGCCACATAACTGGCATTTCAGGGACGAGGCCAGAGATGCTGACCTTCCATTCCACCAGCCTTACAACCTCTTGTTCCCCCAAATTGCCAAGAGTGCCCACACCCAGAATCACTGGGCACACTCCTCTGCAATCCCACAGTTTTGCCTTAGACTCAGTTCTTCCTTTTTTTTCTTTCTTTTTTAATACAACAAACATATGTATTTCACTCCTGTACACATTTGAGAAGGATCTGCTATGGAGCTCTGTTCCTTAGATCCAGGCCAGTAGAGGCTGAGAGAGGAAGAAGAAAACAATGGTTCCACCCAGAAGCTTCTGCTCACATTTAAATGGCCAAAGCAAGTCACATGGCCTCACCTAGCTCCATGGGAGTAGAGAAGTGCATTCCTACCGTGTGCTTGGGAGAACCTGAAATATTTGGTAGATATAGTGCTCATGACTATTCAAATTGGTTTAACATACATCTGTAACTTGTTATGTTTACTCAACAGTGTTTTTGACGTGCATCCATGTTGATACATGTAGACCTAGTTCATCATGAATCAGTAAGCCAGACACAAAAGAGTAGATGCTATATGAGTCTTTTAATCTCTAATTAAACTTGCCTTAATTTCTTTCTTGACCTCCATTTCAGTGACTGATCAATTTATTAATTCATCAGGGAGGAGGATCTACTTAATCAGTGCCTTTTGGGTGCTCTGTGTCAGAAAATGCAGTGTCCCATGGGGGTTAACTGTCATCCTGCCCTCAAGGTGCTTGGGGACTACACCAAGGTGGCAACACAAGACCCACTGCTAAGGTGGGGATGGCCAGAGCTGAGAAGCTCACAGCAAAGGAAGGATGCCTGGGGGATGGAATAGCTAGAGAGGGCTTCCCGGAGTGGGTGGGGCCGGGCCCAGAGGGTGGGCGAGACCCAGACAAGTGGAGAGGAAGGGTACGCTGCCCAGCAGTCTACCTGCTACAGGTGTGATGGCAGCTCCCATACCTGATCAGTGAGACTCACTTCCTCTTGCCTTGAGCATTCTCCCTTGGTAGTGTCACCCATCTCCTTAGCCCCAGGCCTCATCTCTGTGCCGACATTGCTACATCTGGGTCTCCAGCCAGGACCTCACCCCTGAACTGCAGACACTGGTTTTGATGCCTCCTGAGCATTTTTGCCTGGGAAATTCACACCTCACACTTAGCATGTGCAAACCAAGCCTTCCACTTCCCACCAACAGCATCTCCTTCCACATCCAGATCTCAGATGACACACCCAGCCCTTCACACTCAGAACCTTAACATTGTCTTGGACGCCTTCTCCCCCTTTCCAGTTAGACCCCAATCCTGGTGTCTGCATGAAGTAGTCAGTGACTCAGTGTGGTCTCTTTACTCCCTCTGCCACTGCTCTGGCCACCCTATCTCTAGAACTCCAAAGTTGGTGCCACTGAGCATCACTAAACATGATTCTGCCTGTGTCATGCTTTTCTCCAGAGCCGTCTGTGGCTGCCTCACCTACAGGATCCAGTTTAAACTCAGCCTGTGAGTGCTGGCCTCAGAATCTGACCTGTTCCTGTCGCCCTTCACCTTTTGCTGCCTGCTGGGCCCTGCCATTGCCAAATCCTACCCAGCCTTCAAAAGCCAATACTCAGCCCTGCTCCTCTAACGAGCCTCCCAAATCCCTCCACACTCTGTAGTTCTTTGTGTTACTTCTGTCATAACACTGGTGCTAAGATCCATTTCTGTCTCCTCCCAAGTCCCTTCTTGACTTGGGTCCTGGGGTAATGCTTTGCACACACAATGCATCAGTCTCTGTTTATTGCACTAGTTTCCTGGCACATGGCCCCCTCTGCATTCCCCATCACTTCCACACCTGAACAAAGCCCGCATTTTCCAGGCAGCCCCTGGGAGTGCCCATCAGGGATGTGATGGCTCTCTCACCCAGCACCTGTGCATTTGCCTTGGTTGTTTAGAATGGCTTTTTGTTAAGCAGTGTTGTTTTCACACACACAAAGTTATGTTGTTCCTTGAGAGTAATGACTATATTGTCTTAACTCAAGTTCACTTATTGCAAGGAAAGCTGGGAATTCAGCCCAGTGGGCTTACACGGAAGAGGAAGAGACTGGAATTGATAGGAACCACCTGGCTGACCAAGCCCAGTTGGGTGGTGTGTTATTGGGGCTTATGTCCGAAGGGAATGATAAGTTCAGATGGTGAGATCCCAGGAGTCCATGCCAGACCCTGCGTGCTGCAGGACTCAGCTGCTGCACCTCCTATGGGAGGGCATTGGCTCCCATCCCACCTCACCTACCCCAGTACCTCACTCCAGCCATTGCCACTCTCCTGGGCCAGGAGAGTGCTCCTTAAGCATACCCAGACTTAAGGTTTCCACCTTAAAAATACTTTGGCTGAAGGGCCATATTGCCAGATTTCTCTGTTTCCTTTAAAGAAAAACTCCAGAAGAAGGTGACTGTGTTGCTCACCTCCGTATCTTTCCTCCTGGCTTCTCTCAGACCTATTCAAGGTGGGCCTTTGGGCTCCTCACACCTCAGAAGCTGCTCTTATCCAAGTCAATGATGACCCTCACCTTGCAGAAGTCAGTAGTCAGTTCTCACTTCTATTCTTTCCTGAGCCATCGGCAGCATTTGACACAGTCAATCCTTCGCTCGTCCATGCAGGACTTTGTCCTCTTGGTTTCCTGGACACTGCCTGTATTAGTCTGTTTTCACACTGCTATAAAGAACTGCCCAAGACTGGGTAATTTATAAAGAAAAGAGGTTTAATTGACTCATTCACATGGCTGGGGAGACCTCAGGAAACTTACAATCATGGTGGAAGGTGAAGGGGAAGCAAGGCACCTTCTTCGCAAGGTGGCAGGAAGGAAAAATGCATGCAGGAGGAACTACCAAACGCTTATGAAACCATCAGGTTTCATGAGAACTCATGCACTGTCACCAGAATGGTATAGGGGAAACTGCCCCCATGATTCAATTCCTCCACCTGGTCTCTCCCTTGACACATGGGGATTATAGGGATTACAATTCAAATGAGATTTTGGGTGGGGACACAGACAAACCCTATCACCTTCTTTCTTGATCCTCCTCTTCCTTGACTGGTTACACTTTCTCACCATCTTCAGTGAGTCCCATCATCGCCTGATCTCTGAACATTAGGGCTCCACATGGCCCAGCCCCAGGCTCCGTGCTCTTCCTCTAAACTCAGTCCCAACGTGATCTATACACCATCTACAGGTTGATGACACTCAGATCCCTATCTCCAAGGACTTCTCCTCTGAACTCCGGGTCATGCATCCAACTTCGTATCTGGGAGGCGGTCCACCTGCACATCAGTGAACCCACCCTTTGTCCACAGCACAGCGCATACTGCAGAACTGTGTCTCAGGCCTCTTTGACATTCCTTAAAGAAATTATTTTAAAAGTTTATTTAATTCATTACTGTTCCAGTTGAAGGGGTTACATTTTTAACGAGTGTACTTTTCTATCTCATCTATTTCTATAGCTGAATTAATTTTTATCCAAGTCTTAAGAGTTCATGCAGTGTACGCAGCACGTTTTTGTGACAGTGCATTTGTACATTTTGAAGTGTGTGTGTGTGTGCCTGTGTATGTGCACACATACCTGTGTGTTTCATGAAATAGTAGCTTGGAGAGAATAGTGTTAGTTTTAAAAAATCTAAAGATTATTTTCTTTTCTAATAGTTTTTTTACAAATCCATTTCTTCTTGGACTTTGAAACCCAGAAGTGTAGCATGATTTTCAGCCTAATCATCTGCTGTGCCTAGTCCCATTTTGCTGTGAACTCCAGATTTAGAATTATGTCTTTGGGAATATGTGTTACCTCTGTGTATTTATTGGGGAACAAATTGATTAAACTATGAATTAAATAAGTGGTAATAAGTTGGAGCCTTTTGGATAGGTGTGTAAAAAATAAAGTCAGTAAGCCACTCTAAGAACCTAAACAGTAGCAAAACCACATACCACAGGAGGGTTGGTGGCGTGGAGGTTGGGAAATGTATAACATAGGTAGACAAACTGTGCCCATTACCCACACTTGCTTTATATCTCTTTAAAGTCTTTTAAGTGGTCAAAGATGGGTATAGTAGTCAGTTCTTGCATTGCTATAAAGAAATACTGAAGACTGGGAAATTTATAAAGAAAAGAGGTTTAATTGGCTCATGGTTCTGCAGGCTATACAGGAAGCATGCTCCTGGCATCTGCTCGGCTTCTGGGGAGGCCTCAGGAAACTTTCAATCATGGCAGGAGGTGAAGGGGAAGCAGGTGCTTCTTACATGGCTGGAGCAGGAGCAAGAGCGGGAGGGATGTGTCACACAAGTTTTAAACAACCAGATCTCAGAACTCACTATAGTGACGACAGTATGAAGAGGGGATGGTGTTAAACCATAAGACACTGCCCCCATGATCCAGTCACCTCCCACCAGGCCCCATCTCCATTACTGGGGATTACAATTTGACATGAGATTTGGGCAGGGACACAGATCCAAACCATATCAGTGGGGAAAGGCATCTTCTGAAGGAGAGCGGCAAAGTCACTCATTCAGTTAAGCAAGATGGACATTCTGCATAGGCAGTTTCATTTTTCTAGATGCTTGGACCGAAAGCCACTCTGTCTTACATCATTAGCAAATCCTGGCAGCTTGGCCCTGAAACCGTATCTAGAATCTGCCCATTTTTCCCAACCTCTGGGTCAGGCCACTGGTAGCTCACACCTGGGTGATCACAGTGTCCTACAGTCACCTGCTCCCACCTTCCCCACTGTGGTCCGTTCTCAGCCCAACAAGAGTGATCCTGTTAAGGTCCACACACCCTGCCGCTCCTACGCCGTGTCCCCCGAAGCCCTCACGGGCCTGCATGTGCCGGCTCCAGCTCCTCCCTGACCTCTGCCTATGGCTCTCGCCCTGCTCCCTGGGCTTTGGCCAAGCTCTGCTCTTTGTAAGACAAGCTTCTGCCCCAGGGCCTTTGCACTTGCTGTGCTCTCTGCCTGGAGCTCTTTTTCCAGAGACTCTCATGGCCCCCTCACTTCTCTCCATCACCCTTCAGTGAAGCCTTCCCACACTACCCACGATGAATTTGCACACTCCATGGCACTTCTTATCCTCTTCCTTTCCTGCTTTATTTTTCTCCAGGTATTTACTAGTGTGCTTCTGTTTCCTCCACCAGACTGTAAGCTCTGTGAGAGGGCAGGAACTATGTTTTGTTCATTGCTGTGTCCCCAGTGCTGAGAATAGTGCCTGGCACATAGGCAGTGCTGGGGAATATCTATTAAATGAAGGAATCTTCCTCCAATGTGCTCAGGATTGACTGAGACCTTGGGTGAGAGGGCAGGTCCCTGAACTCTGCAGCTCTTAGAATCTGGGAACAGAATTGAGACTCTGGGTCTCAGGAAGGATCAAGGACACAACGAAGGCGAAACCAGGCCAGTGAGAACCCATCCATCAGCCTGAAGGCAGGCTTGGTCTGGGGAAGGTGAAGTCAGATGGCCTCTGTTATGGGGCAGGCTCTGGGGTTGGGAGCCAAGGACTCTTCCTTGCAGACCATTCTGCTCTGCAGGTGTTCAAGGTAAAAATGAAATACATAATGCCAGAAAGGGATGGCTCGTGGGCCAGCTCCCAGGCCAGGGCCTTCTCTGAGCAGAGCCCTTTGTGTTCTAGAAGCCGAGAAAATGGGTCCTACGTTCTCAGCTCTGGGTGAGGGGCTGCTCTTCTTCTGGGGTGGGTCTAGGCTATCAGGGCCCTGCCTTATCCCTGAGGCCCAGCACCTTGCTCTCTCTTTAATTCTCAGGCTTCTCCCCAGAAATGTAGATGTGCAGCTCTGAGCATGGCCCAATGGGCTGGGGAGTGAAGTGTCCAGCCCCCATCACATGAGCCCACACTGGGCTATTTCCTCTTTTTCTTTATACCTCCAAATCCTGTTGCCCCCTCTCTCCTGGGGAATATAACCCAGACTTTGGGAAGGAGTAGTGGTTGTCAGGGCAGCACGAAGAGCAGGATCCTGAAAGCCCAGGTGAGACATCAATGGTTTAGACCAGGAACATGGCAGTGAAGATGGAAAGAGGAGCTATAGGACTTCTGATGACTATGGAGGCTGAGAGAGAAGCCTCCACTTGAGACTGACTACCGTATTTCTTGTAGTAACCACTGAGTAGATGGTGGTGCCCTTTATGGGGTGAGAAGGGATGGAGGAGGGAAGTGAAAAATAGGTCTGGGGACAGGGAGATCAAAACTTGTTGGACATGTGACTTTTGAGATGCCAGGCCAAGTGGAGATGTTCAGGGAGACATTTGGCAATTGGATAGATGAGCCTGGCCCTCAGAGGAGAGGCCTGAGGCTGAATACACTCTTCAGAGTTGTCAGTGTATAGATGCAATTTAGTGCTATGGGCCAAGATGGGCCATCTTGGGGGAGATGGAGAAGAAAGAAAAGAAAAAGGCATCCAGGACTGATCCCAGGATACCAGCATTTCTAGGGCAGACAGACACACTGCTGCAGAAGAGATTGAGGAGGAATCGCCAGAGAAGCAGGAAGAGACCCAGCCAAGTGTGAATCCTGGATGCCAAGAGAAGAGAATGTTCAAGGAGGAAGGAGGCTCAGCCCGGTGAGGACAGGCATGTGGCACGTGCCCATTCAACAGGGCCCTGTGCAGGTGACTGGTGACTGATGGGCGCTGTTTCCATAGTGATGGAACCCTGATGGTATGGGCCAAAATGAGGAGTGGAGGTGCCTGTGTAAGCGTTGTCCTAAGAGACTGGCTGTGGAGGAAAGCAGCACAAATCAGGGAAGCAGTGCCTGGAGGGAGTGTGAGCTGGAGCAGACAGGTGTTTGAACTGAGAAGTCCTCATGTGTGTTTGCTGCAAGGAATGCCTTCTAGCAAGGGGCAGGTGATGATGCCAAGGAGAGAAGGGGCAGGGGGCAGGAGCAAAGCCCTGGGGACCTGCAGGGGCATTGATGAGAAGAAGACACTTCCCTGGTCATGATAGGAGGAAGAGAGGATGCTGGTTTGGGGGTGGGCAGTGGGGAGGATTCTCTCAGCCCCATTCCAGGCCTCTTTTCACTATTCCAGGCCACCTATGGGCTTGAGGTCTTCACCCACCATGCATTTGTGAATGACTATTTTGAAACCAGAGTGGAAAATTTCTGTACCCAGAAAATCACTTAGACTCTTGGAAAAGTTGTTACTCCATAAAGATGATCCTTCAAGAAAAATCTCCTGTGTTGGTCTAGTTAGGGTGACTGTGCTGGCCTTCTGGATTTCCTCTGAGGACTCAAAGGACTTCCCAGGGAACACTCACTCCGGTCATCAGAGACAACTGATGATGTGCTGTGAAACCCAAGTCATGGATGGTTAAAAAAAAATGTGAAAAGCGAAGTGGAAAGAAAAAAGACATATTGATCATTGGGCAGACTGAGTGTCTGAGTATGCTGGACCCAGAGCCTTCCAGAGCTCTGAGCCCTGTCAGGGAAGATCTCTTTGCCTCGTATTAAAATTTAAAAGGAGACTTTTTTTCAAGCGGGTACAGCCTTAGGTTCCTGGGTAGGGGGGTCTCGGGCAGCCCCTGGTAGTCCCCTGAGAGCTACAACGAGGATGTAGCATCCTCTGGTCCTGGACACTGTCTGCCTGGATCCTGGCCTCTGTTTCTGTCCTGGGGAATCAGGCTGGGCTCCCAGGAGGAAGCTGGCTTCTCTCTGTCTCTCTCCTGTGGGTAAAGCAGCTTCTTAGAGAACAGAGGCATATGTGCTCGCTTGCCCTCTCTCTCTCTCTGTGTGTGTGTGTGTGTGTGTGTGTGTGTCTTTCAGTTTTTATCAAAGTTACACATGTCTGGAGTTTAAAGAGTCAAATATTTCCATAGATTTTGTTGTGGGAAACAGCAGTACTCTTTCTCTTTGCCCCACATTTTCTCTCTGCCCAACCCCCACCCACCCACCGGTCACCACTCCCAGAAGCAGTACCTTTCATCTCTTTTGGCAGATTGTCTTGGTTTGCCATATCTCTACATAATGTGCTTGGGTTGCCCATGACTTGGCTTCTCAGCTTCAGCATTATCTGCAGGCTCCAAAGCCTTTGCCATTCGCATTCCACCTCCGGCCACCTCCCTATCCTCTCATTAGTGTTGTATCATAAATAATTCACAGCCAAGCCATAAAGTAAACCATGATTACTTTCCTTTCCTGTTTTCACTGTGTATAATCATTGTATGTATGTGTGCTTAACTGCACTTTGTTTTCTATACATTTGTTACTAATTCAACCCCAGATTCACGCCTCACCCAAATTTCCCCTCAAGACATTGGAGATGTTCAGCAGCACCTGACGCTCTGTGCATCTTGTCTTGCTGAGGCAGGGGCTCCGCTGAGTTGTCTGGTGGCTCCTGACTGCCCCGGGGCTCCCCTCTCCATGGTGGTGCACTCTCATCCAGCGAGCTCCCTCCACCCACTCCCGGAGGTCCTCTCTGCCTCCTGTGTTGGGTCTTCTCTTTCCAGAACCTTGGGTCTTCCTTTTCCTTGGTTTTCATCCTCATCTTACAGAGACCATCCTTCAGTGTGGTCTTCTTCAGAGAAGATGCATGAGAGGGAAATACTTTGATCCTTCACATATCTGAAAATGCTGGAAATGTCTTTATTCTATTTTGCAGTAGATTGAAATCTATCATAGAATTCTGGGGTGGAAATCATTTTCCTTCAGTATTGTCAAGACATTGCTCCATTGCCATCTAACTTCCTGGGTTGCTCTTAAAAGCTCCAAGTCCATTCTCAGTCCTGTTGCCTTCTTTAGGGTCCTGTCTTAGGATCTTCTCTACAACCCTAGAACATGACGTCTCACAGTGATGGGTCTTGGTGTGGGTCAGTTTTCTCACTCAGTGGCTCTTTCAGTCTGGTGACCCTGGGACTTCTGCTTTAAGAAAATGTCTTGAGTTCTTTGATTATCTCCTCTCCTCTGTTTCTTCTCTCTCTCTGGAACTGCTGTTATTCAGGCCTTGGCCCTCCTATCTGTTTTCTCTGATTTTCATACCCTCTGTCACATTTTCCATTGCTTTGCCTTTTTGCTGGATTCTCTGAGTACGTCCCTCCATTTTTGTCTCCATCCATTCTATTGAGTTTTTTCTTGTTGTTGTTGTTGTTGTTGTTTGAGATGGAGTCTTGCTCTGTTGCCAAGCTGGAGTGCAGTGGCACGATCTCGGCTCACTGCAGCCTCCACCTCCTAGATTCAAGCAATTCTCCTGCCTCAGCCTCCCGAGTAGCTGGGACTACAGGAGCCCGCCACCATGCCCTGCTAATTTTTTGTATTTTGAGTAGAGACAGGGTTTCACCATGTTAGCTAGGCTGGTTTCGATCTCCAGACCTCATGATCTGCCCTCTTCAGCCTCCCAAGGTGGAGTTTTTGATTTCTACTGTCACATTTTCAGTTTTCAAGAATTTTTTTTTCTTGAATGTCCCTTTAATGGCATCCTGTTCTTGTTTGATAGACTCTACTATCTTATCTCTCTAAGGCTATTAACGTTAGTTGTTATTAATGTTACTTGGTGTTTTTGGCTTTGTTCTTGTTCTGTTTTTAGGTTTTTTTCCTGCGTGGTTTCTGTTTCTCTCAAGTGCCCCTTTATTGTGTGTTTATTTGGTCTCGTTTCTCAGACATCTGATAGCCTTTGGTGTCTTCTCATGTTTAAGAGTGGAGGGGCTCAAAGATGATTGGAAGTGATGAGTGAGGCTCTTTGACGGCGAGTTCCCCATAGCTGACTGCCGGGGCTGTTTCGTCGGGGAGTCTTCAACAGTGGTGCCTTTCTTCTTGAGCAGAATCAATCCCTATGAAGACTCAGTCTCCCTCTTGGTTAAAGGGTCTGCTTCCCATGTTCTGGAAGCCGCAGGAAAAAGTCAGGGAGGAGGGGAAGAAGGAGGGGTCTCTGCAGCCAGTCTGTATGCATTGCATTCACTTCCTCCCCACTATTTTTTTTTTTAATTTTTATCTATTTATTTTTTTTGAGATGGAGTCTCTCTATCGCCCAGGCTGGAGTGCAGTGGCATGATCACAGCTCACTGCCACCTCCGCCTCCTGGGTTCAAGAAATTCTCCTGCCTCAGCCTCCTGAGTAGCTGGGATTACAGGTGCCTGCCACCATGCCCAGCTAATTTTTGTATTTTTAGTAGAGATGGGATTTCGCCATGTTGGCCAGGCTGGTCTTAAACTCCTGACTTCAAGTGATCCGCTCACTTCAGCCTCCCGAAGTGCTGGGATTACAAGCATAAGCCATGCGCCCGACCCCCACTATTTCTTTATGGCACCCCTGCCATGCCCTCATTGTGCCTGACATCCCCCCTCAAAAGGGCTCAGTTTCAACTTGTGCAGAGAAGAAACCTCCAGGCTTTCTCTGGGGTGGGTGGGGGGAGAGTCTCCTGAGCTGCTGGAGTTGGGGCGGGGATGGGAGTCTGACAGCTTCTAACAAGACTTTCCACCAATCGTCCTTACCTTGGTTCCCTCCACCCCAACCTGCAGAGGCTTTGAGGGATCCTGGGATGTAAATCAGATTGGTTCCCAGATTTCCCTGCTGCAGGCTTGGGATTCTGTCTCTTCCAGTCATTCATCTCTTTCCAGCTTCCAAAAGTTTACTGTTAGTCTCCTATCCCATTCCCCTCTTCCTTGTAGGTTTATTATACCCAAAAGAAAAGAAAGAAAGAAAGAAAGAGAGAGAGAGGGAGAGAGAGAGAGAGAGAGAGAGAGAGAGAGAAAGAAAGGAAGGAAGGAAGGAAGGAAAAGAAGGAAAGAAGGAAAGAAGGAAGGAAGGAAGGAAGGAAGGGAAGGGAAGGGAGGAAGGAGAAAGAGAGGAAGGAAGGAAGGGAAGGAAAGGGAAAAGAAAAGGAAGAAAGTTTTTCCCACTATCTTTAATTAAAGACTGCCTGTAAGGTGGTATTCAAATATTTTTTAGCCATGCAGCCCATTCTTCCAAAGAACTCTTCAAGAAAGGTCACCCTCTCAGCCCCACCCCCAGACCCCAGGAGCCTATTGGCACTTCCCTGAACTTCTAGGACTTGGAGGCACAGGTGGGAACCTGACAGTGTTGTAGAAAGTCTTTGGGCTTTGAACTGATTCAGAGTCAAATTCTAGCCTCACTTCCAGTAATTACTGGCCAGTTCCTTTGCTCTTTGAACCTTAGTTTCTTCATCTAAATAGAGATAATGACACCCGTTTCCAGGGTCCTTTTGAGAACTAATAGTAAGATAACATGGGCTTGTTTATCCCAGGTCCAGCATACAGAAAGTATACAAGTGTTCAGCAAAGGGAGTCTTCCTTCCTCCTTCATAGTTCTTTCCTTCCTTCCCTCTTCTTTCTTCCTTGCCTCCACTAGCGTGATTCTGATTTTCTTCAGGCTAAGGTGGTCTTTCTGCCCAAGGAGGAGAGAGATGCTGTCTTTGTGTGTCTTTGGTGGCCATGTGTGGACGGCACATCATAGAAGAGAGAAAAGTCTGCACCAACTCTGTAAATGCATTGACCCATGCACAGTAACAATGAAAACTAAAATGCAAAGTGAATATGGGTCAGGCATGGTGCCTCACACCTGTAATCCCAGCACTTTGGGAGATCATGGCAGGAGTTTGAGACCAGCCTGGGCAACGTGGTAAAGCCTTGTCTCTACAAAAAAAAAAAAAAAATTAGCTGGGCATGGTAGTGTGTGCCTATAGTCCCAGCTACTCAGGAGGCTGAGGCAGGAGAATTGCTTGAGCCCAGGAGGTCAAGGTTGCAGTAAGCCATGATCACATCACTGCACTCCAGCCTGGGTGACAGTGATACCCTGTCTCAAAAAAAAAAAAAGTGACATATGGATTGTTGGACAGATGGAGTGTCTGAGAATGGGGTTCAGTGTGGGTCCACCTGAATTTTCTTAGCTGCAAATCACAAGAACATTTTACCTTTTCCATCTTCGGGCATTGTTTGAAATGAGGTCTTCTGCAGGGAGGGAGGTCATGTGGTGTGAGCCGTGGAGCTGGAGACTTTGTGTGACCCTTTCTGGGTCACAGTTTTCTCATTTGCAATTGGAAGATGTAAGAATGAGGCTTGGGCTGTAGAGTCTGGAGGACTGGGGTTTGAGTCCCAGCTGCCATTACTAGCTCTGCAATTGCTCTTTGTGAGTTTCTCTTCCATGAAATGAATGATTGCCATGTGGTTTGGATGAACTATCTCTGGCTTGTCCAGATGTGAATGTGCAGGGTCTTTCCAGCTCTGGAAACAGCAGAGCTTGGCACTAAATCCTGGGAGCTGCTGCTCAGAGAGAGTCTACCGAAAAGGCCTGGGTGAGGGAGCTATGCAGGCTCCTTCAAGCCTTGTCTCCATAAGGAGGAAGCTGATCTTCCTTGAAGGTCAAAGGACCTCATCTGAGCTTGCTGCAGGATGCTTCTTATTGGGCAGGACCGTGGCCGTGTACCCTGGTTTGAGGTGAGGCATCTGCTGGGAATTCTTTCCTTCCAGAGCCCAGAGCTGGGTATCAGCTTGCTGGAACACCTGCAGGTGAGGTGAGGAGCACAAAGGAGATGCCAAGTCTCCAGAGGGTGCTCTGGCCTCAGAGGCCTGGATGAGAGAGAAAGCACCTCTCTACCCACAGCCTGGAGTCTCTTGGAGGAGGGGCCTCCGCTGTGGTGTATGAAGAAAGGAGACCCAACCCAGCAGCTTCAGCAGTTCCTTGCAGTCCACGGGGTGAAGTCCTGGCCCCGGGAGGCAATGAGGTCCTCTGTGAGTCGGTGCCAGAGGTTTTCCAGCCTGGCCGCATCCCAAGGGTGCATGAAGCTCCAGCCACATCTTCCCTGCTTAGTGTGGCTGAGTGTCTTTCCCTGCTCTGTGGGTGGAGGTGCTTCTCGGGAGTGCTGGGAGTATAAAATGAAATCAGATGCATGAAACAGTTGCCCAGGGCCTGGTACTCTGCCCCCAACCCCGTTGCCAGTCACAGCCAATGACCTGCATCCTTGAAGACCTGCCCTCTGAGCACGGCATGTGTCCCAGTTTAGCACTAGGTGACAACAGCACACCTGGGTTCAAATCCTGGCCCTGCGCCTCACACAAAAGTTGTTTAACCTCTCTGGCTCAGTCTTCTCATCTAGAAAATGAGAATAATCATAGTGCTGTGTCTCAAAGTTGTTGCAGATTAAGTGAAATGGCATTTGTGTGTAATGTACTTGGCATGTAGAAAGTTGACCTCTTTTTCTGAATTATCAATATTTACTTCTCTGATTGCCTCTTCAGGCAAATAATAAATTCCGGATAGTGCCACCCCCTGCCCCCATTACTTTTCAGCAGAGTATAAACTCTGAACTGGACCACCTGCATGAAAATCTAGAATCTCTGAGTGGCTGCCTGAGCATAAGTTATGTAACTGCTCTGTGCCTTGGTTTCCCAGTCTGTAAGATGGAGATAACAGTACTGTGATTATATCTTAGAGGGTTGGTATGAGAATTAACCAAGATGCTACCTATGAAGTACTCACGGTACGTGGCACATAGTAAGTGCTTCATAAAACTCAGCTGTTATTATTAGAAAAGAATCCTCAGAAATCACTTAATCGTAATTCCTCATTTGCCAGTAAGGAAACTGTAGCCCAGGGAGGCATTAACATGGCATGTTAATGATGGAAGCCAGCATCTTGACCCCCGCTTAGTATATGCCAACAGGAGGAAGGAAGTAGGAGGCAACATGTGATAAGTGTACACAAAAGCATGTGCCATCCTTCCATGGCTGTCTTGATGGCAAGGAGATGGTGTGGTGGTGGGATCAGGTTGGAAACCTAATGTGCCTTCGGCTCCCTTGCAGAGGGATATTCAGCCCCAGAGGATTCCAAGCAGGTTGAGAGGGGCATCCCTCCGTGGAGACAGATCCTGAGCAAAGGAGGAAAGTGTCCTGCCAGGGAGGCCTGGGGTGGCCTCGGCTATAGGAAATACACACTGATGAATTCAGGGGAAATGGACGTTGGGTTGCAACTTGCTCTCAGATGGTTCAGGATAAAAATGTTCCTGTATGTTTGTGATGTTTCTAAATAAAAACCTTAAATGATAATACAGCACGACTCAGAAGAAGGGGGACCAGGGAAGCCAGGAATTGAGGGAAGACTTTAAAAGAGACAGAGGGCATTGGGAGCCAGCCAGGCAGACTTCTGGACAAGTGGAGTCTGCTGAGGCCAGGAGAGGTGGTGAAAGGCCTTGGACCAAAGGAGGCAGCGGGGCCAAAGCTCCAAGCGGAATTTTGGATCTGTGCTATGGATGGGGTCATCTGTTGACATGAGTGGCTGGCAGGCCCAAGATGGACAGGCCCAGCTGTCAAGAGAGTCAAGGGAGGTGTGTGCTGGGGCCCAGCAGCCAGCAGAAGACAGAGCAGTCTTGGAGTGGGGCAGCATGGAGTGGGACAGGCTTACTGGGCAGGCAGGCTCCCAAGAATGTGGTGACAGCTGACAGGGCTGCACATGAGAGCCAAAAAGAGCCTACGGCAGCCAGGGAGAAGCCAGGCTATGGGTTAGGCCTTGTGACCAGCTGGCAGGTGCAGTTGGCAGACTGGGCCAAATGTGGCCAGCCAGGGGGCTGGACAAAGTTTTTAGAGACTAGAGCCAAGGGTAGGCTGGGCACCTCCCCTGCATCCCCAGGGAAAGTGACAAGGAATGGAGGCAGCTGACAAGGGCCTGGAGGCCGAGGGAAGCTCCTCTGCAATGTGAGCATTATTCAGCCTGAATCCCAGGGTGGAGTCTTCAGGGGCCATGTTCCCCCAAGAGCAGGCCAGGAGGGGTGCAGGCTGACACAAAAGGAAGAGGAGCTACCCTGTCACAAAGAGGAGGAGTCAAGCTCCTACAAACTTTCAGAATGTCAGCAGATCTAGCATCTAGGCTTCCCCAAATCCTCATCTCCCCAGGGCTCCCCTCAGAAGTTTCTGGGGCTGTGTAGCTGGCGAGCTCAGGACCAGGCTCTAAGCTCTGTGATTTTCCTGAGGGTTGTAGCTTACGCTAGTCTAACCATGAGACACCTGGATGGGAATCAAGTTCTAGGTCCAGAGCAGGAAGGTCCAGGAGTGAGGAGGTGGCTGGGCTCCAACAGGCTCTGCAGATAGGACTGGCCGTCCAGCATAGGGCATGCTCCAATGTTCCCAATGCTGCCTGGGCCGGGGGGCATCATCCCTCTCCTGAGGACTCACAGGGAGGAGGTGGGGCACCTGAGAGGCCACTCCCTCCCCTTTCACTTAGGAGGAAATGGGGGCCCAGGAAAGAAATAGGTGCCTCAGTTGCCAGAGTGCCCAGTTCAATCCCAGCTCTGCCGCTTACTGTTCGCTGGGCACATTCCTCCACCTCCGTGTAGCTCCATTTGTTCGTCTGTAAGCTGGGAGAGAACAGCGCCTACCTCACTACTGTGAGGCCACTGTGAGGCTTGCAGGGCTTGTTTTCTCAGTGCAAGTGAGGAGCCCTCGCTGGGTGGGGGTTCTCGCCATGCCTCACCAAGCGCTGGCTGTGAATCTCTCCCCAGTGGCAAAGCCAAACCCTGGGGTCACCGTTGAAACAAGATCTTACTCTTTGTCCTTTATTCTCTTTCTTCCCCAAAACCACTGGGTCAGCTGACCTGGGTGCCCGGCACACCCTCTGTAATAGATGGGAGAAGTCAAGCCCTCTGGGGCTGCCCCTCTGCCCCCCACCCCTGGAGAGAGACGAGGCTCTGGGCCCCACAGGTTGGGTTCCCTGCCCATCACTCCTCAACCTCACCACCCCACTCCCTGCCATCCCCCCAAAGGTGACTCCAGGCTGGTTGCTTCCTTCCAGAGCCTGCGCCTTCATTCCCCAATGCCTTTGCACACTCTATCCCTCTGTGCAGGTGCCCCTACCCCATTTTCTACCTAGTAAACTCTTCAAAGCCCAGTGCAGTGTTTTCACCCTCTGGGAAACTGCCCTCATCTCCCTCCGCACCCATACCCACCCCTCCATCAGAGTCAACCTGCCCACCTCTGTGTCCCTCTGAACTTGTGCATTCTGTCATCAAACACACTGCTGTTTTGTTCAGCCAGCAGTTTATCCAGCCACCTCCTCCCAGGGTGTCACTCCTTAAAGGCAGGGACCAGAGCGGATTGGTCTTGGTCCCTAATACCTAGCACATGACACAGATGCCATAGATAGTTTACTTTTCATTCATCAAATATTAATTGGGTGCCAACTGTTGTAGGTGTTGGGGGTATAACAGTGAACAAGCAGATGAAGAGCAAGGGACCTTGAACCACCAAAACAATCTTGCAAGAGGACAATGTTGCAGCTCTCACACTTCCTGATTTCAAAACTTACTACAAAAATACAGTAATTGAAACAGTGTGGTACTGACACAAGACAGAAATATAGTTCAGTGGAATACAACAGAGAGCCCAGAAATAAACCCTAGCAAATATGGTCAAATGATTTTCAGCAAGGTTGCCAAGGCTATTCAATGGGGAAAGAAAGTCTTTCCAAGGAATGATGCAAAAGCAGAATATCCACATGCAAAAGGTGAAGTTGGACTCATACCTTACACCATATACAGAAATGAACTCAAAATGGATCAAAGACCTAAAGGTGAGAGCTAAAACTATAATAAAACTCTTAGGAGAAAACATAAGGGAAGAACTTCATGAAATTGGATTTGGCAATGATTTCTTGGATACAACACCAAGCATAGGCAACAAAAGAAAAAATAGATAAGTTTGGACTTCATCAAAATTTAAAACTTTTATTCATTAAAGGACACTATCAACAGAATGAAAAGGCAACCCTGGGAATGGGAGAAAATATTTGCAAATCATATATTTGATAAGGGCTTGATATCCAGAATATGTAAAGAACTCCTACAACTCAACAACAACAACCTCAATCCAAAAACCCAATTTTAAAAATAGCCAAAAAGCATGAATGGACATTTCTCCAAACAAGATATACAAATGGCCAATCATCACATGAAAAGACATTCAACCTCACTAATCATGAGGGAAATAAAAGTCCAAACTACAATGAGATACTACTTCACACCCTCTAGGAGGGCTATTATCAAAAACATGGAAAATAAGTGTTGAGAAGGATGTGGAGAAATTGGAACCTTTGTACGCTGCTGGTGGGAGCGTGAAATGGTGCAGCCGCTGTGAAAAACGGTATGGTAGTTCTTCAAAAATCACAAACATAGAATTACCATATGATCTAGCAATTCCACATCCAAGTACATACCACCAATACCGAAATCAGGAACTCAGATATTTGTACACCTGTGTTCAGCAGCATTATTCACAATAGTCAAAAGCTGGAAGCAACCCCAGTGTCCACTGATGGATAAACAGATAAACAAAATACGTTCTAGTCATGCAATGAAATACCACTCAACCTTAACATGGAAGGACATTCTGATACCTGCCACACGTGGATGAACCTTGAGGACACCATGCTGCGTGAACTAAGCCAGTCACGAAAAAGGACAGATACTGTATGATTTCACTGATATGGGGTACATAGACTAGTCGTATCCATAGATAGAAAGGAGAGTGGTGGATGCCAGGTCTTGGAGGAAGGAGGAGATGGGGAGTGAGTGTTTAACAGATACAAAGTTTCCGTTTGGAAAATGGAAATTTTTCTGGAGCTGGACAGTCGTGGAGCTGGATGGTGGTAATGGTTGCACAACAATGTGAATGTACTTAATACCACTGAACTGCACACTTAAAAATGGTTCAGGGCAGTTCCAAGATGGCCAAATAGGAACAGCTGTGGTCTGCAGCTCCCAGCGTGATCGACGCAGAAGACGGGTGATTTCTGCATTTCCAACTGAGGTACCTGGTTCATCTCATTGGGACTGGTTGGAGAGTGGGTGCAGCCCATGGAGGGCGAGCTGAAGCAGGGCAGGGCATCGCCTCACCCGGGAAGTGCAAGGGGTCAGGGGATTTCCCTTTCCTAGCCAAGGGAAGCCATGACAGACTGTACGTGGAAAATCGGAACACTGCCGCCCAAATATTGTGCTTTTCCAATGGTCTTAGCAAACGGCACACCAGGACATTATATTCTGCGCCTGGCTCAGCAGGTCCCATGCCCACAGAGCCTTGCTCACTGCTAATGCAGCAGTCTGAGATCAACCTGCAAGGCAGCAGCCTGGCAGGGGGAGGGGCATCCACCATTGCTGAGGCTTGAGTAGGTAAACAAAGCAACTGGGGAAGCTCAAACTGGGTGGAGTCCACAACAGTTCAGCAAGGCCTGTTGCCTCTGTAGATTCCACCTCTGGGGGCAGGGCATAGCTGAACAAAAGGCAGCAGAAACTTCTGCAGACTTAAGCGTCCCTGTCTGACAGCTCTGAAGAGAGCAGTGGTTCTCCCAGCATGGTGTTTGAGCTCCGAGAACAGACAGACTGCCTCCTCAAGTGGGTTCTTGACCCCCGTGTAGCCTAACTGGGAGACACCTCCCAGTAGGGGCCGACTATCACCTCATACAGGCGGGTGTCCCTCTGGGATGAAGCTTCCAGAGGTAGGATCAGGCAGCAATATTTGCTGTTCTGCAGCCTCTGCTGGTAATACCCAGGCAGACAGGGTCTGGAGTGGACCTCCAGCAAACTCCAACAGACCTGCAGCTGAGGGACCTGACTGTTAGAAGGAAAACTAACAAACAGAAAGGAATAGCATCAACATCAACAAAAAGGACATCAACACCACAACCCCATCTGTACATCACCATCATCAAAGACCAAAGGTAGATAAAACAACAAAGATGGGGAAAAGCCAGAGTAGAAAAGCTGAAAATTCTAAAGATCAGAGTGCCTCTTCTCCTCCAAAGGATCGCAGCTCCTTGCCAGCAAAGGAAAAAAGCTGGATGGAGAATAACTTTGACAAGCTGACAGAAGTAAGCTTCAGAAGGTCGGTAATAACAAACTTCTCTGAGCTAAAGGAGAATGTTCGAACCCATCGCAAGGAAGCTAAAAACCTTGAAAAAAGATTAGACGAATGGCTAACTAGGATAAACAGTGTAGAGAAGACCTTAAATGACCTGTTGGAGCTGAAAACCATGGCACAAGAACTACGTGACGCATGCACAAGCTTCAATAGCCAATGGAAGAAAGGGTATCAGTGATTGAAGATCAAATTAATGAAAAAAGTGAGAAGAGCAGTTTAGAGAAAAAAGAGTAAAAAGAAATGAACAAAGCCTCCAAAAAATATGGGACTATGTGAAAAGACCAAATCTACATTTGATTGGTGTACTTGAAAGTGACAGGGAGAATGGAAACAAGTTGGAAAACACTCTTCAGGATATTATCCAGGAGAACTTCCCCAACCTAGCAAGGCAGGGCCAACATTCAAATTCAGGAAATACAGAGAACACCACAAAGATACTCCTTGAAAAGAGCAACCCCAAGACACACAATTTGATAATTCACCAAGCTTGAAATGAAGGAAAAAATATTAAGGGCAGCCAGAGAGAAAGGTCAGGTTACCCGCAAAGGGAAGCCTATCAGACTAACAGTGGATCTCTCGGCAGAAACCCTACAAGCCAGAAGAGAGTGGGGGCCAATATTCAACATTCTTAAAGAAAAGAATTTTCAACCCAGAATTTCATATCCAAACCAAACTTCATAAGTGAAGGAGAAATAAAATCCTTTACAGACAAGCAAATGCTGAGAGATTTTTTCACCACCAGGACTGCCTTACAAGAGCTCCTGAAGGAAGCACTAAACATGGAAAGGAACAACCAGTACCAGCCACTGCAAAAACATGCCAGATTGTAAAGACCATCGATGCTAGGAAGAAACTGCATCAACTAACAGGCAAAATAACCAGCTAATATCATAATGACAGGATCAAATTCACACATAACAATATTAACCTTAAATGTAAATGGGCTAAATGCCCCAATTAAAAGACACAGACTGTCAATTTGGATAAAGAGTCAAGACCCATCAGTGTGCTGTATTCAGGAGACCAATCTCATGTGCAGAGACACACATAGGCTCAAAATAAAGGGATGAAGGAAGATCTACCAAGTAAATGGAAAGCGAAAAAAAAGCAGGGGTTGCAATCCTAGTCTCTGATAAAACAGACTTTAAACCAACAAAGATCAAAAGAGACAAAGAAGGCCATTACATAATGGTAAAGGGATCAATTCAACAAGAAGAGCTAACTATCCTAAATATATATGCACCCAATACAGGAGCAACCAGATTCATAAAGCAAGTCCTTAGAGACCTACAAAGAGACTTAGACTCCCTCACAATAATAATGAGAGACTTTAACTCCCCACTGTCAATACTAGACAGATCAACAATACAGAAGGTTAACAAGGATATCCAGGACGTGAACTCAGGTCTGCACCAAGCGGACCTAATAGACATCTACAGAACTCTCCATCCCAAATCAACAGCATATACATTCTTCTCAGCACCACATAGCACTTATTCCAAAATTGACCACATAGTTGGAAGTAAAGCACTCCTCAGCAAATGTAAAAGAACAGAAATCACAACAAACTGCCTCTCAGACCACAGTGCAATCAAATTAGAACTCAGCATTAAGAAACTCACTCAATGATTGCCATTCTAACTGGTGTGAGTTCAGGGATCTAGAACTAGAAATACCATTTGACCCAGCCATCCCATTACTGGGTATATACCCAAAGGACTATAAATCATGCTGCTATAAAGACACATGCACACGTATGTTTATTGTAGCATTATTCACAATAGCAAAGACTTGGAACCAACCCAAATGTCCAACAATGATAGACTGGATTAAGAAAATGTGGCACATATACACTATGGAATACTATGCAGCCATAAAAAATGATGAGTTCATGTCCTTTGTAGGGACATGGATGAAATTGGAAATCATCATTCTCAGTAAACTATTGCAAGAACAAAAAACCAAACACCGCATATTCTCACTCATAGGTGGGAATTGAACAATGAGAATACATGGACACAGGAAAGGGAACATCACACTCTGGGGACTGTTGTGGGGTGGGGGGAGGGGGGAGGGATAGCATTGGGAGATATACCTAATGCTAGATGACGAGTTAGTGGGTGCAACGCACCAGCATGGCACATGTATACATATGTAAGTAACCTGCACGTTGTGCACATGTACCCTAAAACTTAAAGTATAGTAATAATGAAAAAATAAATAAATAAATAAACTCATTCAAAACCGCACAACTACATGGAAATTGAACAACCTGCTCCTGAATGACTACTGCATAAATAACGAAATGAAGGCAGAAATAAAGATGTTATTTGAAACCAATGAGAACAAAGACACAATGTACCAGGACCTCTGGGACACATTTAAAGCAGTGTGTAGAGGGAAATTTATAGCACTAAATGCCTACAAGAGAAAGCAGAAAAGATCTAAAATCGACACCCTAACATCACAATTAAAAGAACTAGAGAAGCAAGAGCAAACAAATTCAAAAGCTAGCAGAAGGCAAGAAATAGCTAAGATCAGAGCAGAACTGAAAGAGATAGAGACACACAAAAACTCTTCAGAAAAAATCAATGAATCCAGGACCTGGTGTTTTTAAAAGATCAACAAAATTGATAGACCATTAGCAAGACTCCTAAAGAAGAAAAAAGAGAAGAATCAAATAGACGCAATAAAAAATGATAAAGGGGATATCACCACTGATCCCACAGAAAAACAAACTACCATCAGAGAATACTATAAACATCTCTATGCAAATAAACTAGAAAATCTAGAAGAAATGGATAAATTCCTGGACACATACACCCTCCCAAGACTAAACCAGGAAGAAACTGAATCTCTGAAGAGACCAATAACAGGCTCTGAAATTGAGGCAATAATTAATAGCCTACCAACCAAAAACAGTCCAGGACCAGATGGATTCACAGCCCAATTCTACCAGAGGTACAAAGAGGAGCTGGAACCACTGCTTCTTAAACGATTCCAAGCAATAGAAAAAGAAGGAATCCTCCCTAACTCATTCTATGAGACCAACATCATCCTGATACCAAAGCCTGGAAGAGACACAACAAAAAAAAAGAGAATTTTAGACCAATATCCCTGATGAACATCGATGTAAAAATCCTCAATAAAATACTGGCAAACTGAATCCAGCAGCACATCAAAAAGCTTATCCACCACGATCAACGTGGCTTCATCCCTGGGACGCAAGGATGGTTCAACATACACAAATCAATAAATATAATCCATCACATAAACAGAACCATCGACAAAAACCACATGATTATCTCAATAGATGCAGAAAAGGCCTTCAACAAAATTCAACAGCACTTCATGCTAAAAACTCTCAATAAACTAGGTATTGATGGAACATATCTCAAAATAATAAGAGCTATTTATGACAAACCCACAGCCAATATCATACAGAATAGGCAAAAACTGGAAGCATTCCCTTTGAAAACTGGCACAAGACAGGGATGCCCTCTCTCACCACTCCTATTCAACATAGTGTTGGAAGTTCTGGCCAGGGCAATCAGGCAAGAGAAAGAAATAAAGGGTATTCAATTAGAAAAAGAGGAAGTCAAATTGTCCCTGTTTGCAGATGACATGGTTGTATATTTAGAAAACCCCATCATCTCAGCCCAAAATCTCCTTAAGCTGATAAGCAACTTCAGCAAAGTCTCAGGATACAACATCAATGTGCAAAAATCACAAGCATTCCTATACACCAATAACAGACAAACAGAGAGCCAAATCATGAGTGAACTCCCATTCACAATTGCTACAAAGAGAATAAAATACCTAGGAATCCAACCTACAAGGGATGTGAAGGACCTCTTCAAGGAGACCTACAAAGAAACCACTGCTCAATGAAATAAAACAGGACACAAACAAATGGAAGACCATTTCATGCTCATGGATAGGAAGAATCAATATTGTGAAAATGGCCATACTGCCCAAGGTAATTTATAGATTCAATGCCATCCCCATCAAGCTACCAATGACTTTCTTCACAGAATTGGAAAAAACTAAAGTTCATATAGAACCAAAAAAAAGCCCGCACTGCCAAGTCAATCCTAAGCAAAAAGAACAAAGCTGGAGGCATCACACTACCTGACTTCAAAGTATACTACAAGGCTACGGTAACCAAAACAGCATGGTACTAGTACTAAAACAGAAATATAGACCAATGGAGCAGAACAGAAGCCTCAGAAATAACACCACACATCTACAACCATCTGATCTTTGACAAACATGACAAAAACAAGAAATGGGGAAAGGATTCCCTTTTTTAATAAATGGTGCTGGGAAAACTGGCTAGCCCTATGTAGAAAGCTGAAACTGGATCCCTTCCTTACACCTTATACAAAAATTAATTCAAGATGGATTAAAGACTTAAATGTTAGACTTAAAACCATAAAAACCCTAGAAGAAAACCTAGGCAATACCATTCAGGACATAGGCATGGGCAAGGACTTCATGTCTAAAACACCAAAAGCAATGGCAACAAAAGCCAAAATAGACAAATGGGATCTAATTAAACTAAAGAGCTTCTGCACGGCAAAAGAAACTACCATCAGAGTGAACAGGCAACCTACAAAATTGGAGAAAATTTTTACAATCTACCAATCTGACAAAGGGCTAACATCCAGAATCTACAAAGAACTTAAACAAATTTACAAGAAAAAAACAAACAACCCCATCAAAAAGTGGGCAAACAATATGAACAGACACTTCTCAAAAGAAGACATTTATGCAGCCAACAGACACATGAGAAAATGCTCATCATCACTGGTCATCAGAGAAATGCAAATCAAAACCACAATGAGATACCATCTCACACCAGTTAGAATGGCTATCATTAAAAAGTGAGGAAACAACAGATGCTGGAGAGGATGTGGAGAAATAGGAACACTTTTACACTGTTGGTGGGGGTGTAAACTAGTTCAACCATTGTGGAAGAGAGTGTGGTAATTCCTCAAAGATCTAGAATTAGAAATACCATTTGATCCAGGAATCCCATTACTGGGTATATACCCAAAGGATTATAAATCATGCTACTATAAAGACACATGCACACATATGTTTATTGTGGCATTATTCACAATAGCAAAGACTTGGAACCAACTCAAATGCCCATCAATGATAGACTGGATTAAGAAAATGTGGCACATATACACCATGGAATACTATGTACCCATAGAAAAGGATGAGTTCATGTCCTTTGTGGGGACATGGATGCAGCTGGAAACCATCATTCTGAGCAAACTATCACAAGGACAGAGAACGAAATACCGCATGTTCTCACTCATAGGTGGGAATTGAACAATGAACACATTGGACACAGGATGGGGAACATCACACCCCGGGGCCTGTTGGGGGGTGGGGGGCAGGGGGAGGGATAGCATTAGGGATAGCATTACCTTATGTAAATGACTAGTTAATGGGTGCAGCAAACCAGCATGGCACATGTATACTTATGTAACAAACCTGCACTTAGTGTACATGTACCCTAGAACTTAAAGTATAATAAAATAAAATAAAATAAAATAATGAGTTGGAAAATAAAAAGTTTCAAGGGCTGGGCGCAGTGGTGCACTCCTGTAATCCCAGCACTTTGGGAGGCTGAGGTGGGGTGGATCACCTGAGGTCAGGAGTTCGAGACCAGCCTGGCCAACATGGTAAAACCCCGTCTTTACTAAAAATACAAAAAATTGGCCAGCATGGTGGCACACACCTGTAATACCAGCTACCCAGGAGGCTGAGGCAGGAGAATCACTTGAACCTGGGAGGTGGAGGTTGCAATGAGCCGATATCGGGCCACTATACTCCAGCCTGGGCAACAAGAGCAAAACTCGGTCTCAAAAAAAAAAACAAACCCAAAATGGTTCAAGTGGTACATTTTAGGTTGTGTATTTGTTACCACAATTTTAAAAAGAGTTGCTTAAAAAAGTGCAGTATGAGCAGCTTGGAGCCCAGACAGACACACAAAGCTGAGGTTGCAGAGCACCTGGAGGAAGCTGGCAGGACAGGATGAAGGCAGGAGTGGCTGGGAGCCAAGAGCGCAGGCATGTGGTCATGGGCAAGTTACTTAATGCCCCTGTGAATCCCTTTCTCATCTGCAGGGTGGGGAGAGTGATCGCTACCACAGCATGTGTCATTCTAAGGACTGCATGGTGCTTGGGACATGTCAATGCTCAACACACACATACACACATTAGCTTGTCTGAGTCCTGCAGCCCAGTTCTGGCACCTCCTGGACTGCTTTGCACATGAGGCCATTGATTGGGAGGGTCACAGAAGGCTCAGAAAGCACCTCTGAGGACCTGGCATTCGAGCTGAGGTCTGAGGATTGGGGCAGTTAACAAAGGCATGGGGATGGAAGGGGAGGGAGGATTGTTCCATCTGGAGGAACTGGCAGGGTCAAAGGTCGGAGGCTGGACAGAGCATTAGCACCGTGCAGGAAAGGGGTGCTAGGGAGGCTGGAGTGGGGGATGGCCAGAGAGGAGGGGAAGCAGTGGGCAGCCTGGGAGGGGCCTGGGAGCCCATGGTCAGGTGGAAGGTGTCCGTGGAGTGTGGAGGAAAGGATATCTGCTTCTTTTCCATCAAATGGAAGAGGCCACATCACTCATCTCACTTTTGTGAGGGGAGAGTGGCAATGAATACATGAAAATTATTGTCAATTATTGTAAATTATAAATGCTCTGTGGGCTTTTTTAAATAAATCCCCAAAGCCTGGTATTGCTATAACTCTGCCACATGGTTGGCCCTAACGCCTGGCCCAGCAGGAGTCTGTGCTGGTCCCCAGGTCCCTCCAGAGTGCCGGAGGCTGCCTTGGCCCCAGGCCACCTCCTCGGGCTCCTCGCTCTACCAGCCAAGCCATTCCCTCGGTGGATCCCAAGCATCCCTGCCTCTGTGCCTTTGCTCCTGCCATCCCCTCCACCTGCAGGGCCATTTCCCCTTCTTCATCTTCAAAGCCCAGGCCAGGCACCCCCATTCCCTGGAGCCTCCCTGGCCCTCCCCAACCCTGCCACTGCCTGCTTGTCAACAGCTATCCTTCCAAACCCCAAGACCGACTGATTATTTTCCCTTAGCTTGACTTTTACTATTTTCTGTTTGCTTCAGGCAAACTATGCTTCTTCTGCTGGCCATCTTTTGAGCCCACAGGCAGGGAAGGTACAGTTAATAAAATCCGTAGATGCTTTAAAACATGGAAGTTTAAATCCGCAAGCCTGGGCAGGATGATCTTCAGTGTGATATGGTGTCACCTCCTACTAGCTGTGTGGCTGAGGGCAAGTCACTGTGCCTCTCTTAGCTCAGTGTCCACATCTGCAGAATAGGGACAGCTCTCTCTACCTCACAGGGCTGTCATGAAAAGCCAGGAGACTAGAGGACACTTCAGCACCTCCCACCACTCCCGATGAGCACTGCGTAGATCTGCAGTCAGTGTGAGCAAGTGCTGTTCTCTTTCTGTCATTTGGAATGACTGCATCTGGGCTTGATTCTAGTCACAGGGCTGCCTCCTGGCTGATGGCTTCTCTGAAAGGCACTACACGTGCTTTAAGTAGTATTTGCAAGTGACACTGCATCCAGGCCGGGCCAGTGCTGCTGGAGAGCTGCCTACAAGCTTTCTGGAGACAATGCATTGATCCATTTCTTTACTGGGCACCAGGCCTGATGCAGGGAGGCATGTAAGGAGTGAGTGGTCATCTGTAGCAAGGCCACACCCAGTTACATCAGCCCTGCTTCAAGAAGCAGAAGTCTAGGTTTGTAGTCTTGGCTCTGCTGCCAATGGCTGTGTGACCTTGGGCAAGGCCTTTGTCTGCTCTGGTCATCAGCCAATTTGCTGACTCTACAAGGCCTCACAGCTTCAGGAGATGAGCACAGGTCCCTCCACACCTGGGGGCTCCTCACTTAGAAACTTCCTGGCATGTCTGTTCTGAGAATGATGCCAGGTCCTCTGGACAGCTGCATCTGTTCTGTCTCGGGAACCCTTCTCTGTCAGCTCTGAGCCTGCTGAGAAGAGCACTCCTTGCTTTTCTGTGCCCTGAATTTCCCACTCTCAGGCCATGAAGGGAGCTGATTCGAGCACAGATTGGGGTAGAGAGAGGCAGCTCCTGGGAGACTTGAGCCCCCCGCCTTCTCCACTACAGTCCTCACTTTGCACACTCAGGAGGGACCTCGAACAACTTCACCTCTGGGGACCACTGGTTGAGGTGCAGCACGTGGTCCCCAGGGACTGAGCCTGTTCCAGCTGTAGTCACCCGCCCTGCTGCCCACCCTCCACCCCATCTGCAGTCACTGTTGACTGAAGGACTTACATGCTCCAGGCACAGAAGTAAGCACTAAACTCAGAGGGGCCATGGTCACTCAGGTTGTAAGGAGCAGAGCTGGGATTCACACTCAGCCGTGTTTGGCTTCAAAGCCTGTGTCCTTTCCTTCACACCTCACTGCCATTAACTGGGAGCCCTACTTTCTGCATTTTCCAACTGTCAGCTTTCTGCATGGCAAGGCTCTGGTGAGACCCTGTTACTGTTCCTCTCTGTGACTAGGGCCAGGACTGGAATGTCCAGTGAATGCTGAGGATGGTAGTGGTGGTGGTGGTGGTGGTGATGGTGGTGATGGTGGTGGTGGTGGTGGTGGTGATGGTAGTGGTGGTGGTGGCAGTGGTGATGGTGGTGATGGTAGTGGTATTGGTGGTGGTGGTGGTGGTGGTGGTGATGGTGGTGATGGTGGTGGTGGTGGCTGTGGCAGGGGTGGTAGTGGTGGTGATGGTGGTGATGGTGGTGGTGATGGTAGTGGTGGTGATGGTGGTGGTGGTGGTGATGGTGATGGTGGTGGTGGTGGTGGTGATGGTAGTGATGGTGATGGTGGTGGTGGTGATGGTAGTGGTGGTGATGGTAGCGATGGTGGTAGTGGTGGTGATGCTGGTGGTAGTGGTGTTGGTGGTGGTGATGGTAGCAATGGTGGTAGAGGTGGTGGTGGTGGTGATTGTAGCGATGGTGGTATTGGTGGTAGTGGTATTGGTGGTGGTGGTAGTGGTGGTGGTGGTGATGGTGGCGATGATGGTGGTGGTGATAGTGGTGATGGTGGCGATGGTAGCGATGGTGGTAGAGGTGGTGATGGTGGTGGTGGTAGTGATGGTGGTGGTAGTGGTGGTAGTGGTATTGGTGGTGGTGGTGATGGTAGCGATGGTGGTGGTGGCGATAGTGGTGGTGGTGGTGTTGGTGATGGTGGTAATGGTAGCGATGGTGGTAGAGGTGGTGTTGGTGGTGATGGTGGTAGTGGTGATGATGGTAGTGGTGGTGGTGGTGATGGTAGCGATGGTAGAGGTGGTGATGTTGGTGGTGGTGGTAGTGATGGTGGTGGTAGTGGTATTGGTGGTGGTGGTGGTGGTAGTGGTGGTGGTGGTGATGGTAGCGATGGTGGTGGCGGTGATAGTGGTGGTGGTGGTGATGGTAGAGGTGGTAGTGGTGGTGGTGGTGATGGTGGTGGTAGAGGTGGTAGTGGTGGTGGTGATGGTGGTGGTAGAGGTGGTAGTGGTGGTGGTGGTGGTGGTGGTGGTGGTGGTAGTGGTGGTGGTGATGGTGGTGGTAGAGGTGGTAGTGGTGGTGGTGATGGTAGCAGTGGAGGTAGAGGTAGTGGTAGTGGTGGTGATGGTGGTGGTAGTGGTGGTGATGGTAGCGGTGGTGGTACAGGTGGTAGTGGTGGTGGTGATGGTAGCAGTGGTGGTAGAGGTGGTGGTGGTGGTAGTAGTGGTGGTAGTGGTGGTGGTGATGGTAGTAGCGATGATAGTGGTGGCGGTGATGGTGGTGGTGATGGTAGTGATGGTGGTAGAGGTGGTCGTGGTGCTTCACTGGGGCCTATGGTGAGGGTTTGCTGTGGAGAGACATCCCCCTCCCTGTCCAGTTATTCCATGCCCTAGAGAATAGTTCTCTCACTAGCAACATCTTCAACCATGAGAGCCAGAGGGTGTTTAATCAATTCAAAGAGGGGGGATTGGTGCCCTTCTTTTCCTGCCCACTGGTTGTGTGACCTCAGGCAAGTGACTTTACCTCTCTGAACCTCCATTTCCTCACTTGAAAAAGAGGACTGACATAACCCCCCTCACTGGTTTCTAGTAAGGATGAGGAGGTCCTGGAGTGAGGAGAATGCACTGTAGTGCTAGAGGATCACAGATGTTCGTTTGTGTTCTTGCGGCTGCTGCTGTCTATCCCATGCAGAAAATGGCTGAGCAGTGTGGGGTCCAGTTAGCCACGAGGTACAGGCATACCTTGGGGCTGGAGAGACGTTCCTCTTCATCTTGATCATAAAGGTGGCATGGTGCTCTGATCAATAAAGGTGTTGCTTCCTACTCCAACAGAAGATAAAGACGACCCTTTGGTGGCTGTGTCAGGACCTGTAAAATCCTTTATGGCTTGCAGCACCAGGAGGAGCCCTTATGACTGGAATGAACAACAGCAAGGCCACCAGCTCCAAGATATGAAGGCCTGAGGAGAACAGCATGACAAAGACTGAGCAGGAGATTGGACCATTGTAGGAGGTGCTGATCCCAGTCAACGAAAAACTTTCAACACGGCGAAGAAGCATCTCCACTTCCCCTGCGCTTACATTGGAGGAGACCAAAGAGCCACGTCTATAGCAGCCTCCACCTCATTTCCCTATTCTGATCTTGCTTTCTCGTTTCCAGCATCTGGGTTGTGGTCAGGTTCACTGTGCAGCTCTCAAGAGGGTCTAGCCCCAGTCTCAATATGGATACACCAGGAAGGACCTAAATAAGGAGCCCCCAGGTGTTGAGGGGTCTATGCTCACCCCCTGGAGCTATGAGGCCTTGTAGAGTCAGTGAGGTGGCTGGAGACCAGAGAGGGCAAGGGCCTGGGCCTAGGTTACACAGCCAGTTACCCACATGTGACTGGGAAGAGACAAAGTGTTCTCTGCTAACTGGTTACCACCTCCTTTAATCTCTGACAAGTTTTCATAGAAATGGCTTTCCTGAGGGATAGCCGGGCCAGCAGTGACAACTCTCACAGTCTGATCTTTACATACAAGCTCTGGAAGCTTTTCAGAACCACATTTTTCACCCTGCCTACCTCCGTGAAAACCATCTGTCCATCTGTCATGCTAAGAACTGCCCAAACCATTAAGTACTTTGAACTGAAGGGAAGATGAGACAGGATCAGCAGGCAGGAGCAGGAGCTGAATCACGCCAGCTCGTGGCTGTGCCTTGACTCCTCGACCCCACTTTCTGCTGGTGAGGACACTAATTTGGCCCCCACTTTGAGTGGTCAGACATTTAAGGCAGCGGGTAGGTGAGGGGCTACTTACAGATCTATAGTGCGCATGGTCCAGCCTACCATCTCACCAAGGGATTCCTGCTTCATGTTTGTCAAGTGCAGATAAGCAAACCCCTTTATTCTTCATCTTGGAGTTTCTTCTAAACATGTCACCCATTTTGCGCCTCCGTTATCCCGATAGAAACCTAACAGTTAGGTTAACTTTCCTGAGGCTTTTATTGCCCCCTGCGTATTGTTAATCTGGACCATGATCCTGCATCCCACTGATAGCCATTTTAAAAGTGGAAGAGTGGTTCAAGCTCCGTGTCATACGGATCATGTGTCATAGGAGGAACTGAAGCCTGCTCTTCAGCACTGTATTCAGTGTCAAAGTTTGGAAGCTGAAATGCTTCACATTCCATGTTGGCGGCTCTGTCTTCATCCCTGGAATTTGTTCCCTGCCATCATCCCCTTGCACTGCCTCTGCCTCTGCAGGATACTGTGGCTCTGTGACGATGTTTCTGTCTGCATCCTCTCTTTCCTCTACATCCTCGTCACCTTCATCATCTTCCTCTTCCTCATGCTGCTCCTCTTCTACTTCATCGGAATATTGACCTTCCTGGGGACAAGACTCTCATCAGGAGAGATGGGCACAAAGGAATCTTCTCTGTGAGGAGCTTCCTGCGCCTCGGACCCCATCCTGGCATGAGTGTGGTCATTTCCATCATCCTCCAGCGGGGGGGTCCTGGGAAGTTCATGGTCCCCTTGGCTGTGATCTTGGAGAGCTTCCAAGGGCTTCTGTATCCCCATCAGCATGTTATGGATTCCTCCGCAAACCTGGCCATGGCTGGAGAGAAGGAGGAGATGGTAGAGAGACTCCATCGTGACTTCTTACTCCATCAACTGGTCCCAATATTGCCAGGGCTAGACAGTTGAGCCAGCCTCTTAGCACGAAACCATTAGCTTCGCTTTTGAGGTGGGTGAGGGAGACATCTCCAGGCTTCTGAACCTATTGAAATCTGGGGCACTTGGTTTTCCTTCCACTATTGAAGAATGAATCTGACTGTAATGAGTGCTATCAAGGCAGAGTGCCAGATACAGCAAATACTGATTGAGCCCCACTCGGTGCTAGGCACTCTTCCAAGCACATAACCTATATTAACTAAGTAAAATGTGCAACACCTCTTGGAGCATATGCTATTATTTTGTAGTAATTTTCTAATTGAAACAGATCATACATACAAAAAACAATCCAAGTCATAAGTATACAACCATGAGTTATTACAGAGTGAACATACCTATGGAATTGTGCCCAGTTACCCACAGGTCAAGAAATAGGACATTATCCCTATTTTACAGATGAAGAAACTGAGGCACAGAGAGGTTAAGTAACCTGCCCAAGGTCACACAGCTAATAAGGGACAGAGGCTGGTTTCCGCCTCAGGAGTTCTGTCTGGTAAGCCCAGCTCTGTTTTCTACTGCCCATAGAAAAGGTGGACCTGGAGAGCATGACCCATCTCAGGGTCAGGGGAAGCTTCTGAGAAGCTGGGGTTGGATCTGAGCTCAGGGGAGAACTGGAGCTTCATCAGAAAGAGGGAAGGAGAGCATTCCAGGCAGGGTGATCTGCTGAGAGGCCTGCAGATCTGCTGTGGGGATTCAGGAGGGAGGCGATGTGGACAGCCTGTCACGGCCACAACACACAGACTCACCAGTCACTGGAGGGCAGCCATGGGGCTCACAAAGGGATTCTTCCTTCCACAAAAGGACTCACAACAGGCATCCCTAAATAGCTCGCTGCAAGGAAAACCCACTTTGAGTTGGGAAAGTCACATTTCCATAGAGTGGATTAGAGAAATAGGGCTTTCATTGGAAGAGGTGGCTCAGTCTGAGAATAACAGCTGGGAGGTGTAATAGTAAAACCATCCCACAGCCACAGCCATAGCTGGTCTCCTCTGGGCAGCATCAGCACACCCTCCATGGGCGGGTGCTTGCTCAGGATCACACAGCTGGTCGGAGGAGGCAGGATTTGAACTCGGCAGTCTGATGCATCAACACCCCATGCCTAACCACTGCACTCGCAGCGTCCTAATCAGACAGGCCACCTCAGTCCTCTGAGCCGTGACCACACCCTCCCTTCCTTCCTGTTTTCCCACCCACTCACCTACTGGCTGTTTATGTCTGGAGCACCAGTGTGGTTGCAGTGTCCATTTAGAGTCCAGCTAAACCCGCTGGACCTGGAGTCCAGCCCAGCTCCTACCATTAGAATCTATTTTGCCCCAGACTTACATTGTCATTTAATCTGGGCTTGAATACTAGACCTGTTGGGGAGCTCACTACCATTCAGGCTTGCTTTTTTCCAAGTTTGTAGCCCTGGGGTCAGAAAACTCTTTCTTAAAGGGAGCCCGGATCTTCCTCCATGCCTGGTTCTGCCTTTTGGCTGAGCTACCTCCCAGGAGGCTGAGACAGTGGTCACAGATATGACCTGAGGTGTCCAAAGACAGGTTTTCCTTGGTCCCTGTTTCTCCTGTAATCTTAACTGGTGGGGAACAGATCTGCTTGGGGTATGGGGTAAGAAGGTGCCTGTTGTCATGCAGAAATTAGAATGCCTTCTCTATCCGTCTCCTTTCCAGATTGGAGTAACTCTGGGGTCTGAGCATGTATCCTCCCCCACGCCCCAACCCAGTGTTCTTCAGGTTTAATCTGTAAGGACAGCTGCAAGAGATGCCAACCAACTGCCTTCATGAGCCCTGGCTACCTTGCCCCATTCAGATAGATCAAAAACTGTTTCACGGCCTTCATGGTGCTGACACCTTGAGCTCATTGCAGGATTTAAAACTGTTCACAGCCTTTTCTTACCTAATGTGTACCTCAGCATATGTGTGTTTCTGTGCAGCCAGGAACACCGAGGTCTCAGGTTGTAGTAGCCCAGCGTTGGCCAGGCACCTGGTGTACGCATAGTGTCAGCTGCTACTAGAGAGAGCCTTGGTCAGTGTCCTCTCTGGCTGCTGCCCCGCACAGCCCCAATGGGGGGCTTCCAGCTGCAGCTCCGCAGGTCCCACCTCTGACAGTACACCTTTCCTTTCCTCTCCTTCACCACCTGTAAGACGCTGGCTGAATTTTAGAGCCGGGCACTGAGGCTTTTCTAAGCCAGTCTCCAACTGGCCTTTCTGCCTCAATACCTGCTATTCGTACTCAGCACTGTCATCATAGAATTGTACCAAGGTTTCTACGATATAATTTCTGTAAAAAGTGCCTACTACAGAGTCAGCACTTAACAAATTGTAGCTGTTTATTTTTATGTGATGAAAGGTTTCACCTATGACCCTGGTTGACTTTTTTTAGCGGTTTTTAGCAAAAATAATAATGAGAAGAAGAAGTGTTCATAAATGTTAACCAAGAAGAAAGGAGATATCCTACGGAAAGCGTGTGGCACATAGCGAGGGCCTGGTCACTGTGAGGTCAGGTGGTCTGGGGAGGCCTCAGCCCTCCCAGCTCTGGCCATTTGTGTGGTGTGGAGCACCAGACAGGCTCCCGCCTCTTCAGGGTCTAGTTAGTGACTTCCCCATTCTGGGTCTGGGACATAAGGGAGTGAGGCTGGAATAGTGGAAAGAGGAGACCATGGTCCTGCATCGGCCTGGGCTAGGTCCAGCCCCACCTGAGGGCTTCTGTGCTCTGGGCCATTCTGGGAGAAGATGGACAGTTTGGGGAGAATTTCTCACATGTGGAATTGTTTGAGGACATGGAAATGCTGAGACTGGAGGAAAGAAGTCTCGAGCAGCATCATGGCTTTTGGAGACTTGTGTGAAGGAGGAGCTGGACTGCCCAGAGCTCAGAGCATGGGTGTGAGCACAGGTTGACAACTTCAGCTTAATAGTGAGAGAGCTGCCCAGAAGTCGCAGGAGCTGCTGGGAAACTGTGAGTCCCCTGGTGCCGGAGGAATATGCACCTGTGGGAGGGTGTGGACGGGATCCACCTGAAAATGGCCTAATCCAAGGATGCAGCAGGCTTCTCTGCATCAGAGGTTTTAAGGAACTTCCAAGCATGAATGTTCTCTAACAGTAATTTTCAAATTGTTTTTACATTCACATAACTCCTTTTTACAAAGTTCAGTTTACATACATACTCACTCTGAAAACCAACGCAATCCAGAGCTGCTGTGGGTGGGGGAGGAGGACCCAGGGCCCCACTGCTCGGCTTCCCCACCCCCATGCCCCATGAATCCGGAGCACAGATTGGAAGTCACTGTTCTAGAACCCTGCAGGCCAGGGCTGCTCATGGCTGGAGCAACTCCACCTAATGTTCGCAGTGAAGGCATCCACTCCTCTGACAGTTTCATTTCATTTCAACCCATTCCTGCCTGCCTCCCTAACCCCACTATCTGGTCAGAAATGGGGTATCGGCTGTGTTTGACAGACCCAAGCTGGCTTCAGCCCAGGCTTGGTGCCTGCTTGCTGGCTCTTAGGCCTCTGCTCTTCGTCACCCAGAAGTCACTCCACAGGACCTCCACCTATCATATCCAATTCTGTAGAATAAAGGCGTTTGCTATTCTTAGAGCTGTGCTGGGCATTAGACCCCTGAGCTGCTGCCATCTTCCCAGCTGCTGCCACTGGGAGCTGATGTTTTCCTAGTATTAAAAAAATCACAATAGTAAAACCCAGGAAATGGTGAAAATGCCACTGTAGGTAGCAAGCCTGCAAAATGACAAGAGCTTGCCTCATCAGCAAGAATCCTTCTGGAAGGTGTATAAGAAGGCATCCTTGACCCACTCTCCCCTCTTATTTCTGTCGGGCCACTGCTGAACTGTCTCATATCTAGGTCCTCTTTCCTCTTGCCCTCGCCTCTGTCCAGCTGGGCTCTCTACAGTCACAATAGCCTCTCCTGGCCTCCAGACCTCCCCACCCACACCATCCTCCACACTGCACTCAGGCGGAGACTCATAAAACAGGAGTCTCAGGTCTGACCCTGTGCACCCAAAAAGTCTCAGACAAAGGTGTTTCTTCTGCAGAAGCCACCTGACACCCACCCCCACTGGTTCCTCCTCTCATCATCCGTAGCACTTTGCTCATTGTCTGTATTACTGTTTCCATCTCTTTGCTTTACGATCTTTTAAGTGCCTGTTAGTCACACTTGAGACCAAGGTCAGGGTTTTATTTAGCTTTATATTTCTGGCCCTGGCCCAGCGCCAGGCTCAGACCAGACCTTAGGAAATACTGTTGAGTAAATTCACATGCTTGCAGCTCACGTCGCTGTTTAGAACAGAGACTGTGCTGGTGGGCTCTGTGCCTGCGTGCCGTGGAATTCCTGGCACAGTGGCCTGTCCCTGAGGGTGCACCTAATGGCCCCCAGCCTGAGCGTTATGACATGATGTAGTTTCTGCAGAACCCCAACAAAAGGAGAATCTGGGGTGTACCCAGAAACCAGTGTGAACTTTCCCCATGACCCACATGGCCTCCCCAGTTTACTTTCCACCAGGGGATGTGTCTACTACCTCTTGGCCACTGAATATTTTTAAGAGAGACACAGCTCAGCAGGCTGTACCACCTGGCACTTTCCTCTCTTTCCACAGACATCCATTCTTCTGTGAGTTTCACTCGAAGAGCAGCGTGTCACTGCGGACAAGCCAGCCAGCTCACCATGGCTGGACCTCCCAGGGTACCAGACCTCTGGGAACTGGCCCTGAGCCTCACTTCACGGACACAGGCTGCCCGCCAAAGTGGGTCTCAGAGCAACAGTGTGTGCATTGCTCGTCACATCTTCCTCTTGCTTTGCATGACTGACTACACCCAAGAAGTGTGCCCCCTGGGAGGAAAGCATATTTGGCAACCAGATCATAATAAAATCAGAAATGCAGCAAACCTTTAAAATATCCAGACTTGGAAGAGATGCAAGAGTTTTCTAATTAAATATGAATAATAGGTGGAAAAGTCATAATATAAATGCAGAATAGCTTAATACATAGAATCTCAGATTAAGAAGGTAACTTGGAGGCCATTGAGTTCATCCCTTCATTTCAGAAAATAATGCAGCTTGGTGGAGTGAAAAGTCACGGGCTTGAAGGTCAGACATGCCCCTATTGACTAGCTATATGACCTTGGGGAAATTACTTTGAGCCAGAAGTTTAGCTCCAGGCTGGATCCGCCTCTTGTATTTTATTTGACTTACACAGTGTTTTTTAAAAAACAGAATTGCACAGCAGTTAAGCACATGAACCTTGTAGCCAGGTGACCTGAGTTCAAATTCTGACTCCATTAACTGGCTGTGTGACCTTGGGCAGGTTATTTAACCTCTCTGGGACTGTTTTCTCCTGTGTAAATGGGAATCATGACAGCCCCATCACATAGGGCTGTCATGTGATTTAATGAGGTAATGCATGTAAAGCATTTAAAATCGTGCTTGGCACCCAGTGTAAGAGTTTGCTAATATTTTTAGTTTTTTTTTAAAAATCTGAATCTGTGGTTTCATTGAAAAAACTGGAAGATGTAACAACTTCATGTGACATTTGGCAGGACAGGAATAGCCACTGCCCCTTCAGAGAGGGATATGCCCTGCCTCCCAGGTCACCACAGTCCCCACCGCGTCCCCTCCTACGCCTCCCCTGCTTTGCTTGATCATGTTGCCAGCCCATCCCCCTCTAGTGCCCTGAGCCTCCACTTGGTCTTAGGAGTAAATATAGCCACTTATATTTACTGGAACAAATATGCTAAACTAAATATATCCAAGTGAACTAAATATATCCACTTTACAATGTTATGACACTCATACACAAGCTAATCCACCCAAAGCCGCTCTGTCGGTGTGCTGGACGTGTCCTGAGCACGTAGACGTCATGAATTCCCTCCCACTAGCTAGGAGTAGTAGAATAATGCTATTCTACCTACTACCTACTACTAGAAGACCTCATAGCCTATTCATCTGGTCTCTAGGTGGACAGTGCTAGTGACGGGGAGCCCACTGCATGGCAGAGCAGCTTCTTTCCATCTTTTGTTATATTCAGAGTCCGGGAACAACAACCTCCTCCATCACCTTGCCTGAAATGCCATGCAATTTCCACCACAACCCCTCTTTGACATCTTGAGCAGAGGAACGTGTCACGTCCTTTGGGGGCTCTGTGCCGAGTTCCTTTGTGCTTAGCAGAAGCTGTGGGTCTGCTACAACCCAAGATATCATGTGCTGATGGTTCACAGGCAGCTCAGTATCACCAGCCATGGGGATTGCAGGAGAAGTTGCCGGGGGCAGGAGAGGACATCACACTAGATCATACTGTGCTGCTCTTCAGGGCACACAAGTCAGATCTGGGGTCCAGTCCTTGCGTCACCACTTTTGAGCTGCCTTGTGACTTTGGGCAAGACACTCAACCTCTCTGTTTCTGCTTCCTTCTGTATTCAGTGAAGATTGTAAGACCCTCCTGATCAAGGGGTTGTTTAAGGATCTTTTTCTTTTCCTTTGAGTCCATGAGTCTTAGAGCCACAGCATAAGAATGAAAAGATCCATCCATGAAGACCCTGGTCTCGCCATACCCCTCCCCATAGCCTCTGTCCTGCCCTGACCCCAGGCATGGGCAGAAAGCTGCTTCCAGACACTGGGAGAAATTACTCCATAAGTCAGCCCTGCCAGACCCACCAGCAGTGGACCGTCTTGCAGCCTCAGAACAGGCAGGGAAGTTGGTCACTTGCTCCCCTGATAAAGGGCAGCCTGTGGCGTAGGCCTCCAAAGGGCTGCCTTGGGTGGAGGAGGGAAGAGGCCAGCAGACCAGGCAAGCAGGACTATATCCCCAGGGACCCCCATCATGGTGTTCCGGTTTCCCACCCTGGCTCTTCCCCGGCATTTCTCTACAGCTGTCAACACCTGGGGTTCCACCCCAGCGCTGGCTGGAAGGGCTGGGCGGGGAGTGATGCCATTCTTATTTGTCTGCAGTGTAACAGGTCCCTGGGAGAGGGAAGATGCTAACAAAACCTTGGTCGGCATCATCTAAAAGTGTTTAGATGATGTGCGGGAACAGGGTGCTGCGTGGTAAAATTGCTGGCTGGGTGGTCTTGGCCATGTCAATGAACCCACTGGGCCTTGGTTCCCTTTTCTATACAATGGGGACGATGGTAAAATGGTTGATGGGAGGATCGAGTGATGCCCGCCATGTGACCGTGCTCTGCCGTGTCTCAGGTTATGAGGACTATTTCCGAAGGAAAGAAAGTGACTTGCCCAAGGTCACCTGGCGAGTTCCAACAAGAGCAGAACCAAGACCCAAGTGTCCTGCCCACCTCTCCCGCTCTGAGCAGAGTCACTCCTCTCAGAAGGTGGGCAGCGTATGCGCCCATCAAGGTTCTGAGGCACTGCCTGTGTCCCGCCTCCTTTGGGAGCCCAGCATTGAGTTAAACTTGTGCTCAGGAACTCCTGGAGTGGGAAAGTCAAGGCTAGAATCTGAGGATCACAGGCCCCAGGAAAGAAGGCCTCGCTGGTCTCTCTGATGTGCAGCTAATGAATATGTATTGGGCACCTGCTGGGGATGTCCTGACAAATGAGGTAGATGTGGTCCTCACCCGCGCAGGGATGATGGGGGCTGTGCTTGTGAAAAGGCCATTGCAGTACACACAGTCTGACAAGTGCCCTGGAGCAGAAGTGGGTGAGATCCCCAGGTCCAGAGGAGGGGTGTGGGACAGGCCTCCGAAGGACAGGACCTTGGTGCAAATTTCTGGTAGAGTGGAGGAGCTGGTCTTACAGGAGAGGGGGTGGTGCTGGGGCAGGGATGCAAGGCTCCAGGTGACCTTTGGCATGGCTGGAGGGGGAGTGCAGCAGGAAATGGGGGGATCAGTGGGAATTGGAGGGAGATGAGCTGGGGAGGTGGCAAGGGCAGATGGTGCCCTGGGCCTTTCCTGCCAAGGAATGCAGGGCTTCGCTCCGATGGTAGTGGGAGAAGCATGAAGTGGGACCTCTAGGCTGGAAGGAGTGGTAAGCCTGGATGGATTTGGGGACAGCTCCTACTGGCTGTTTTGTGAAGAAAGGAGGCAGTGGTATAGGAGAGAGGGTGGTGGCCAGGGCTGGTGGGGACAGAGAGGTGGCACCCTTGGAGCATGCATTGCATGTAGCATTGATGGTTGTGGTGGTGGATTGATTATGGAGCATGAAGGAAATGGAGCCATCAAGGATGAAGCCCAGCCTGTGGGCTGGCCAGCCACACGAGTGCAGGTGCTGCTTGCTGAGAGAGAACGGGGACCCAGGAGCAGACACTGCAGGTAGAGGGACTTGGAAGGCTGGTTCTGGGCACGCAAGGTATGAGGTGCCTGAAAACCACCAGAGGTGATACTAAGGCAGTTAGATGTATAGCAAAGGCATCGGAACTCGAGAGAGAAGTGGCTGGGGGCCATCAGCACCCAGGTGGAGGGTCACCTGGGGAAGGTGTGTGGTGAGAAGAGTGCAGGTCGGAGGCTGGCAGGGGCCATGTCGGCATGGGAAAGGGTGGGCAAAAAAGGAGCTTGCAAAGGAGACACAAGCAGGAGGGAATGAGGTGCCTCCAGAAGGCCAGCAAGAGGGCGGACAGGATGAGGCAAATGGACTTTCAATGGAGCAAGCTGTGACCTTGGCAAGAACAGTTGGTCATCAGAGCTGGGCTGCAGCGGCTCAAAAGCATAGAGTGGGGAGGAGGTGTGGACAGCCCTCTCCAGATCCGGGCTGTGCAGGAAAGAGGGACAGCAGAGCTGGCCCGGGATTTGGGCCCAGGGAGGCTTGGGGCTGGTTGATTTGTGATGGGAAGAGAGCTGGGCTTGTGTCTGTGGTGGTGGAAGGGGCTAGGAGAGGGAGGCAATGACACTGCTGGGAAGCTGTGGGAGAGGACAGTGGGTGGGGTGGGCTCTGGCACCGCAGGAGGAGCTGGACCCAGAGCCCGGCAGGTCTACCTCAGGCTTGGGGAGGTCCACACTGATAGACAGCTGCCATAGGCCTGTCCCTGGCTGGACCCTCTGGGAACCTCAAAGCTGGACAAGCCTCGGTCCTGGCCTTCAACGAGCAGAGGAGCCACAGGTTCCAGGTCGTTGAACCAGGACTGCCCTCTTTCAAGTCCTGGGTCCTCAGCAGCCGTCTTCCTCAAGCTCTCTGGGATGTCCAGCCATGGGCCCCTCCTCCTCTAAACCCTCTCCTCTTGGCTAAGCCACAGTTCTCTCCCAGTTTCCTGCTTCTCTGACCTTTCTCTTTTTGAGGGCAGGGTTTGGGGTGCCATTTGTTCTGCCCACCCTTGAATTTGGGTGCCACCCAGGTCTCTGCCGTCGGCACTACCCTCTTCTGTCTTGTGGGGTCATCCTCCTCCCAAATCTACATATCCCCTTCTCAGTCCCACTGATTTCTGACACAAGGACGTTTCTTCATGTCTTCCTCATGGGCATCTCATACTCAATGCTTAAAGACTAGAGTCCTCCATCACTTCCCCCCAAGCTCGGGGGTGGTGCCACTAGAGCCAAGTTGAAACTTCTGGATCTTGGTTTCTCCTTCGTTCTGACCCCTGCCCCATCCAAATGGCCACTGAGGCCTGTGGAGCCTATGCCCAGAAGGCATCTCAAATCGCTGTTCTAGAACATGAGCCTGGGCCTGGATTCATTCTCTCCTCCTCCAGGCCATTCCCATGGCCAGGGAATATCCTCTCTTAGAGACTTTATATTTCTCTTTAAGGCTTTTATCAATCCCAAACTTAGCATGGTGTTCAAGGCCAATGGTGATCCAGCCTGCCTTTCCTCCAGCCTCATCTCCTCTCTGCAACCAAATACTCCAGGCTCTCAACACTCTGCCGTTGCTCCGGGGGGTGCCTACCCAAGTCCTCCCTTCTCTCCTGTCCTCCATCTCTTCTGTCCTCCCTTCTCTCCTGTGCTCCATCTCTCCTGTCCTCTATCTCCCCTGTCCTCCCTTCTCTCCTGTCCTCCATCTCCCCTGTCCTCCATCTCTCCTGTCCTCCATCTCCCCGTCCTTCATCTCTCTTGTCCTCCATCTCCCCTGTCCTCTATCTCTCATGTCTTCCATCTCTCCTGCCTCCATCTCCCCTGTCCTCCATCTCTCCTGTCCTCTCTCTCCCGTCTTCCATCTCTCCTGTCCTCCATCTCCCCTGTCCTCCATCTCTCCTGTCCTCTATCTCCCCTGTCTTCCATCTCTCCTGTCCTCCATCTCCCCTGTCCTCCATCTCTCCTGTCCTCTATCGCCCCTGTCTTCCATTTCTCCTGTCCTCCATCTCCCCTGTCCTCTACCTCTCATGTCCTCCATCTCCCCTGTCCTCCATCTCCCCTGTCCTCCATCTCTCCTGTCCTCCATCTCCCGTCTTCCATCTCTCCTGTCCTCCATCTCCCCTGTCCTCCATCTCTCCTGTCCTCCGTCTCCCCTGTCTTCCATCTCTCCTGTCCTCCATCTCCCCTGTCCTCCATCTCTCCTGTCCTCTATCGCCCCTGTCTTCCATCTCTCCTGTCCTCCATCTCCCCTGTCCTCTATCTCTCATGTCCTCCGTCTCCCCTGTCCTCCATCTCTCCTGTCCTCCATCTCCCGTCTTCCATCTCTCCTGTCCTCCATCTCCCCTGTCCTCCATCTCTCCTGTCCTCCATCTCCCCTGTCTTCCATCTCTCCTGTCCTCCATCTCCCCTGTCCTCCATCTCTCCTGTCCTCTATCGCCCCTGTCTTCCATCTCTCCTGTCCTCCATCTCCCCTGTCCTCTATCTCTCATGTCCTCCATCTCCCCTGTCTTCCATCTCCCCTGTCCTCCATCTCTCCTGTCCTCCATCTCCCCTGTCCTCTATCGCCCCTGTCTTCCATCTCTCCTGTCCTCCATCTCCCCTGTCCTCTATGTCTCATGTCCTCAATCTCCCCTGTCCTCCATCTCTCCTGTCCTCCATCTCCCCTGTCCTCCATCTCTCCTGTCCTCCATCTCCCCTGTCCTCCATCTCTCCTGTTCTCCCTTCTCTCCTGTCCTCTATCTCTCCAGTCCTCCATCTCTCCTGTCCTCCCTTCGCTCCTGTCCTCCCTTCTCTCCTGTCCTCCATCTCTCCTGTCCTCCCTTTGCTCCTGTCCTCCCTTCTCTCCCATCCTCCATCTCTCCTGTCCTCCCTTCGCTCCTGTCCTCCCTTCTCTCCCATTCTCCATCTCTCCTGTCCTCCATCTCTCCTGTCATCCCTGGCCTCACCCAACCCAGGCTCCTCCCTCGTGTTCCCCAGCAGGCTACACTCCCTCCCTGATGTGACAAGGTGCTGCACGTGGTTGTGTACACCCCGCCCCAAGTCAAGGCACCAACCTTGAAGGCTCAGAGTCCTCTCTCTCCCTCCCCTTCCTATCTCTCTCTCTCCATTTGGAAAGACCATGTACCATTTAAGCTTGATGTGGAGGAGGAAATGAAGGGGTCGGAGAGCAGCTGGGGCAGATGGACCCTGGCACCTGCTTCTAGGTTGGCTGGCACACAGGCCCAGTAGACGTCAGAGTGGCTGTGGGCCTGTGTGGGGATCAGCAGGGTGAAGGCTAGGCTGAAGGACACCATTAGGCTGAAGGACACCATTGCAGGTGGTGGCGGGAGGGGAGCAAGTGCCATGGACCCGACAAGCAAGGCCAGGTGAAGGCTAGTGTCCAGGAGGTTGCGGGGCTTCCAGTGCAAAGGGGAGACCAAGCTGTCCTCACTCTGTCTTCTTCTAGCTGGGAAAGGGGGCCCCATCTCAGCCATCTTCCCTGGCCACCAGGTCCCAGGGGCATGGAGGGACATGGGAATTAAGATCCAGGTGTGAGCAACTGGTTTTGGTCTTGGAGATCTGCTACGTGAGGGTGAGCCGCTGTCACATCGAGGCAGATGCCTCGTGCTTGGCCACAGAGTGCCCTTCCTAAGAGAACCGAGTCATTTCTGCGTACCGCCGCCACGGCCTTCAGTTCGTCCTCTCGGACGCAAGGTGGCGCGTGTCCTGGATCCCGTGGAAAGGTGACCCCCACTGGGGACACGGCCAAAACTGGCTGGTCAGGGCAGCCATGGTGGAGAAGGGGCAGTTTTAGACTCCTTGGCGGCATCAGTTGGCCAAATCTGAGGTGACAAAAAAACAGGGTCCACCTGTACTGGTGGACAGCAGTCCATGTGTGAGGTGAGGGTGAGTGTGCCAGGAGAGTGTATGAGCGTGAGTGTGGTCTGAGTGTGCAAATGAGTCTAAGTGTGTGGTGTGTGTGCATGGGTGTGAGCGTGTGTGACTGTGAGCGTGTTAGGGTGGGGGGTGCATGTCCGTGTGGTGGGGGGTGTTGGTGTGTGGGTTTGATTGTGGGAGTATGCATCAGTGGGAGTGTGAGGATGTAAGTGTGACTGTGGGGGTGACTGTGAATGTGGGGGTGTGTGGGGTGTGTGATTGTGGGGTTATGTGTATGTATGAGTGTGTGGGGATGTGGAAGTGAGTCTGGGGGTGTGTGTGGATGGTTGTGAGGGTGGCGTGTGTATGTGTAAATATGGGGTATATGAGTATTCAAGTGGAGATGCAAGTGTGGTTGTGGGAGTGTGTAGGGGCGTGAGTGTGGGGTGTGTGAGGGTGTGGGGGGTGTGGGGTGAGTGATGTGAGTGTATGTATGTGTATGAAGGTGGGGACGTATGTGTGAGGGTGGGGTGTGGGGGGAGGAGAGTCGGGTGTGTGAGGGTAGGGGTGTCAGCATAAGTGTGAGGATGGGGTGTGGAGTATGTGAGTATGGGGTGTGAGTTTGGGGGGAGTGTGAGGGTGTGGGGTGTGAGCATGTGTGAGGGTGTGTGTGAGGGTGTGGGGTATGAGCATGTGTGTGGAGGGTGAGCATGTGAGGGTGAGCGTGTGAGTGTGGGGGTGTCAGCATGTGTGAATGTGAGGGTGTGGGGAGGTGTGAGCATGTGTGATGGTGAGGGTGTGTCAGTGGGGGGTGTGAGCATGTGTGAGTGTGAAGGTAAGTGTGAGTGGGGGTGTGAGCATGTGTGAGGGTGAGGGTGTGAGTGTATGGGTGTAAGCATGTGAGTGTGAGGGTGGGGTGTGAGCATGTGTGAGGGTGAGGGTGTGTGTGAGGGTGAGTTGTGTGAGGGCGTGTGGGGGTGTGAGCATGTGTGAGGGTGTGGGGTGAGGATGTGTGTGAGTGTGAGGGTGAGGGTGGGGGTGTGAGCATGTGTGAGGGAGAGTGTGAGGTCAGTGGTGTGAGTGTGAGGGCAGGGATGTGAAGTGTGAAGGTGAGTGTGAGGGTGGGGGTGTGGAATGTGAGCATGAAGGTGAGTGTGAGGGCGGGGGTGTGCGAAGGTGTGAGGGCGGGGTGTGGAGTGAAGGTGTGAGGGTGGAAGTGTGGAGTGTGTGAAGGTGAGTGTAAGGGCAGGGGTGTGTGAAAGTGTGAAGGCAAGGTGTGGAGTGTGAAGGTGAGTGTGAGGGTGGGGGTGTGGAGTGTGTGAAGGTGAGTGTGAGGATGGAGTATGTGAGGGTGTGTGAGGATGAGTGTGAGGGTGGGCTGTGAGTCTGAGGGTGAACGTGAGGGCAGGGGTGTGAGTGTGAAGGTGAGGATGGGGGTGTGGAGTGTGTGAAGGTGAGTGTGAGGGTGGGGTGTGAGTGTGAGGGTGTGTGAGGGTGGGGTGTGTGAGGGTGGGGTGTGTGAGGGTGGGGTGTGTGAGGGTGGGGTGTGAGTCAGGGTGAATGTGAGGGCAGGGGTGTGAGTGTGAAGGTGAGTGAGGGTGGGGGTGTGGAGTGTGTGAAGGTGAGGGTGGGGTGTGTGTGAGGGTGGGATGTGAGTCTGAGGGTGTGAGGGCAAGGGTGTGTGAAGGTGAGGGTGGGCGTGTGGACTGTGTGAAGGTGAGTGTAAGGGCGGGGTGTGGAGTGTGAGGGCGAGTGTGAGTGTGGGGGTGTGGAGTGTGAAGGTGAGTGTGAGGGTGAGTGTGGGGGTGTATGTGAGGGTGTGTGAGGGTGGAGGGGTGTGAGGGTGAGTGTGTGAGGGTGTGAGGGTGGAGTGTGAAGGTGTGAGGGCAGGGGTGTGTGAAGGTGAGGGTGGGGATGTGGAGTGTGAGGGCAAGTGTGAGTGTAGGGGTGTGGAGTATGAAGGTGAGGGTAAGGGTGTGAGGGTGGGGTGTGAGTGTGAAGGTGTGAGGGCAAGGGTATGAGTGTGAAGGTAAGTGAGGGGGGTGTGGAGTGTGAATGTGAAGGTGAGTGTGAGGGCGGGGTGTGGAGTGTGAGTGCGGGAGTGTGGAGTGTGAAGGTGAATGCAAGGGTGTGGGGTGCATGTGTGAGGGTGACCATGTGAGGGCAGGGGTGTGTGTGTGAGGGTGAGCATGAGGGTGGGGTGTGAGTGTGAATGTGTGACGACAGGGGTGTGAGGGTGAGGGTGGGGAAGTGGATTGTGAATGTGAAGTTGAGTGGGAGGGTAGGGTGTAGAGTGTGAGAACGAGTGTGAGTGCAGGAGTGTGGAGTGTGAAGGTGAATGCGAGGGTGTAGGGTGCATGTGTGAGGGTGAGCATGTGAGGGTGGGGGTGTGTGAGGGTGAGCATGAGGGTGGGATGTGTGAATGTGTGAGAACGGGTGTGTGAGGGTGGGGATGTGGAGTGCGAGTGTGAGGGTGGGGAGTAGAGTATGCGAATGAGTGTGAGTGCTTGAGTGTGGAGTGTGAAAGAGTGTGAGGGTGTGGGGGTGTATACGTGAGGGTGAGCATGTGAGGGCGGGGGTGTGTGAGTGTGTGTGAGGGTGGTGTGTGAGTATGAAGGTGAGTGTGAGGACAGGGGTGTGAGGGTGAGGGTGGGGTGTGGAGTGTGAGTGAAGGTGAGTGTGAGGGCAGGGTGTGGAGTGTGAGTGCGAGTGTGAGTGCAGGGGTGTGGAGTGTGAAGGTGAGTGTGAAGGTGGGATGTGTGTGTGAGTGCAGGGGTGTGAAGTGTGAGGGTGTGAGGGTGTATGTGAGGGTGTGTGAGGGTGAGCATGTGAGGGTGTGTGTGTGTGAGGTGAGTGTGTGAGGGTGAGTGTGTGAGGGTGAGCATGTGTGGGAGTGGGAGTGAAGGTGAGTGGGTGTGTGGGTGTGTGAGAGGATGAGCATGTGAGGGTGTGTGAGGGTGTGTGTGAGGAAGAGGGTGTGTGAGGGTGAGTGTGGGTGTGTGGGTGTGTGTGAGGATGAGCATGTGAGGGTGTGTGTGAGGAAGAGGGTGTGTGAGGGTGGGGGGTGAGTGTGGGGGTGTAAGCGAGTGTGAGTGCAGGGGTGTGGAGTGTGAAGGTGAGTGTGAGGATGAGTGGGGTGTGAGCATGTGTGAGGGTGAGCATGTGAGGGTGTGTGTGGAGATATGAGCATGTTTTAGTGTGAGAGTGAGCTTGTGAGGCTGTGTGTGAGCGTGTTAGGGTGAGTGTGTGAACGGGTGTGAGGGAGTGTGGGGGGGTGTATGTGTGAGGGTGAGCGTGTGAGGGTGTGTGTTAGGGTGAGTGTGAGGGTGAGTGTGGGGATGTGAGCACGTTTTAGGGTGAGTGTGTGAGGGTGTGTGTGAGGGTGAGTGTGCGTGAGGGTGAGTGTGGGGGTGCGAGCAGGTATGAGGGGGAGTGTGAGTGTGGGGGTGTGAGGGTGTGTGTGAGGGTGAAGGTGGGGGTGGGAGCAGGTGTAAGGGTGTGAGTGTGGGGGTGTATGTGTGAGGGTGTGTGAGGGTGAGGGTGAGTGTGGGGGTGTAAGCATGTGTGAGGGCAAGTGTGACGGCAGGGGTGTGGAGTGTGAAGGTGAGTGTGAAGGTGAGTGTGGGGGTGTGAGCATGTGTGTGAGGGTGAGCGTATGAGGGTGAGTGTGAGGGTGAGTGTGGGGGTGTGGGCATGTGTGAGTGTGAGGGCGAGCGTGTGAGGGTGAGTGTGAGGGTGAGTGTGGGGTGTGAGCATGTTTTAGTATGAGGGTGAGCGTGTGAGGGTGAGTGTGTGTGAGGGTGAGCGTGTGAGGGTGAGTGTGTGGGTGTGAGCATGTGTGAGGGCGAGTGTGAGGGTGGGGGTGTGGTGGTGGTGGTTCTGTTGCTGCCAGCGGGCTCTCTCCCTCAAGTCCCCTCTTCCAAGCCCTTCCTTCCCAAGTCCTTTCAGCTGTAAGCTGATGGCCCCATTGGAGCAGGGTGGAGCCCCCCCGCCCCGACACGCTGTCCCTTGCTCACCTCCTCCCAGCCACCTCCTGCCCCTCTGTGCTGGAACCAGGCAGGGGCAGGTGGTGCGGCGTGAGTATGTGAGGGCAACTCTGGCTGGCGTTGGAAGGTGCGCCCCACAGGTTGAGAAGCCACGCCTCCTCCACGTGCCGTGCCAGTGGCCTCTCAGGCTTCAGGAGTCAGAAGGCTCTTCTCCTGGAATTATGCCAGGGTCCCCTCTCCTGGCGCGCCCCCTGCCACCCTCCCCACCGCATCTGAGACTTGCACATGTATAGCATTAGACCAACAAGACAGCTTCATCGTGATCCTGTTGCGCATGTGGGACTCGTGGGTTTCCTTCTAAGTGGAAATAAGAGCATTCTGATTCGTGCTTCAGGCGCAGCTTCTGAAAGCTGGTGGCACTTCCAGATAGAACCCCAAGCGATGTGGCAGGTGGCTGGGACCCTGCATCCTGCAGAGCTTGCAGGCTGACGTGCAGGTGAGGGGGAGAGCTCAGGACTCCTCATTCCAAACTCTGAAGCCAGGGAAGCAATGGTGGTCCCTGTTCCTTCTCCTCCCATGAATATCAAGGCGGCTTCCTGGCAGACTGGACAGGCTTTGGGGCAGGCAGGTTCAAAGCCTGATTCTGGCCCCTTCTGGCTATGGGATCTTGGACAAGTCTCTCACTGTCTCTAAATCTCGGGGTCTCACAGGCTCTCCATGGTGAGGTGGTTGTGCTTTGATTTGGGTAAAGTGCCTGGCAGAGTGAGCACTTGGTGAATGGCGGCTGCCCGAGCTGCTGCTGCTGTTTTATTATCATCATTCCCTCTCTGGGACTCTGGTGGCCTGCGGTGGCTGTTCTTTGTGGGCGAAGCTGTAGCTGGGCTGGCTGTGCCAAGGAGGCTGTCTGGCACCCTGCAGCTCCACATCCCCTCAGTGGGAAGCGCCAGTGTCTGCTGCTCTGGAGGAGGAAGAATAGTGCAACCCCCCGTCTGAGGGGGAGGGGCGCAGGGGTCCGCAGTGGATCACCAGGGTGACTCAGTTCCTCCCACTCTCGTGGTCCTCTCTGGTTCCGTGGCCTCCATTCCTTGCGTCTGTAACGGGCTGGATGAATCTAGGAAGCGCGTGCGTCTTCTGAGGTGGGAACCTGCCTCTTCTCCTTTTTTTTCCCTTTACTATGACGCCTGTTGCTCATAGGTACAAATCAAACGAAGAGTATGTATATGTGCGAGGCCGCGGCCGAGGGAAATATGTTTGTGAGGAGTGTGGAATTCGCTGCAAGAAGCCCAGCATGCTGAAGAAACACATCCGCACCCACACTGACGTCCGGCCCTATGTGTGCAAGCACTGTCACTTTGCTTTTAAAACCAAAGGTAAGAGAGAGTCAGCTGGGGCACTGCCCCTGCCCGCTGCAGGGAGCTCCCCTCTGGGAGTCCCAGCACAGAGTTCAGGTGCCCAGACCTCTTTGCAGGGGGCCTGGAGCAGCCCCATTTCCTGGGTTCCCACCCAGCTTGGTGCCCAGTGGCAGAGCAGCTGGCTCCAGACTGGCCTGTGGCTCCCCATGGCTGCCCCCAGCCATCCTCCTGGAACACACACACAGCCCCTGCACCTGTGGCCACCCGGCCCTGGCCTGCCCAGCCTGGTGCGGCACTCTTGCTCACCGTTCATGGTTTTGCATCTTCTCTCATCTCCCCTCCCTTCTGCATGTCTCCTGAGCCGTTTATCCACTGATCTGAGACACTCCAGCATCCATGCTCGTCACTGCCACTCTTGCATTTGGAAATCCATTCCACTCCCAGCTGCTTAACACACTCGCATGCTCTCTTCTCCTGCCAGAGCGCGCCGACCTCCACCCACCTCTCCACTCCCACCATGCCCCTGCTCCACCCAGCTTCTCTGCACCTCTCAGCACAGGGCCAGCCCCCCACTCCCAGACTGACAGCCCTGTCACCCCTGCCCCAGCCACACCCCACATCAGGGTCAGGATAGGCTCTGGCAGTCACTGGTGAAAGGAGGGGCCTGCTGTGAAAGGCATGCATCCCAGAGAGCTGTGATGGGTGATGGGCATGGCCTGGCCTGCCACAGCCACCCAGGCCAGGCCCCTGGTGTGGACAAAGGAGCTGAGTCCATGAGATTCTTGGATTGCACTCTCCTACTGCAGGATAGGCAGGGAAGGTCCTGGCAGCTTGCTCACTGCAGACTGAAGCGCCTTGGAGGGAGACCCAGGGCTCTCGGCACCCCAGTGTCTTCAGCCTCTGGAGCTTGATAGATTCCTGGGTCAGGGTTTGGACATCAGGGTCCTGTCTTCTCCTTTGAGCAAGTTGGGGGCTTCTGGGAGCCCCACGGTTTCTCAGGGGGTGAAACTCAAGGGCATCCTTCAGCTGTGCCACCTGTTGACCTTTCTTCTGTTGGCAAAGTTGCTCCCAGCAAGCGAGGCTGGGCAGCTGCTCTGGAGGGGGCCCAGCAGGGTCCCTACCCTTCTTCACTTCCTCCGTGCTCTTGCTGCTTGGCCCCTTCCGTTCTCTCTATACCAGGTCAGGGGCCAGTTTATCACATCCCCTGGGAGAGTGGCCTCTTCTCTGACTGTGTTCCCATTTCTGGTCTCCTCACCCCATTAACTGAACCCCTGCCCTCCTCTGTCCCCTCGCCATCATCTGCAAGTTGAGCTCAAATTTTCCTGTCAAGGTTTTGGTTTAAACAGAGGTGCCTGCCCTCCCACTGCCTTTCCCCCATCCTCTTCTCTCTTGGTGTCTCATAAACAATGTCCCAAAGGTTGCCCAGAGAGGGCACATTGGCCCAGGACTCCCCACCCACCCCATGGGTGCTTCGAAGGTGTCTTCCATCCCTGCAGCCCTGCCCAGCATGCGTCGCCCTGGACATGGGCTGTCCCTGACACGCCCTCCAACCGCACTTCCTCTGGCCTTCTGCAGCCAGTCGAGATTTTATGGAAGAGCAAGACGGGGATAACTGACTGACAATTCAATGGACGGTCGTCAACTCTAAAAGTGGAAAACTTATCACCCAAGTCCCCTTGAAGGTGAAGAAAGTGATCCCAGAAAACAGAATAACTGTTAATGCTGGAGCTGTAACTAGAACACGGGCCCCGAGCTCCAGGGCATCACCCCATCATCTTCCTTTCTGTGAGCAGTTAGTTCCCTCCCTTCCCTGGAGTGGGTGGCAAAAAGCTGCACTTGGAGTGGCCTGTGTCCAGGGGACCACACTGCCAGCCCAGGGCCATGCAGAGCACACCTGTGCCCCACACGCAGCCTGGGCTGCCCATCGCCTCAGGAAACCATCACTCTGCCGCGTGAGACTGGAAGTTTCCAGCCCAAGCAGTTTCCCACAGGGGGCCCACTCAATTCCCTTTGCCTTGGGTCCCTAGCAGGAGCCCGTACTTTCTAGGAGATGCCTTCATTGGAAGCCACACTGAGCCTGTCTGCAGTCCCTTCCTGGGTCTCTCTGAGCCAGCACAGAGCCAGGGCCCTGGAGGGCTTTGGAGGGTCCAGAGGGCGTAATCTGAACAGAGGGGCTGTAGGCCCTCCCCATTTCCAGGGGTGTAGAGCATCCCCCGAGGTAAGGCTGCCCCTGCTGTCCTGAAGGCCAGGGCTGTGAGGCCGTGCTCTCAACCAGTGATCAAGCAGTGCCCTGAGCTCTTCCTCAACTGTTCACAGGGGCTTCTAGAAGACTAGAACCTTCCAGAACCAACGAAGGGAGCAGATGGGAAATGGTGGAATCTGAAACTGTTTGACTAATAGAGGGAAGGCCAGGTTGGGATGGTGGCAATGGAAGCAGGGAAGTCTCCCTGTTAACTCTCTCTGCAGTATGGGGGTGAAGGGAGAGCAGGGCGCTGGAGCTCCTGTCTGTTTCTGGGGCCAGGTGTCTTTGTGGAGTGCTGGGCCCCGTCAGCCATCAGCTCAGACAACACAGGCCCCTTGTCTCCGGGGCTGTGTGCCTCCCCATTGGGCCACCTCCAGGCCTGCCCCAGGCAGCCCTCCCGACCCTACCACCCGGCTACACCAGGGCCTGGGGAGCCCCTCCTGCCTTCCTGTCTGTCTCTGTCTGCCGTGTGTGTCTCGTCTCTTGTGTCAGACGTCGTGGCAGCAGCTCAGGCCTCTGGAAACTGGCTAAGGAATGCGTCAGTAGGTGGGGCTGGGGAGGCCTGTGGGTGGCCCTGTGGTGGCTGGGGGTCCCATTTCCTCTTCTCAGATGGTTCCCAGAGGCCAGCGGATGGCTGTGCCATGTCCAGGCCCTTGCACCGATCGCCTCAGGGGACAGAGATGGCCTCAGGTCTGCCAGCGGCAGGGGCAGGGACAGAGCGGTTGATCAAAGCCAAATGAGGCAGGCAGGGTTGTTGGTGGATGCCCTTTTATCGGAGGTTCCGCCTCTTCCCGACACCCATCACTTTACCTCTCACTTGCCTTTCCTCTTCATTCCAGGCCTGTCAGGCTTTGGTGGGGTCTGGGATGACTGTGAGAAGCTGTGGCTCTGCCTGACAAGCTGAGGCCCTGGCCCTCAACAGGGAAGTGGTGTTCAGGCTGTGCCTGCAGCCGTGTGCCCCACCTTCCCCTTTCACAGAGGAGGAGACAGGCCTGGAGAGGGGAAGTCACAGAGGGACCCGGACAGCACTCAGGGCTGCCCATCCAGTGTCCACTCCTGGACCCGCAAAGTCACCTCCGATCCTGACTCCTCCCTGCACCCCCGTGGCGGGGGCAGAGGAGAGGGAGGCCTATGGGGGGCTCCCTGGTGCCTTCTCCTGAGAAAGGTAAAACCATTTCACCAAAAGCATCATCTTAGCATCTCTTCCTCCACACCCAGCATGGTGCGTGGCAGAGCCCCTGGGCTGCTCAATAGAGTGACTCACATGGGGACAGGGGTCTGTTCTCTGCCAGGCACACTCTGCTGCCACTCTACTTGTGTCACCTCATCAAGTCCTCCCGCATCCCCACGAGGTAGGTATTACTTCACGGTTGCAGAAACCAGGGCTCAGAAGGTTGAGGAACTTGCCCAAGAGCCCACAGCTGGCAAGTGGCAGAGCCCACAGTCAAACCCAAGGCTGCCAGGTTCCATCTAGGTTCCATTCTGCCTCCACATGGAGTGGGAAAGGCCCCCCGAGTCTTGAGACCTGGGTCTAGATGGAACTCGGCACCAACCAGCACTGTGACTGTGGACCACTTGATTCACTGTGTTGGTTCAAGCAGCCCTGCCAGCATCCAAGACAGCCAGTGATCTTGTCTAATGGTGCCATCAGCACCTGGGCCCAGAGTCAGATCAGAAGCAGGGAGAACCTCAGCCTGGCGGGGGTTGAATTACATGGACTTTGAAGCTCCTTCCAACATTTTCCTCCTGCGATGACAAGGGCATTTCCCATACATGGCTATTGTACACCCATTGTGTGCCCAGCGTCTAGCTTGGTTCATTAGAGACCTAAACCTTCCAGGCAGAACAGGTGCAACAAGTGAGGTAATAGCCAGAATGAGCAGTGTCCACAGTGCCCTGTGGCCTGGGGTAGTCAGGGTAGGGTGGGCCTGGCTCCACGACCTTAGGACAGTGGGTATCTCTGATCCGCGGAAGACCCCAGCTGCCTTTTCCCACCTCTTGACTGTCCTACTCTGGCTTTGCCTTCTCATGACAATGAGGGCCGAAGTCCACAAGGTTGGATAGGGACCTCTGAGGACCCTCTGGCTACAAGATGACTCTGAAATTTATGGCTTTGCTCCCACTATGGCCAGGAGTAGGACATCCAGATTTATTTCCGGTTGTAGGAGGAAAACCCAAATTGGGAAGGATAGAGTCATGAACTAGGACCAAGGTGAAGAAAGAGGAAAGGAAACAGCTCCCCTCCCATCCCTGCTGCCCTTGACTTGGACACCTCAGGGAATCCCAGCTTAAGGGTCCCCCATTAACCTCTTAGCAAAACCCTAAATATTTCTTCTAATTCTAGGAATGATTAAGAAGCACCCTTCAGTTCATCCATGGGCCCTCTCCCTGGTCACCTATCCATCCATCTCATCTAATTGTTTTCCTGTTCATTTATCTGCTCATCCTATCTGTTCCTACCATTCTCCCATTTGTCCTCCCACCCATCCAACTTCCCATTCTTTCATCCTTCTGTCTGTACTCTCATGCATGTAATAGTGCATGTATCCATTCATCCATCCAACCAGCCATTCTTCCATTCTTCCATTCATCCACGTCTCTGTCCTCCCATCCAGCTCTCCATCATCTCATCTGTTTATTGACCCATTCTCCATCTATCCTTCCATTTGTTTTCATCTACTCACCTATCCTCCGTCTGCCTATTCATCTCCTTATCTGCTCATCTAGCGTTCCATCCTTCTGTCTATCCTCTTCCTGTTCTTCATTCTCTTTATATTTCCTTTATCCACTTTATCTATCCACGCACCAATCGCTCTATTCATCCACTCCAGGAGGCTTAGCTCTTTCCATTCTTCTCTCCTCCATCCATCCATTCAAACTTACCAATTCATTAGACTAATGGGACAGAGCACCTGACTCAGGGAACTTATGACTTATGATGTTAATGACCATATGGAAATATAGCCATCCCCAGGGCAACAGTGAGCACATCACGGTTTGGGAGTAGCTGCTGGGCCCAAAGGAATATCCTGAGGCATCTGGCCTGTGTTCTTCTGGGGCAGGCTGGGATGCTCTGCCTGTCCTTCCTAGAACGCTCCTGTCCACAGAGCTGTGTGGCCTGTGAAATGTTGTGCACCTGTTGGGGAACTGAAGCTGTTGCTACTGTTCCCTGATTCCACAGAGCTGCTGCCTCCACTCTTCAGCTTGTGGGCTGGACCTACAACTTGGGGCAAAGTCAGCCTCCCCTCTGAGGGCTTTGTAGGCATGGAGCAGGACAGAGGCCTTGCCCAGGCCTTCCCTGAACCACCCTGGTCCTGTGTCTGCACTGTAGATTGGCCTGGGGAAACTGAAGGCCCAGAAATGGGACTTCTCTATGGAAACCAAGCTTGGGCCCCCAGCCTTGTGGCTCCTGAGTCCCTGGCTAGTAGACTTCCCTACTCTCACCTTCTGCCCTCTCGCCATGCCTAATATTAAATTTGCCCTGGTTTCTCTACCTACACTTTAGAATTCTGCCCTGTGAGCTGCCCTAGAGGTGTCCTCAGCCAGAAGGGCATGCTCAGTCCTCACCCGTCATGCCGGTCAATGGGAGCCTCCCACGTCATCCCACACTTGAGATGGCCAATAGTCCTGCCTGATGAGTGTCACCAGCTACTAGGGCCAGACTTAAATCAGAAGCAAAAAAAAAAAAAAAAACCTATTGCACTTGAGTTGTCTTTTAATTTCTTTTTTGTTTGTTTTTTAACCAGCATCTCACTTCCTCATTATACTGTCTGTCCCCTCACAGCCCTCGCCCACCCCACCTAGCTGCTGTGCACTGCCCTGAACAGCAGCTGTGGCTACACTTCTGGGCCTGAGCACCGGGGCAGAGGGATACCCCAGCTCCTGCCCAGCCCTGCAGCTGGCAGGGCCTTGACTGGCCTGAGAAACCATGGCCTGCCGGCCAGGTGCTACCTCCATGAGCCCTGGGTCCGCCCTGGCCTCCTGCCCCATAGCAGAGCCTAAGTATTCTCGTTTCTTTCTAGGGAATCTGACTAAGCACATGAAGTCGAAGGCCCACAGCAAAAAGTGCCAAGAGACAGGGGTGCTGGAGGAGCTGGAAGCCGAAGAAGGTAACAATTGCCAACCTTCTCCGTCCCCTTTCCCCTTGTCCGCTTTCCCTATCCTCCTCCACCTTTCCTGCTTGCCTTCCCTGCTTCCTTTCTGTCTGCTTTGCCCCATTCCCCCTCCTCCCCTCTCTCCCTCCAATAGCTTCACCTTCAGTTCTCCCAAGTATCAGACAAAGGTTAAATTCCCTGAATGATCGAGCCACCTCCCCACATGCTGATAGGATATGCTCTGCAGCCCTAGCTATCATGCATTACCATCTGCCATGCAGGTGGAGCGCCTGGCACCCATGGGTGCTCAGTGAATGTTTACTGAATAAATGCACACAAGAGAACTTACAGCCAACGTTGATTGAGTGCCCACTATGTGTCAGGCGGGTTCTAAATGCATGCCCTGAATTATCCCAGCCAACCCCTCATAGTGACACTGTGGGACACATACTCTCCGAAGCTCCACACCCACACTCCTGCCTACACACTCTGGCATGGGCCTGACACATGGGCCTTTTGGAGCTAGGAGAGTTTCAAAAAAGCCCAAACCAGACCTGACAGCCGCTTGTCACCTCCCAGCCCCATCCCCGTACACACCCCGGCCATGGTGGTCAATCCCCAGGAGGCATCTTAGAGTCAGTCTCTGAGAAGACAGGGCAGAGGAGTCGAAGCCAGTGGGTCTGGCTGAGCACTGCCCAGCCTCAGCAGTCAGGCAGGTGGCCAGAGGGGCTTTGGTGGTGGACGGCAGTCCCTCCAACAGAAGGAGGCTGGAGCCATCTCGCCAGCACCAAGCAAAGCAGGAAGCATACTGATTCCCTGAAATCAGCCCCAGGACTTAGAGTGTGACAGAGAGGAGTGTGTATGCACGCACTGTGTGTCTTGTTCTGTTTTTGTTTTTCCAATTTGGGGATGTATTTGTGGTCTTACAAAAAAGAGTTAAGTCATATTTCCTTTTAGGTGGAATAAGTCATTTTTATAGAGGAGAACACAGTGAACTTGGGGCTGTTCCCCCCCAAAGCTAGAATGGGGTTCACTATGCTTGTCAAGGATACACTGGGCCATATGCACATGTTGTCTCATTGAGTCCTCAAAACAGGTGGCAGAAACTTGTGTCACTCATGTTAAGTCAGGGAAGTCAAAGCTCAGACAGGTAAAAATAGCCCAAGGTCACACAAAAACCCTGGCTGCATGCCAGTCCACTGCCTGGTGGGCTGGACCAGGGGAGCCTGAACCTAAGCCAGAGCCCTCCCCTGAGGTCCCTGCCCTGCCCCAGCCTCATTTTCCCAGTGGAGCAAACGAGGATGCTCAGAGCCACTTTTCGGAGGACGAAATCCATGCATTCATTCCAGAAGTAATTACTGGGCACAGTCTCTGTGCCTGGCTCTGTTCTGGGTGCTGGGGGTTCCGCAATAAATAAAACAGCTCCTGCCCTCAGGCAGTCGGCATGGCAGGGGAGCTGGGCAAGGAACGATGGTGGAGTAGAGCAGGGGCCCTGCCTGTGAAGCCAAAGAGAAAGCAGAAGAGCCAAGTGAGGGCTGGGGCCCGTGGGGAGGGCCGCTGTGCTAGACAGGGCGGTGTGAGCAGAGAACCCACCCGGAGGAACCGGGGTCAGGAGCCACGTGGGGTCAGGGAGGAGCTCTCCTGCAGAGGGAGCAGCAGGTGTGGGGTCCCCGGGGGCCACGGCGCTTGGCCCGCGTGCTGGAGCCCGCTGGACGCGGGGGCAGCCGGTTCAGAGAGAGCTAGAGCCTGAGGGCTGAAGGGCATGGGGGGGTGCCCTGGAGCGGAGGAGAGAGGCAGGGCGTCCTCTGGCCTGTGCCGTGGGCGCGGGGAGCACGGGTGTGCTCAGGAGGTGGAAAAGCGGCGGGATTCTGGGGAGGTTCCGGAGGGAGAGCCCACAGGCTCAGATGACCCCATATGGGGCAGAAGAGAGGGGGAAGAACGAAAAGGAGCCATGGAGGACTCCAAGGATTACGGCCCAAGAGACTGAAGGATGGAGTTTCCACTTCCCGCGACGAGACAGATGCCGGGGGGAGCGGCAGGAGTTCGTGTCTGTGGGACGCGAGGTGGCGCGTGGGAGAACTGCCTGGAAGGAGCCAGGCGCCCCGGCCCTGCCCATGGTGCTGGCCAGGCTGGGCGCTAGCGCCACCGTGTGGCCTCTCCCAGCGGCGCCCGCCGCGCGCTCAAGCTCTCTCATTTGTGGAGCGTTGGCCTGGATCCCAGCAGGGGCGGGGCCGCCCAGCCAGGGGCATTCCCTCAGCGCCCTGCAGGAACGCAGATGTGGAGGCCCCGGCCAGCCCCGAGCTGGGCAGGGGACTCTTGGCTTCCAGCATTCATGCACTGAGTGCCCAGGACGGGCCATTACCCCCACTGGGTCTCAACTTCCACATTAGTAAAGAGGATCTTTAGGAGCCCTCCCTGCTGGACATCAGGAGACGCTGGTCCTGACTCTCCTTCACTCCTAACACTACCCCTGTGACCTTCATCTGCAAAATGCTGACAATCCCACCCCAGCTACCTGCCTGCTGAGACTGGGGGGACAGGGTATCATGGGATGACAGGAGCTGAAGTTTATTGGGTACTTACTGTGTGCCAGACCCTCACAGTCCTCTGAACAGCTTCCTAGAGTGCTTTTATTGCTACCCAGTTTACAGATGAGGAAACCAGACACACAGAAAGTAAAGTATCCAACGTCACACAGCAAGGAAGTGGTAGTGCTGAGATTCAAACCCGACCATTCCCTGCTTCTTAGTGCAGCACATCATTTTTAAACTGTCAGCGTAATAATGCAAGGGCTGTAAACCTTAGTTCTGACTCAGCCACCAGCTCTCACTGGGTCATCTGTGCCTGGATTTTGCTGTATGTAAATGAGGGGCAGGGCCAGGTGAACAGGTGTTGAATTAGGCCCCTCCCAAAGTCCTAGGCAAGGGAGGTAAATGCCTGGGGCATAACTACAAAGTTCACCCCCATCCCCAGCCCTGCTCTCATCCTAATCCTTCATTCCTCCTCTGGTCTCATCACCCTGCCTCTAGCCTCAGGGGCCTCCTTTTGCCTGCCAGCCCCAGCTCCACCCCATAGCTTTTGACCTACATCCGGCTGAATGCCCACTTTTGTCCACTTTGGACATCTGACTGCTGCATATTGAGTGACTTGGAAGTGCTAGTTCCGGGCTTTCTGGCCCCGGGGCAGCTGGGCATGGTTGAGAGCCAAAGCCTAGCTGCCCCAGCGGCCTGAGTCAGTTTCTGTGCCAGCCCTCCTGGTCAGGTGGGTGCAGTACTGATATGTGTGAGCGATGGGGCTGGCTGGCCAGCTCAACCCACCTGTCAGCAACCTCACTCTGCAGACCAGAAACAGGTTCCAATGGTCTAGTGATGGGCCAGCGAACAGGCCAGATGTTAGCGGAGCTCTCCCCAGCATCCGGATTGCTGTCCATTTCAGAGATGCCCAAACTAGACTCCTGACATGTTAGAGGTGACCCGACTGGTTGGGGTCATCCCAGAGGAATCAGACCAGGAGGCTAGTATTCCAGAGCCCTAACCCCCACTTTTAGACTCTATTCAATAACTCTGTCATTATTCTTATAGTCTGTTTAAGGAGTGCAAGTGACCTAAATGTCCAACAATATCTGAAACAAGTATCACAATTTTGTTTTTTGTTTACTCTTGTGAACAATTGCTTCCAAGTCACTCAACATGCAGCAGTCAGATGTCCAAAGTGGACAAAAGTGGGCATTCAGCCACATGTAGGTCGAAAACTATGGGGTGGAGCTGGGGCTGGCAGGCAATGGGAGGGCCCCGAGGCTAGAGGCAGCCTGGACTTCAAAAGGGCAGTGGCTCCTCAGATAAGAGCGTGGCTGGGATGGGGACCTGCTCTGCAGCCTGAGGCCAGCTTAGTCAAGCCGCCCACAGAGGCCAGAGTCCGCCACCTGCCAGATGCCATTGTGCCAGCCACCGGGAGCCTGGTCACCGTGGCAGATGTGTGTGTACACTGACCACGGATGGCTCTGTGCTGCTGGACCAGCCAGTGTGACTGCCCTGTCCTGGAATAACAGATTTCATCATTAATGTATTAATATGGTAGCTATAATTATTTTTAAGCCCTCAATATGTGCCAGGCCTTCATTTTAGTCCTCCTAGAAAACCTGGTGAGGTGAGACCATCACATTCATTCGACAAAGGGGGAGACCAAGCAGAGCAAGGTGGTAAGTTGCCCATGGTGAAGCCAGCACTGAGATGCTAGTGAAACAAACAAACAAACAAACAAACAAACAAAGACTGTCTTCTTTGCTATGGCTCAATCCCAGCCCTACTGCTGTCTTCCATGGGCAAGTTACTTACTTTCTCTTACCTCAGTTTCCTCATCTGTAACATGAGGATGAGAACAGTACCAGCTTCACAGGATTCTCTGAGGTCTAAATGAATAAATATACCTAAAGCTCTCAGAACTGAACATTGCACATTCTAGGCATAAGGGAATTATTGTTCATTATTATTTACAAAGCGCTCCCATATCTGTTACGTTTCTTGGTTGTCCCAACAATCTTGTGCCCTTGCGATGGCTATTTTGCCCAGTCAGCAGGCAAGGAAACTGGGGCTCAGAGAGGAGCAGCCGTGTGGGCAGTGGGGCCAAGGCCCAACTGTGACCTTGGGTCTTCTGTGTTTGCCCTCAGGAACCAGTGACGACCTGTTCCAGGACTCGGAAGGACGAGAGGGTTCAGAGGCTGTGGAGGAGCACCAGTTTTCGGACCTGGAGGACTCGGACTCAGACTCAGACCTGGACGAAGACGAGGATGAGGATGAGGAGGAGAGCCAGGATGAGCTGTCCAGACCATCCTCAGAGGCGCCCCCGCCTGGCCCACCACATGCACTGCGGGCAGACTCCTCACCCATCCTGGGCCCTCAGCCCCCAGATGCCCCCGCCTCTGGCACGGAGGCTACACGAGGCAGCTCGGTCTCGGAAGCTGAGCGCCTGACAGCCAGCAGCTGCTCCATGTCCAGCCAGAGCATGCCGGGCCTCCCCTGGCTGGGACCGGCCCCTCTGGGCTCTGTGGAGAAAGACACAGGCTCAGCCTTGAGCTACAAGCCTGTGTCCCCAAGAAGACCGTGGTCCCCAAGCAAAGAAGCAGGCAGCCGTCCACCACTAGCCCGCAAACACTCGCTAACCAAAAACGACTCATCTCCCCAGCGATGCTCCCCGGCCCGAGAACCACAGGCCTCAGCCCCAAGCCCACCTGGCCTGCACGTGGACCCAGGAAGGGGCATGGGCGCTCTCCCTTGTGGGTCTCCAAGACTTCAGCTGTCTCCTCTCACCCTCTGCCCCCTGGGAAGAGAACTGGCCCCTCGAGCACATGTGCTCTCCAAACTCGAGGGTACCACCGACCCAGGCCTCCCCAGATACTCGCCCACCAGGAGATGGTCTCCAGGTCAGGCCGAGTCACCACCACGGTCAGCGCCGCCAGGGAAGTGGGCCTTGGCTGGGCCGGGCAGCCCCTCAGCGGGGGAGCATGGCCCAGGCTTGGGGCTGGACCCACGGGTTCTCTTCCCGCCCGCGCCTCTACCTCACAAGCTCCTCAGCAGAAGCCCAGAGACCTGCGCCTCCCCGTGGGTGAGTTCCTGCCCCTGGTGGCTGGGCCGCTTCTCCCCTGTGGGTGCAGGGGTTGCAAGTTCACACCCTCCTGGGTATCACACCTGGAACTAAACAGCTCTGCCAGCTCAGTAGTTATTAATAATTTCGCAAACATTTATTAGGCACCTACTGTGCCATGCACCATGCTGGCTGCCCTAAATCAGCTGGCTTATTAAACTTTATTTTAGCCTCAGAAGCACAGAGCATGGACTCTGGAGTTCATGGGAAATGGGTTCTACCACGTATTAGTCCGTTCTTGTATTGCTATAAACAAATTCCTGAGACTGGGTAATTTATAATGAAAAGAGGTTGAATAGGCTCACAGTTCTTCAGGCTGTACAGGAAGCGTGGTGCCAGCATCTGCTCGGCTTCTGGGGAGGCCTCAAGCAGCTTTTACTCATGGCAGAAGGCAAAGCGGGAACAGGCATCTCACATGGCAGAGTGGAAGCAAGAGAGAGAGTTGGGGGAAAGGTGCCACACGCTCAAAATGCCAGATCTCATGAGAAATCACTATCTGGAGGACAGTATCAGGCCCTGAGGGATCCGTCCCCATGACCCAAACACCTCCCACCAGGCCCACCTCTAACACTGGGGTTTACAATTCAACACGAGATTTGGGCGGGGACAAATATCCAAACGATATCATATCACTTGCAAGGGGTGTGGCCTTGGATGAGGTTGTAAATACTCGTGCAATTCCCCATCCCCCACCCCATCCCCATCTGCCTGTGTTCTTTGAGCAGATGGCACAACTTAACCAAAACCATCACCATCTCCAATATCACTGTCACCAGTGCTCTCAGAGACACCACAACCAATATCATCCTTGTCAACCATCAGCACTATCCCCATGGCCAGCACCACCACTGTCACCATTGCACCAACACACCACTGCTGCCACCCCATGAGCACAGTCACCATCCCTGTCCCCTCAGCTGCCATGACCCCTCCACCGATAGCACCATCATTGTCAGCTGACCCCCTTCCGACACCTTCTCTGTCCCCGTGTTGCCATGACCCAGCCCTGTCACTCCTGGAGGAACACTGATCTAGGAATCTTTCCTTGATTTTTAATTTTGGGTTCACATTCAAATTCCTGGAGGTAGCAGAAGGGCAAAGAGCCTCAGGTGGGAACTCATGTCCAAGAGTGAAGCTGGGTGAAGACCATTTTAGGAACAGGACAGGCAGCAGACCCACATAGAGGCCAGGCTCATGGGTGACAACAGGGCCCCACGTCGCTCAAGTATCCCCTCCTTTGAAGACAGATATGCTGGCTAGAGGCATGGAGACCATGGGGCCTGAGCATACTCATGGTCACTGTCGAGCTGGAGATGGCCCATTCCAGAGATGGCAGCTGGCTCAGCATCTGTGGGCAGGGAGTCAGGAACTTGGTTCTGGGCTCAGCTCAGCCGGGACCCTGGACTCGCTCTGTGATCTTGGGCGAGTCCCCCTCCCACTTCCAGGCCTCGGCTCCCCATGTGCCCAGCATGTAACCTTCACCTTACCTTGTCTTGTTTTCTGACCCCAGCAGAAGGCCGAGTCCCGAAGTCCCTCCTGCTCACCCGGCCCTGCTCATCCTCTCTCCTCCCGACCCTTCTCCGCCCTCCATGACTTCCACGGCCACATCCTGGCCCGGACAGAGGAGAACATCTTCAGCCACCTGCCTCTGCACTCCCAGCACTTGACCCGTGCCCCATGTCCCTTGATTCCCATCGGTGGGATCCAGATGGTGCAGGCCCGGCCAGGAGCCCACCCCACCCTGCTGCCAGGGCCCACCGCAGCCTGGGTCAGTGGCTTCTCCGGGGGTGGCAGCGACCTGACAGGGGCCCGGGAGGCCCAGGAGCGAGGCCGCTGGAGTCCCACTGAGAGCTCGTCAGCCTCCGTGTCGCCTGTGGCTAAGGTCTCCAAATTCACACTCTCCTCAGAGCTGGAGGGCGGGGACTACCCCAAGGAGAGGGAGAGGACCGGCGGAGGCCCGGGCAGGCCTCCTGACTGGACACCCCATGGGACCGGGGCACCTGCAGAGCCCACACCCACGCACAGCCCCTGCACCCCACCCGACACCTTGCCCCGGCCGCCCCAGGGACGCCGGGCAGCGCAGTCCTGGAGCCCCCGCTTGGAGTCCCCGCGTGCACCGACCAACCCCGAGCCTTCTGCCACCCCGCCGCTGGACCGCAGCAGCTCTGTGGGCTGCCTGGCAGAGGCCTCTGCCCGCTTCCCAGCCCGGACGAGGAACCTCTCCGGGGAACCCAGGACCAGGCAGGACTCCCCCAAGCCCTCAGGAAGTGGGGAGCCCAGGGCACATCCACATCAGCCTGAGGACAGGGTTCCCCCCAACGCTTAGCCTCTCTCCAACTGCTTCAGCATCTGGCTTCCAGTGTCCAGCAACAGACGTTTCCAGCCACTTTCCTCGAATCATCCCACTTCCTCAGCCCCATCTGTCCCTCCGTCCAGGAGCTCTCACGGCCCCATCTGTTGTACCTTCCCATGTATGCAGTTACCTGTGCCTTTTTCTACACCTTTTGTTGCTTAAAAAGAAACAAAACAAATCACATACATACATTTAAAAAAAAAACAACAACCCACGAGGAGTCTGAGGCTGTGAATAGTTTATGGTTTTGGGGAAAGGCTGATGGTGAAGCCTCCTGACCCTCCCCGCTGTGGTTGGCAGCCACCCACCCCAGAGGCTGGCAGAGGGAAAGGGGTACACTGAGGGAGAAAGGAAAAGGAAACTTCAAACAATATAGAATTAAATGTAAAAGGAAGCACTCCTGTGTACAGATGCGATCAAGGTTCCTGTTTATTGCCACTTCACCCCCCTGCCCAGCTCGTAGCCACCCCTCTCTGCCAGCAGAAAGGCCAGTGTCCCCAGGCAGAGGGGCACAAACACAGGCAGGTGACCCCCACCCAGGCCCCAGCAGGCAGGCCCAGAAAAACTAATCTTTTCCTTTTTTTTTTTTTTTTTTTTTTTTGCAAGAAAATAAAATGATACTTTTCCTAGGATTTCAACACAAAATAATAGGTGCAGGTAGAAGGAGGAGGGCTGGCTCCCCAAGGGCTCCTGGATACTCTGGTAGTCTGAGTCATGGGCCCATCCTGGCACTCCACAGGTGGGCAGGCCACCCCACCCACGCACCCCCACTCCAGACACCTCCCTTCTGCACCCCACCCTGGCCCCCTGGGCTGGGGAAGGAGCCCTGACTGTCCGTCCCTGGCTCCCAAGCCCCTGACCGAGGCCTCACTCTCCTGTTGCCTCCTCTGTTCTAAAACCACCAAACCACCCACAAAGGCAGAAGTGGCAGGGCCCGAGCCCTAGCGGCCGTTCCTGAGACTGGGTTTTGGGTTTTGTTTCATCTTGGTCCCTGGGGTACAAGGGAGCCTGTTCCCCTCATGGCTGGGTTTTTCCAGTTCTCCACAGCAGAGGTTTGCGGGGAACTGTTTCAGGACCACTTTGCCACAGGACCGTTTCCCCCCGTCCCTGCCCCTGTCTCCACTACCCCAAGGAAATACCCACAACTGTGGCTGGTGGATACGGCCTGGACCTGTTTGCTGTCTTACACCTCTTTTTTAAAAAGAGAGAGGATGGTGTTTGATACTTCACCCAGCCACCACAGATTCTTTTGACCTAGAGGATTTTTGAATTGTCCTAACTCGTTGGAATTCTCCAAAGCAATCAGTGTGAGCCAGTGCCTCTTCCTTACCCACATCTCTACTTTCAAGAAGCTGCCCTGCATTTCCTGGGGCAAAACTCTACTTTGTAAGAAAAATAATAGGACCAGAAATTTAAATCCCAAATTGAACTATGGAACTTGAACTCTAGCGTGTTCGCCCCAACTGGGAGAGGTGAGCTTTTTCCCAGTGTTTCAGAACTGATTTTCTTTACTTTCTACAAGGGAGGGCAGCACAGGGACTACGGTTGAGGCCCGTGAAGGCTGGGTTTGATGCCACCCTATACAGAGCAGGGACCTCTCTGGCTAATCCCCAGTCCTCAGCCAGGCTGTGTGAATCAAGTGCCTGCCCCAGGGCTCTTGAGCTATTGAAGCTGCTTGGGTACAGGACACAGTAGGTGGGGAGGGTTAAGACCCTTCTGTGAGTTCCCTGTGCGGGGCTGTACTTGCCTCTTCCAATTCGTGGCCTTTCCCTGCTTGGTCCCTACTAGACAGACAAACCAGCCACAGTCCAGCCTGCAGCCAGACCACCTTGTTCACTCATTCTCCTTTGCCTCAGAGCTAAGACAAAAATGAGACAGAAGGCAGGGCTCCCTGGGAGTCCACTGTGCTCCAGGGTTCTGGGGAATCAGGGTTAGCCAGCAGCTCCTGGCTGCTTCCCTCAGAGACTAGGGCTCTCATCCTCCCCAAGAGAAGCAGCAAGCCCAGCCTGGACCACACTGTCCATATTGCTGGACAGTGGCCTGACAGAAAGTGACTCCTCCAAGTCCCAGGAGGCCAGGGCTTTTCTCATCCTTGCCTTTCAGCCCTAACCCATGGGACTGCCCACGGATTGGAGACTTCAAGGGCTGAGGTCTGGGAGCTGCATAAAGGGCATTGCTTCAGCCCAGGTTAGAAATCTGCCTGGGCAAGCTCTTCCTGCCCCAGACCTACAAAGCAGCAGACCGGGGGCTCTGGTGGACTAGCCCCTGACATTGGTGGGGGGCCCCACACCACTCCACCCCACCCTGCCTTCCAGCTCTCCTGGGCATTTTTCTCCCTGTACTCAAACAGCCTACCCACCCAAGGTTTCCTCCCTGGGCAGCCTAGCAATGAACAGTGCAGCCGGCAGGGCAGAGGCCCGGCAGTCACCGGGCCCGTCAGGCTCAGGCAGAGAAGCCACAGGGGCCAGGAGTCACTGGAGACTATTTCTAAATGATGGGGGTAAATGCACAAATAGAATCTCACCAAAGGGCTGCCTCCACATTGATGCCGTGCCCAGAGGGACAGAACCAATGCCACCAGCCTGGGTATATGTCACTGGGCACAGCTCTAACCCCCTCCTCCGGACTCTAGTCCCGCTCCTCTGCGCACAGAGCCCCCAGCCCACAGGTACACCTTCATGATTTGGAGAAAGACGCTCGCCCCATGCACGCCCTCCTCTGGGCCTTCTGCCCTGCTCCCAGTCACTTCCAAGCTTCCTGTTTGCCTGTGATGTTATTGTGCCTGTTGAGGGAAGCAGCAGAGGAGGCAGTGGCTGACTTGGCACAGATGCCTGCTACGTGCTCTGTTGAAATGCGCGGGGTGGCCATTCCTCGGTACAGACTAGTCCTGGTCCTTGGGTGTGGGCAGTGGGGGAGGAACCAACTGGTCGAGGTTTCAGAGCCAAACCTTGCCTTTGGTTGGTGAGTCCTTGCCCCCCAGGCCTGCGCTCCACGATGCCTTTCACCCTTGGCAATCTCAGGGCCATCCTGGGTAGTAACCCCACTCCTCTCTGCTCCCGCCCGCACCTGTGGCTCTCACTCTGGGCTCAACCCCTGCAACCCTCCAGGAGCCCGACAGCAGCCAGCTGCCTGCACTGTCGCCTCCGTAAGCTCCAACTTCCAGACCCAGAAGTCCCTCTGCTTCCCTCTGTTGGAAAAAGCCTAAAAGAATTAGCTTCCAGATTCCTCTAGCCCCTGCTCCATTCCCACCCAGTCCTTCTGAAGAGGAATGAGCAATACATCTGAGCTGGATTTCTCTCTAGTCCTTTCTCCAGACAAATCCTTCTTAAAGCAAAAGTCCTGGCTGAGCACCTGTCCTTGGGGACCGATCTGCCGTGTGACCAGGGGAAGAAAGTTCCCGAAAGCCTGTTCCACCAATTCTGCTTCTGTGTTGTGAATCCAGTCTGCTTTCCATTAGAAAACCGCTTCGGCACTTATGGTCACTTTAATAAATCTAGTATGTAAAAAAAGAAAGAAAGAAAAGAAACAGAAAAAAGAAACGTGCAGGCAAATGTAAAATACAATGCTCTCTGTAAGATAAATATTTGCCTTTTTTTCTAAAAGGTGTACGTATTCTGTATGTGAAATTGTCTGTAGAAAGTTTCTATGTTCTTAAATGGCAATACATTCCAAAAATTGTACTGTAGATATGTACAGCAACCGCACTGGGATGGGGTAGTTTTGCCTGTAATTTTATTTAAACTCCAGTTTCCACACTTGCATCTTGCAATGTTGGTATGGTATATATCAGTGCAAAAGAAAAAACAAAACAGAAACAAACAAAAAAAAAAAACAAAAATCCACGCAGGTCTAAAGCACAGAGTCTGACGTACAAAAGGAAAAATGCTCAGTATTGATGTGTGTGACCTTTGTTGTAAATTACATCTGTACTGTGAATGAGAAGTTTTTACAAGTATAATAATTGCCTTTATTACAGCTCTGGCTGAGTGTTCAGCCTGAGGATATTTTTTAAAAAAAAAAGAATTAGCATGTTGGAATAAATTTGAAAATCCCAACATAGCCCTGCTTGCCTGGCTCATGGTTTTTCTAGAGGGTTCCACAATGTCAGAGTTGGAAGGATACTTGGCATCCCAAGTGCTCATTTTGCTTCAGAGCAGTCAGGCCAAGAGAGCGGAGGTGACTAGGCTGCGGTCACACAGCCCAGGACACTCTTGCAGACCCTGGAAAGGCCTCGCGAGGAAGCACCAGATATAGCACCATGTGGTTTGGGGCCTGTATTTGTTCCCTAGTCTGCTGTGACAAATCACCACGAACTAGGTGGCTTTAAACAACAGAAATTTATTCTCTCACAGTTCTGGAAGCCTGAACTCCAAAGTCAAGGTGTTGGCAAAGTTGATTCCTCCCGGAGGCTCTGAAGGAGAATCAATTCTATGCCCCTCCTAGCTTCTGGTGGCTGCAGGCAATGCTTGGCCTTCCCTGGTTTATACACTCATCACTCCAGACCCTGCCTCCACAAGGCCACTTTCACAGATTCCAGGCTTTAGGACATAAACTTAACTTTCGGGGGGACCCCCATTCACCTCACTTCAAGATGAGTAGTGAATTGGTTCTTGAGTGTTGGCAGTGGGGGAGGCACAGCGCTTACTGCCTGTGAGACCTTGGGCAACTCACCTAACCTCTCTGTGCCTCTGTTTCCTAATCTGTAAAGTGGAGGGTCATGATCCACATCTATAAGGGCTGGCGTGGGGATTAAATGAGATGGCATATACAGGGTGGCTAACACAGCCTGGAACATAGTAAGCCTTCAACAATTTGTTTCCGAGCAGGCTTTGCACAGGGTTCTGGGGTTACACGGGCGGAAAAGATAGGGAGTCCTCACCTTCTGTATTCAGCAATGATTTGCCGAGTGCCAACGAGAGGCAGTCATTGATACAACAGCGAGCAAGACAGACACAGATCCACCACGAGGAGCTCACATTGTAGCAGGGGAGGCCATCATCAGTTACTCAATCACAGCGGCCATCACTGCTGTGGTGGAAGAGAATGACAGTGCTAATCCAGAGTGAGTCTGCATCACCCAGGGGACTTTTCCTTGGAAAAGTCCTAAGGGTCGGGAGGACGAAGGGAGCCATGAGAAGGAGATATTAATGGACGATCAAGGGGGATTCTCAGGGTAAACGCCGTCCAGAAGTTTAGTGCTAAGAGCCTAAGAGGGTCTGTTCGTTCAAAGCAATCAGAGGATGAATTGTTGCCGGCTTTTGGGAAAGCTGGACTAGTACAGTTCCTGGCGCACAGTGGGCCCTTCATAGATGCTGCTGAGTGTTGAGTGAATAAATGGTGGCTGTGGATGGTGGTGGTTGAGGAGTGAGGGCAAGGTGGGGAAGTGGAGGTAGCAGACACAGACACCTTCTAGGGGCCTAGGCTAGAGACAGGGGAGAGCTGGGGCAGTTGTTGGGGGGCGCGTGGAGTGCAGGGAAAGGAAGCTGAGTGTGTGATTGGCTGGTGAGGAGATGAGAATTCAGCCTGGCTTGATGAAGAGCAGATGTAGACTCCTCTCCCACAGTGGCCTAAAAGGAGGGGAGGGAGGAAGTGCAGATGAAGTCAGTGTGTCTATTTGGTGACGGGAAGTTGAGGACACTCTTAAGAATGGATTGTATGTGGGAAATAGAGTGAAGTCACCTGAGGAAGCTGCTGGGTGAGAAGATCAAAGACACCTGAGTAGGAGTGAATGACCTTTGAGGGGAGCCAGAGGAAGCCGCCAGGGAAACAGGGAAGGCACCTGCATAGCATCACGGGCCGGCTGCCCTCTGTCTGCTCAGCGGTGTGGTTTTTCCAGCAGTCCTCAGCCGCTGGCTGTAGGCATGGGGAAGGTGGCCCAGGGTTAGCCAGGCCATGGGACACAAGGACAATGAGTTACTGGAGGTGAGTCACTGGCGAGTGAAGAGGTTGAAGCCACCAGCCACTGAGCCCACACGCTGAGAAGGGAACAAAGAGGCCTGGTTGATAAGGAGAAAGGCCAGTGGTCAAGTGACCACTTGGATGAAAACAGGAAAATGTTGTGAGTTGTCTTAACTCGTTGGATGAAGACCGTGTCAGCCACAGGTGTGGCTGAGGTGCGATGAAAGAGATCAGGAAGTGAGAGTCCAGGGTGCTGAGTGGGCTGTGCAGGTGGCAGATGAGGCCATCACTGAGGATTGCAGGGCTTAAGTGGAGATCCGGGCTGTGAGCCAAGGCCTAACAGTCAGGATGGGTTCTGTTACGCAGCAGAAACCAGCAACCCAGACACTCAGTGGCTGAATGCAAAGGGAAGTGTATTTCTTTCCCTCACTATATGTTCACTGTGGGTCAGCAGGGGAATTATGCTTATCCTAGTCAGAAACCTAAACTGATAGAGGCTCCTTCCCTGTGCTTCCATGACCCCAGGGGCTGAGGCAAATACAGTACTCGTGGCCTCCTACTGGCAAGTAAATGCTTTTACGTGGAAACTACAACTATCCCTTCCATGCATATTTTGCTGGCTAAAGCAAGTCACGTGGTCATGCCTAATGAAGGAGAATGAGAATAATTGGAAACAGCCGTAATGATAATCATACAAGGCTAGGACTTCTCAGAATTGGAAGAGGAGATGAGCAGATGTCAGCGATGGGAGGGAGGAGGGCCTGACAGTGTTAGCCTCAAAGGTGCTGGATTTTTACAGTGAGTGAGTGAAAAAAATACAGTTCAGAAGAGGCCCTGGGAGCAAACGTGGCAGCTGGCTTTAGAATCATAGGACGAAGAGCCATCGTTGGAGCAGGTGCCTGGGGAGCACGTCCTTGGGTCATGCGGGGGGCATGTCTCAGTCTAGGCCAGTGGGGAAGTAGACCCCCCGCATCAGCCCCAGAAGGAGAAGAAGAATAGCATAGTATGTGCTAGGCCCAGTGTCCAGCATTTTACAAATTTGATTTGTAGTCCCTACAACAACCAGCAAGATGAGAGTTACTGTCCCCATTTTTAGAGAGGAAAACAGAAGCTCCAAAGGGCCCCCAGGAGCCGAAGGTGCACAGCTAGGTAGGGGCAGTATGAGGACTAGAAAACCCTTGTGTGGCTCCCATGTAGTCCTTCAGGGAAACTGAGGTCCTCCCTCCTCCTCCCATCTCACACTCGGGCTCCAGGGGAGCCCGGAATCTCAGACTGTCCAGCTGTGACCACTCAGGGTCCAGCTGGGGCTTCTCTCCAGCAGCCTCCTGACTTGTCAGTATGGCCATCTGGTAGCCATTTTAGGTCCCTGTGCCTGAGGCCACAGGTGCAAGGAATGACCAGCCGACACCAGGGCCTAGATTCCAGTAACTGAGAGCGTGAAAAGTGCCTGTGAATTCTTTCCTCCACTGGCTGCCAACAGGCCCAAGGCCCACCAATCATTCACACATCGCTGGCCAGCAGGCCTCCCAGGCTGCTCTCTGAGGTTCATGAAGCACTTTCCCATTTGGAGTGGACTAGGACAGGGTGCACACTCCCATTTGCAGATGAAGGGGAGAGCCCAAGATCACACCCTGGCAAGTGGCAGGACCACTCACCTGTCCCCCTGACCCCAGCCTCAGAGGGTGGTGGCCACTGCTGGCTGCTGCTGAGGCCTTCACCAAGCTTTGTCTGGGTCCAAGTCCAAGTCTGGGCTGGGGATGCAGGACTCGGGGATCCTACACTCACCCTTAGGCCTGGGTCCTCTCTGGGCTCAGAACCTGGAGGCCACACTCTGTCCTGGAGACTCCGGTGGGGTGTGGGCCACTGTAGATAGGATGGGCCAGCCTGAGATGGGCAGGAGTGCAGAGAAGAAGGAAGAGCTGGTGGAGGACAGAGAGCAGGTGAAGAGGGTGCAGATGGGGCTGTGCTTCTTGGGATTCATTATGGGCACTGCTCAGGAGACCCTGGGAGGAGATGCCTTATAACCTCATTATCTATTCTAGAGTGGGAAGGTAGGAAGTATCAGCGTCATTTAACACGCAAGGAAATTGAGTCACAGTGAAGTTATTTGCCCAGGTTCAGGGTGCCAGAGTGGTGACACTGCTTTCCCAAGGACATCATGGTAAGTGTCAGGGCCAGGAGTTGAAACCAGGTCCCGATATTTGGGAAGTGGTTAGCTTCCTATGGAAAGAGAATCTGGGCCTCTTTGCTACTAAGCAGCCCTGGAACCTGGGTTGGGGCTGGGGGACCCCAACATGCATATTCCTCGGTCCTTTCCAGGCATCACCTACTTCAGGGGGACCCCGCTGCCTACTGCTTCCCTTCCAGATGAGAAAACTGACATCCAGAGCTGGGAAGTGCTTGGCCCAAGGTCAGGGCTGTGATTCCCGATCCCTCAACAAAGCCACCTGCACCACCCCACCCATCCCTCCTCTACCCCAGGCCTGAGTTCAACTGTCCGTCTCTCCTGCCCAGCTCTGCCTTTTTAGGAAAGGAAAAGAACAGCCCTGGGGCGGGCGGGCAGGCGGGCGGGCGGGCATGCTAATCCACCTGCTCCCGGCGTCTCTAGTTACCCGTGGTTTGGGGCTGGGCAGCCCCAGCTGGGAGTGCCAGTCCAGCCAATGGGTGCTGCCGGCTGAGCTCTCCGCCAGAGCCATAAAAGGCTTTGCCACAGCCCAGGCCTGAGCTGGCATAGGGCAGCCCCAGCACCAGCGCCCGCCCCGCCCCTGAGCCTGCCAGCCCGGCACGTCCTCGGACTCTGCCTAATCCAGCCTGGGAGCAGATGGGCCTGCCGTGCACGTGCACCAGACCCAGGCCGCTCCAAGGTCAGGGAGGTGGCACCACCAGGGCAGAGGCCAGAGTCAGGGCAGGGGCTTAGCTAGCCATGGTGATCCTGGCGAGGGTCCAGGGTGATGACACCTAGGCCTGGTCCACGCTGCATCATCTCTTGACAATGGCCACCTAGCCTGCCTCCTCCACCTCTGAAGAGGCTCTCAGCAAAGTTAGTATCCGGCTTCTGCAACTTCTGGGGTCTTCCCAGGGATCAAGCTCCAACCCACTTAATCCACCCTGGGTTCAGGCCGCATGTTCCTCTCAAAAGTAGGGGTATCCATTAGTGTGTGCCTGTTGTGAGAGCCATGTGTGTATGTCCCCTGTGGCCTGCAGGTGGGGACAGACAGCCCCTCCCCAGCACAGCCCATCCAATCTGTCAGCGCATAATGCCTCTAACTTAACACTCATATGATCCCTGGAAGGTAGGAAGTATTGGGTCCCATTTAACAAGCAGGGAAATAGAGTCATGAAGAGGTTATTAGCTTAAGGTCAGGGTGCCAGGATCCAGCTTCAGAGCAGTCTGACTCTAGAGCCTGTGTTCTAGACCTCTGGGCACGCAGACCTTCTCTTGGAATTTACCATCCTGGAGGGAAATGGGACCAACATCTAGAGCAACGTGTGAATGCGGGAATGAAAGGCATGTCTGACACATCTGAGATAAGAGGACCCTTTGTTCCTGAGTGCTGAGAGTAGAGGGTGCTTCCCAGGCCTCCAATGCACCGACACTGCCCAGGCTATGACTGCCCATGTCTGCAGCAACCCAGACTGGATAATCCCTGGCCACCTCTGACAATTAGATTCTTCACAGAAGCCACTGGGTTCAAGCACCCTTTTGTGTGTCCTACATAGGCCAAGCTGAACTGAGGGCCAAGACTGCGGTGTTCTCCAGGGCCACCCTACAGGTGAAGGAAACGTGCTGGCATGGGGGGGGGGCGTTGGCGGGCCTGGCTGGCATCAGGCTCTGTTTGCTCACCCAGGAAAGGAGGAGATAAATATAGACACAGGATTACTCAGATACAGCCTGGGAAAACCGGCTCCAGAGCCTTGACTTCAGCCCTGGCCCAGCCTCGCCTTCACTGGCCTGCCCACGCAGTGCCCGCTGCCAGGCCTGCCCCGCCTCCTCTCAGGACTTCCTTCCTACCTGCTCTCCCTGGGAACTGGGCAAGCACTTGTCTCAACTCCCATAGCAAGTGAGGAACAGACAAAGTCAGCGCTTGCTTGGGCACCGGGAGTACCTTTGAAGGCCCAGGCACTATACCAGTACAGACACAGTTTCCTCAGTTTCCCCGTCTGTGAGGTAAGAGGCTGGTGCACCCAGCCCTCAACTTCCTTGGGCCTGAATGTAGAGACCACCCAGCAGAAAGAGGGTGAGGTCGGGTTCTGTCTCACGCACAAGGAGATGCCAGTCAGAGTGGCATGTGTTGGGGGCTGCCCTCGGACCCTGGAGCCAAGCTGCATGGGCTGGAATCCCAGCTGTGCCAGGTATTAGCAGTGGGACTTCAGTTAGGTTACTTTACCTAATGTGCCTCAGTTTCTCATCTCTAAAAATAAGAATAATAATAGTCTATTAATAATTATTATTACATATCACATAATATAAATCTTATACATAGTATAATAATAATGAATAATAATAGCACTGGCCTCCTAGGGCATTAGAGAGAATTAGATGCATTGTTGTGTGCAAAGCACTTACACCAGGGCCTGGCACAGAGCAACGGCTACACATGTTTATTAGAATAGTAACCAGCTGTAGCAGCTGGGGTCCAGGGTGCACGTAGCCTGGGTAGGCCACTCAGAGGCTCTCATCTTCCAAAGGACCTGCTGGGCCCTGGGCTACACAGTGGACAGGTCTCTGCTGTTCTCAGGCCCTGGCAGCAGCTCCTCTGCCTCCCTTCCCTGACTGACAGCTTCTAGAGTCAGGTAGACACACAGTTGGCAGGGGCTCCACCACTTACAGGCTGTGTGACCTTGGGCAAGTGACTGGTCCCTCTTTGAGCCTCAAATAGCCATAACCCTAACCCTAACTTCAAACAGAGAGGCTCAGAGAGGGCCATTTCTCCCGCATTTATCCCTCCAGGGATTGGTATGAGAGTAAATAGGGGAATATGTGGGAAGCTTCCAGCTCTGCTGGGCAAATGGGTTCTCTGCGTTTGATTTCATCCTGACCCCCTTCTTTCAATTCCTCCAACTTCCTCCTGTGGCTGTGAGCTTGACCTGAGAAGGGCCACACCTGGGTACATGACCCTCACATATGCAAGGGCCCTCAGGTATGGGAAACATGCGTGCCTCACCATCATGCATGAGTGCAGGTCCCCACTCACAGGCCCGTGGGGCCCCCAGGAGCTTGTATGTTTCCTCCCACATAGGCCTCCACTGCATGGCACTCATGTGTATCCACACAGCTGTCTGTGTCCACTCTGTGCATACCTGCCAATGCATGCACAGACCTATGCACACACGGACACACGGGCACAGCCATGCACAAGCATGGAGAAGCAGGTGCCTGAAGCTATGTCCCTGCACATCCTGGCCAGCACACACGCTTCCACTCTCAGGGGGCGTCCTAGCCAGGCCTGGCCCCAAGGTGGCCGTCCTCATGGCACAGGAATGCAGACAGCTGGGGATGCTCTGCCAGCGGACGTGATAGAAAGGCCAAGGGGAAACCACACGGGCAGAAACCCAAGCAGGCGTGCCAGGCCAAGGCGGGGCCCGTGAGTGCCAGGAATTGTGTAGTTGCAGGGGGTGGGGCACGTGCAGATACTTGCTTGCTCCAGTCTCTCCTGTCACCCTGTGTCCTCAGAGTCTCTGAGACTTGGAGGTCAAAAGGGCTCAGAGACCATTCTGTACCGGGGGCAGAGGCCAGGTTCTACCTCCCCAGCCATGCTATGTGGCAGGGCTCTGCCGCTCTCTAGGCTACAGTGCGAGATGTTAGGGGCCACACCGAGCAGTCTTCCTTGCTGGGAAATCAGAAGAATCTATGACCACAGAGATTTACAGGAGGAGGACTGGTGTCACTGACTCCAGTCAAGAGAGATGGTAAAGATGATGTGGAAGTCACTATAACACTCCAGGTGCAGGCTTGCGGGGACTCACGCTGACTCATCACTGTGTTCTAAGATGTTTGCATCTACTGACTCCCTGGATGCTCACAAAGGGGAGCTGGCCCCCCAATTATGGATGCAGAATCTGAGGTGCAGAGAAGTGTTGTCCCAGAGCTGGCTGACTTCAGAGCCCAGCAGCTAACCACTGTGCTGTGTGGTCTCTGCCTCCATGCACATTTCACACCCTGGCAGAGAGGTTTGCAAATGAGGCCTCGGTATTGCTGGCAGAATGAAAGACACTCTCCCAAATGCAGGGACCTCTGGCCCCAGACAGGAGAGCAGCCTCCCCATCCCCTACAGCATCAACCTTGCCCAAGGTGCAGCCATGCTATCTATGGGTAAGACCACCACACAGGGAGGAGTCAGGCAGAGCCAATGGTTACGGGGAGGGAGGGGCGGGGGGGCTTCAGCCTCTTCTACCAGTGCCAGTCACAGGGGGCCAGCTGAGGCTGGGTGGAGACCAGGTCAGGGTACCAAGAGAGGACAGACATGAAGGTATGAACAAGGCCATGAAAGATAGGACCTGGTGTAAAGACAGGTCATCCTCTTTAGAGGACATCCATGTCCCCCATATAGAACATGTGGCCTAAGAGGGACAGAAGCCAGAGAGTTCCAGAATACACTGAGTCCCAGGGGCTGGCAAGGACCCCAGTGAGGACCTGCTCAATTGCGGAGTCCCTGAGGCCAAGGGTGACAAAGGTGGCTTCCTGCAAAGGGCCCCCAGGCCAGCTGGGACCCCCATGCTCCAGCCCTGTTTGCTGGGCAGAACTGTGGGCTGCTATGCCCTGGTGTTAGGGATCTTGCAGATGAGGGGGAAGGAAGACAGCATTAAAAAATTCCATCCAATCGCTTGAGCCCAAGAGTTAGAGGCTGCGTGATTCATGATAGCACCACTGCACTTCAGCAGCCTGGGTGACAGAGCGAGACCCAGTCTCTAAAAAAAAAAAAAAAAAAAAAAAAAAATCCCATTCCGAGGAACCTCCCGTCCTAAGCTCAGACTTGGCCATTTAGTCGCTGCCCCCCACCAGGGATGGGGAAGCTAAAATGGAATTCCTCCTGTGAAGATAGAGCAGTCACAGGAGTACCCAAAAGGCAAGTGGTGCCCAAGGCCACACAGGGCAGGAGGGACCCCGACTCCAGCAGCTTCCGCACCCTCTCAGAGCAGCCCGCAGTGGAGCCTCAAGACTCCCCACTCCCTCTGCCAGGGCTGACGGTCGGCAGCGTCCAGCAGCTGTGGGAGCCACCCCGCCATTCCCCAGGAGAAGGGTCTTCACCCATCCAGGAGAAGGGGTGCCCAGTCAAACTGCCCTGGGGCTCTAACTGCCCTGCCAGTCCTCCCGTGGCTGGGGGCAGATGACGTCACCCCCTCTGCACCTGCATTTCCACAGCAGCAATGCCCAGCACTCAGCGTTACCGGTCAGATCCAGACATAGCCTGGCACCCGCAAAAGGCCCTCTGCGTGGCCATCTGGAGTTTGCCAAGACTTCTCAAGGTGGTTACACTCCTTTCCAAAGCACTTTTGGGCTGGAGACCTCGTTACACAGCCCAGGACTCTGGGGAAGAGCAAGACTGCCAGGGTCATCCCATTTCCCACTGGACAGGCCCAGGCCCAGAGAGGGGAGTGGCTTCAGGGAAACACCCCGCAAGCTGGAGGCAGGACTTGGGGGACCCAGCCCCCGCTTCCTTCCCACACCAGCCTCCATGTGGAGAAGGGGTGACGGGCCCCACACGGCCTCCCCAGGGCAGCGTCAGGTCTTGCTGTGGCCGCTCGAGGTCTCCGTGCCTCCCACCAGTCTTTCTGGGGCAGCTCCCCCCCTCCTCCTGGGCAGCCCTCCCCGCAGTTGCTGATTCTTTGCGAGCCACCCAGGGGCTTGGGCGGCCAGGACCACTCAGACCAGACCCCCCCGGCCCGAGGCTTAGGGAGGGTGCCGGAGCTCCCCGGGGACTGCTGGAGTCCGGGCTGGGCTTTCAGGGCCCCCGCAGGGGTCCGGGCCCCAGGGGAAGGCGAGGCGCGGGTGGCCCTGCGGTTCGGAGGTGGGGTTGGGGGCGCACGTGGCCGTACTGCCCGTGCGGTCGTGTCAGGCCCCGCCGCGCCCCGGTCCCAGCACGTTCGTCCGCCGCGCAGGGAACAAAGCGTCCTGCGCATTCCTGCGCGCTGACTCATGGCCGGCACGTAGCGCGCCGCCGCCCCTGCTTTGCCCAAAATTGGTCGGGAGGCGAGGGCGGGCCGAGCGCCGCCGCCTGCAGGTCCGCCGCGGCTGCTCGCGCTCGGGCCCCCAGCCCGAGGATTTCCCAAACACGTCGGAGAGGGAGAGGCAGCTGCAGGAACCGCCCGGCCGTGGGGCCCGTGGCGGGGGGCGAATCCCTGCCGGGGGGCCCCTCTTCTCTTTCAGCCTCATTTTCTCCATCTGCCGAGGGGGCATTTGCCAGGCACGGCTGTAAGGACTTGGTATGAGTTATCTCACCTAAGTCGCACACCTACCCCGAGGAAGGTGCTATTAGCATCACCATTTTAGATGTGGAAACTGAGGCACAAGGCGGTTCCAGGCAGGGAATGAGACATGGACACTGACTTGCTTGAGGTGAGGTGCTAGTCAGCTGCAGAGCAAGGATTTGAACCCGGGCTGTAAGGTTTCAGAATCTACATGTGTCCCCTCAAGTGAGCTGCGCAGCCTGTGGCCCGCAGGGTTCCAGGCTCCCTGCCCTTTGGTGGTTGAGACTGGTCCGTGGGGCTCCGGGATGCGTCCCTTTCTAAGCCTCCATTCTCTTACCCATCAAGTAGGTGCCGGCAGAAGGGGGCCCCCCAGGGGTTGTTGGGAAAATCACAAGTGAGGATCCAAGTATTACTGTCTGGTGGAAGGAAGAGGGAAAGGGTTTAACAAACCTGCGTCCCCAGCACCCTCCGGTGATACGGGCAACACCAAAGTATAGAGAAGGGCGAGCTAAGCCCCGCCGGGCAGGGCCATACTGGGATGGGCCTCCTTAGGGCAGCCAGGCGACTTCCGAGCTGTGAGCTGCCTGTCCCCCACAGGGTAAGCACTTGTCAGAGCTGGAAAATGAGGTAGTGGGAGGGGCCCTGCCCAGGATGTCTCTGCCAGCCTTTCCCCTTTCGCCCTTGCAGCCTGGTTTCAGAGACCGTGGAGTTCTTTGGAGCTGTGGGGTGCTGGGCTCATCAGAGGTCCTCTGACCCTGAGTTTGCAGGAATGAGGCAGCCAGCAGATGGCCTTGTTCTCAGATGCCAAGACAGACTGGGCTGTGGCGTCACCCACCTGGGGCCCTTCTGAGAGTCCAAAGGAACCCACCCCACGCCCACTGGCTGGAGACCACCTGGCCTAGGCCTCAACAGAACAGATGCAAGGCCACTGCCCCCACCCTCACCTTTTCCTCTGACTCCACTTTGAACTCAGGAAAAGGTCAGGTCCTCCGCTTGGTATTCAAGATCCTTGTGGTCTGGCCTCAACCTCCTCTCTTACCACGGAATCCCTCAGGCTGTTCACTCCCTATCCTGGGGTACTTCATGCCCTTTCAGGCCTACCGGCCTTTGCCTGGGCCATCCCTCTACCAGGAATGCGCGCTCCACCTCCACAGCCTCGCTCAAAGTCTCTTTGGCTAGAATGCCCTCCCGAGTCTCCAGGCAGAGGCATCCCTCATTCCTCCGGGGTTCTGCAGGTCCATATTTGTCCCTCCCTTTTGGCCAACAAAGAGCCAAGCACGGAAAGGCCCTACACACTCCCAGCTCCCTCTCCCAGGCAAATAGTGATGCCTTTGGGGTACCTTTCCCCAAATCCCAGCTGGGCCAGAGATCCACAGCCCCAGCCCTGGGCCTGACACAGAGTGGGCTTGGCATGTTTGCTGCATGATGGCAGAAAGCATAGCCGTGGAGCTGAAGACCCTTCTTCTTTACCCCTGGCTGTGTGACCTTGGGCGGCTTATGCAGCCTCTCTGAAGCTCACTCCCAGGCCCTGCCCTCTTCCTAGGGCTGTTTGGAGGACCAGATGAATGAAGGCAAGAAGAGTGCTTGGCACGTGGGCACAGCTCCCCACACAGCTGTCATTCTCACCGGGTCATTATTACAGACCTCCCTTGTGCCTGAGGCCTGGGTTCCAAGGCTGGGTGGCAGGCAATGAACTCAGAAGCATCCACAGCCCCTCGCTGACGCAGGCCGAGGAGGTACCAGGAGAAGCGGTTGCCTTATGGTTATGGGTCAGCCAGGCTCTGGCCCTCCACTCCCCACCCCCAGGTTCCACCCATATCTGAGGCCACGAGGCCTTCCCAGCCCACTCAGGCCCTCTTATCTGGGGAGATAAAGGCCCCCTCCCCTTAGGTGGTGGACATCAGCTGGCTGTTGTGTGACCTTGGACACCCTCAGCCTCTCTGGATCAGCCTTGGGGAGTGCCGGGTGGGGGGCAAGCGGTTGACTCCCAAGGCTCCCAGGCTTAACTTCCAAGTGGCATGGCCGGGGCTCACCCACTGCATCTGGGCCCCAGAGGAATGGCTCTGGCTCTGGCTCTCTTCGCCCCCGCCCCACCCCCACCATATCTGGTACACAGGGTTGGTGGGAACTCTCAGGAACCCTGCGACATCATCCCCTATCTCCTATTGAGAGTCTGAGGCTATTATTTTTATTTGATACATTGGGAAACTGAGGCCCGGTGATTGGAAGGCTCTCACCCAAGGCCACACAGGCAGTGGCCAGGACACTGGGGTGTGGCACTGGGCCAGGGTGGTCGAGGTCAGTCTGCTACAGCCCCCCATTCTCTGGTGGGCTCCTGGCTGGTGATGGCCATCCCCTCTTCCACCTGCCTCTCCCAAGCTTCAGCTATGTGCCAGGGCTTGGACAAGACCATCAGCTTCTGAGATGCTCACATGAACCCATGGGACAGAGTGGAAGCCAAAGCTCAAGGAGCTGTGATTGCTGCCCAGGGCACACATCCTAAGGGGCAGAGTGAGATTCTGTCCCTTTTTCCCCACTCTGCCTCCTATACCAGCTGCCTCCCCAATCTGGCAGGGTTTAGGGGCTCCAGCAACAGAGGCCTTAGAAAGCCTAAAGGGAGACCCTCTGGTCTCACAGATACCCCCTGGCTATGGACAACCAAGGAGGGGGTGTGCCTGTTCTGCCAGGTTGGGCCCACCAGGCCCACCTGGGCCCACAGCCCCTTGACAGGCCCAGATGAAGGTGTGAGATCATTGGGCCACCCCAGCTCCCTGTCTGACCTCACTGCCATGACTCAGCCCTGCCTCACCCAAACCTCCTCCTCCTAGGGGACCCCAGGATTGGTGTGACCAGGCAAGTACTGTCTCCACTGTGTGCCTTCCCCGCTCAGGGCCTCCCACCCTGAGTCATTGCTCACCTCACCACCCAGCACACTGCGTTAACGGCCGGCTCCTCCTGGCAAGCTCCCAGAGATCGTGCTCCTAGAGGCTGGGACCAGGCTGAGGGATGGAGGAACTTCTCCTGCTGCCCCTAGACTCAGGCCCTGAGGTCGATCCCCAGGACCTGTTCTGGGGGACTCTTTGGTTCTGACAAGAAAATCCAAATTGAGGTTTCGTGCTGAGGCCAAGAACTCAGGCTGACCTAGGTTCAGATCCCAGCTCCTTTCTTGCTAGATGGACAAGATACCTCAGTTTACCCATCTGAAAACTAAAGGTAATAATAAGCTGCATCCTATGAAAATTCTACCTGGGATCATATGTGCTGGGATAGTGGATAAGAATGCAGGCCATGTAGCAGGGAGATCTAGACTCAAATGACCTTGAGCAAGCCACTTCACCTCCTGAGTCTCCTCACTTCCTCAGGCTCCTCATCTATAAAATGGGAATAATACTAAGTGCCTTCCCACTGGGATGATTAATTGTGATGATATGTATTATATAGTGGGTTTTGTAAGTGTTGGCACACTGGAAAGTTCAGTAAACAGTAGCTATGATGAATTCTTATGATTCACATAGATTCTTATGATAGCACACAGTAGGCCAGGTTGGTTTCAGTGCACGATGGGGAGGTGGCGAGTAGATGGCCGGCCTCTCCTGTTGCTGATGGAGTAGCATCAGGGAAGGGCTTCTGGGGTTCTGTCCCTCTGGAGCGCCCTCTGCAGGCCGAGCACTAAACTTACCCAGGTAGGTGCAAAGGCTCTAAGAAGTCTGTCTGGGCTGCTGCTGACTTCACGCTTTAGTCCCCAAGTCACCACCAGGGCCACGTCACTTCATGGAGGACAGAGCTGATGCTCAGACAGGAGAAGGGGCTTGCCAGCAGCCACCCAGCCAGAAGCCAAGCCCAAGCCTGCAACTCCATGTCCCCCTCTTCCCAGCCTGGGAGCTGCCTGCCTGGAGCCAGGACACCCTCACTTCCCAGTCTCAAGAAGGCCCTCTAGGAGTCTCAGAGCTCATCTGTCCACTGAAGATGCTTGGACAGAGTTAGGAATGCTTCCTGGGAGAGGTAACATTTGAGACGGGCCTGGAAGAATGGTCAGAGTAAACCAAGTAAGTAGGAATGGAAAGAGGATGGGAGGCCCCAGCTTGCCCAGAGGCATAAGGTGAGGAAGTCCGCTATGCATTCAGAGTGTGGCCCACCCTGGGGTCTGGTGGACTAAAGTCTTGGACACCCAGATCAGCCTTAGTGGGATGAGGCAGGAAAGACAGCTGAGGGTCAGAACCCAGGCAGGTCCAATGCCAGGGTGGGCATTTCGAGTTGGTGAGACATTTCACCCTGGTGCCAAGCTGGGATCAGACCACAGATTTCAAGCTGAAGCCTGGTTCTTGCAGGAAGGCAGCTTTGCCTAGAAACCTCCCAAATCTCCGCACACTTCTCGTCTGGTGTGGCGCTGAATGGTGTGCCAAAGCAAACATGAGTGGGCAGCGGAAGCCAGGGTGGCCACTTGCCTTGGAGGGATTTGGTGACCCAGAGCAGAGGAGGGACCTGTCGTGGGGATCTGGTCCCTGGCATGAAGATGGCACATTCTAATAACACCCTACACACACACACACACACACACACACACACACACCACTTCTTTCCAGGACTTTGTCCACACTACAAGGCCCACAGCACCCTGCATCCCAAGGTGAGTGGGGAAGGGAAGCAGAAGTGGGTGGGCAGTGCCTTCCTGAGCCAGGCAGAGGCCAGCTCTCACACTGGCTCCACCATGAAGCACTCCCAGCAGCTGCCAGGTGGGATTTTTCTTCTTCGATGCTCTTGACAAATGTGGCCTCTGACACTCAGGAAGACTAAACCATGGTGTGCCCTTAGTTACACGGTTAGTGACCCACAGAACCAGCCCCCAGACTGGAAAACCCCAGCCCAGACTACCCCCTGGCCTGGCACAGTCTTAGGCACTTGTCCATAATGGGACAGTGGGTGAGGAGGGATTCAAGCCTGAGTCACAGAGCTTTGAAGCTGGAACCTGGATCTGCCAACCCTCAGAGGTGCCAAGGGTGGGCTGGCCTCTGACTCACCCCCACACCCTGAGCTCCCTGTGGACAGTGGCTTCAGCTCCTGACCACCTTTCTGTCCACCAGGGCCCAGCTGTGCCCATCTAGGTCATTCATGGCTCAGGATTCCCAGTAGCTGCGCAGGAAGGCCAAGGCCTTCAGGCAAGGAGGTGCCCCAGGCACACCTCTGCTTAGGAATGCTGGCCTAAAATCACAGTGGGAACCCTGGCTTTGCCTGCCTCCTGGGCACCAAGTTATCCTGATGATAGAGGCACCAAGCACTTATTTTTAGCTGACATTTCATTCTAGCATGAAGTACCGTACTCCTGCGTGGCCCAGCCTCCTGGTGGCTCACCCTTTCCCAGAGGGGAAAGGCGGTCTCCTGGTGGGGCCCTGGGTGCGCCTTGGAAAACATCGGTTCTAAGCAACACAGTGGGTGTGACTCTGAAAAAATACCAGCTACGTGTCTTGGCTGGTGGTGATGGTGGGATAGAGGAGAAGGTTGGGGTTCCAGCCCCTCTGAGCACAGGGGCCTAGGCCTCAGAGAGAAAAGCATGCAGACATCCTGGGTCTCCAGGACCCAGGCCTGGCAGGGAGACCTCTGGCAGCATCCTCCCTAGACCCCAGCTTCATCATCTGGGTGTAGACCAAGGGCCCTTTCATCTCTGACTTTTTCCTTAAATATGATCTCAAGTCTTCATCATTAGAGCATTTTGAAGAACGGCATCAGATGGGAAAAGGGGCCTAGACCTCCTTAGAAGGGGTGTCTATGCAAAGCTTTGTCTGGTGAGATGAAGCCATCTAGTTGCATTTCATTTCACCCCAGTGTTTGGCACAGATCATGGGTCCAGGCCCATGCTAGGCTCTGAGGCGGGAATTCCAGAGAAGACCATGTTTCAGTTAGCTCATCATATCAATGGGGAGACACACCCAGCTCTAGGAAGCAACCAAATAATGTTTCCAGGACAGCGTAATATACCATTCAAAGCTCTTCAAGCTTCGACCCTCCTAATCTGTCCAATCTTGTTTCTCATGAAGGAGGATGGGTGCATGGGAGGCTGGTTGAGTAGATGTGTGAACGGAAGGATGAATAAAAGGTTTGATGATGAATGGATCAATGGAGAGAAAGAAGGCAGATGGGAGGAAAGGTGGATGGATGGGTGGGTAGGTGGACAGATGGATGGATGAATGGATGGATGGATGGATTGATGGATCAATGGATAGAAAGAAGGTGGATGGGAGGAAAGGTGGATGGATGGGTGGGTAGATGGACGGATGGATGGATGGATGGATGGATGGATGGATGGATGGATCGATGGATAGAAAGAAGGTGGGTTGGAGGAAAGGTGGATGGATGGATGGATGGGTAGACGGATGGATGGATGGATGGATGGATGGATGGCTCAATGGATCAATGGATAGAAAGAAGGTGGATGGGAGGAAAGGTGGATGGATGGGTGGGTAGACGGATGGATGGATGAATGGATGGATGGATGGATCAATGGATAGAAAGAAGGTGGTTGGGAGGAAAGGTGGATGGACGGGTGGATGGGTGGATTGATGGATAGATGGGTAGGTAGGTGAATAGATGGGAGGATCATTGGATAGGCATGGTATAGATTGTTGGTCCCATAGCAGACAAGCATAAGGGGAAAAGTTCTTGCCTAGGGCTCTCTGCCTGCTGAGAGCAGGGAAGTGTGCCCTGGAGAAGAGTTGCTGTGAGGCGGGAGGGCTCCCCAAGGGCTGGGTGTCAGGAAAGCACACTGGGGACACGTAGGCTCAGGGCCGGGCTTTGGAGCTACACTGACTTGCTTTCTAACCTTGGCTCTGCCACTTCCTAGCTGTCTGACATGGGGCAAGTCACCCTCTCTGAGCCTCGTTTCTTCATTTATAAAACAGGGACTCATTATAGTAACTACCCCACAGGTATGTTGTGACAGTTCACGAAGCTAATATACCTAAATCACTTAGCACAGGGCTCAGAATATATTCAATGCTCAATAAATGCTTATTTATCCTCTATTCCTAAAAGGCTAAGTGGGGAATCTGGCCCTTAGCCCATTAGAGGTAACTCAAAGCCTTGGAGTCCAGAGATTTCCATCCTAGATGCTGAGTCCTGAGTTAGTTTCCTCATTTCAAAAAGTCCAGGAGGACTTACATGGCCTCTTAACAAGAGTGTCTTGACTGAACCATGTTTGCTTTTGGCTGAAATTCCAGCAGTTTCATAGGCCTGGCTGACCCTGCTCTGATTACCCTTAGACTGATAACAAAGAGAGCACATGAATTATTCTTTTGAAAGTACAGTTTATGTGGGAGATATAAATCTTTCCAAATGGGCTGAGACAGAGGGAAGAGGACCAAGGGTGTCCTCCAAGGGAAGCCATGGAGACCAGGGGAGCCGGCCCCGCAGGCTGAGGCTGCCCTTGCAAAGACCCAGTTTGAGGACAGTGGTGTGGGTAGTGGCTGGTCCTACTGGCTCAGGGTGAGCTATGGCTGATGGCAGGAAGCCCAGACCACCCACCAGAAAGAGGCCCTGAGGCTGAGTGGCCCCAGGCCTGAGTGGGGGCAGCCCGACCCACAGCATTTGGGACAAGTGGTGATGGGAATGTTTGAGTCTCCTGAGTCCCTAAGCCCCAGCCCAGGCGGCTCCAGGGCCAAACCCTCCCCAACCCCCAGCCCCTGCAAGCTCCTGTCATCTCCCCCGGCCAGCCCCTCTTCCCAGCTGCTCGCTCTGCTAGGCCGTCTGCACAGTGTGTGCCTGCAGCAAAGACACTGTGTCCCTTCTACTGGGGCTGCAAACAGAACTTCCCAAAACCCGGTGGGGCCAGGTGTCGATGGGGAAATGACTGGTTTTGCACAGGTGAAGGAGCAGAAGGGCTCAAGCTGCAAGAGCCATGCTGCTGGAGTCTCCTGGGCCTCCTTCTGGGGAGCTCTAAACTCAGGTCAGCTTGATCCTGAATGTCACAGGCAGTCAGAGGTGAAAGCATCTCTCGCCATCAATGGGAAGGCGGGACACCTGAGGCCAGGGAGAGGAGCCCTAGGCCACATGTCATGAAAAGCAGAGCTGGGACAAAGCTTCCTGGTCCAGGGCCTCGATTGCAATCCCAGGCACCTGCTGCAGCCCAGCCCTGTTGTGTCAGGCATCACTAGGAGACTTAGTCTTCACTCCCATGCAACCTCCATTCAGCTCAGTGTCCACAGCTGCTGGACAGCTGCTTGACGGGACCATATTTGCTCTTAGAGCTGGGACTATAGAGGGAGCTTTGGGGTGCACAGAGAGACAGCCTAACCTCATCCCAATGCCCCAGCCTTCCTGCCAGTGGGGTCCTTCCTGACGGCCTTTCTCCAAGGGACCCAGGATCCTGGGCTCAGTTTGGACCCCTGGGAGAGCTTCACGGGTGTACAGGAAAGGGTGAGGCAGGTTAGGAACCAAGAGAACACACCCAGCCCCATCAGTGTCTTGAGCCAGTTGCTCCTCCTCTTGCACCTCAGTTATCTCATCTACCAAATGGGAGTGGAGACGGGGATTTCTAGGGGGAAGTTTCTAGCCCAGTGTCTGACTCAGAAATACACTCAACTGCTCTCTTCTGCCAGCCCTCCCTCCCCATACATCCCTCTTTCTTGGATTGGGCTGCTGCAAGCATAAGGGAAACAAATCGCTTAGCGAGTAAAGCAATTCTCTTCAAATTCTGAGAGGGTGACCTTCGGTGGCTCCCTGCCCTTCCCCCTGCAGCCTCAACAAACTCGGGCAGGTGCCAGGGCCAGAGAAGTGGGGCCAGGGGGTCGTGAAGCCAGGCCACCTAGAAAGGACAGGGACAGTGAGGCCAGGACAGTTATAGGTGGCAGGGTCATGCAGTCCGACCAGCCACGAGGGGCAGAGGCAACGGACAGAGGCCCAGGCTAAGCGACCCAGGGAGATGGGGCTATTTTTAACTCAGCTTAATTTTCCCTACCTGGAAACTAACTCTTGTCAGTGGAGCAGCGCTGTTCCGGGAATGGCTTCATCCCCTAAGATCTGTGCTCGCTTAGGTTCCTGGGCCAGTCCTCTCCATTTCACAGGAGCCCTGCTTGTTCAGCTCAGGCAGAGGGCAGAGAAGGAGAGAAACCGGAGCCCGGCCCAGCTCGCAGCTGGCTGTGCTGACCCTGCGGGGCTCGGGCAGCAGCCCCTGCCTTGTAGTCACCCTTCTTTCACACCCGGGAGGGATCCTGTCTCTGGGTTCATTTAATGCTTCTATTATGTTTCCCCGGCTCGGAGCCTCTGGTTCCCTATTGTCTTGAGCAGGCGTTTTGCATTTGTGTAAAGATTAGACGCTTTATAACCTTCCCTCTTCTCCCTATGGTTTCCCTCTTTTACTTTCTCAAATCTGAGTTCTTTCTTTCTGGCTACGCACTGCTTCCTCATTCTCCCCCTCTCTCCCTGCCTGTCTTTATCTGCCTCCCTGTTTGTTTTCCTCCCCACCGTGACCCCCTCCGTCTCCCCGCTGACCTGCTTTTCCTTCTTTCTTCTCTTCACGGTCCAGCGATTTGAATTCTCTATCCACCCCCAAGCAGCCCCCAGCCCTGCTTAATTCCGTATTCATATTCTTGCAGAGGCTGATAGAAATGACTGTGAGTATTGCTCACCTCATTCCAGAAATACTCTTCTAAATTCTTCGAGAGGCACGACGTGGGAGGGCAGAGAGCACCTCACGGGGAGTCCCTTGTGCTTTGCTTGATAGACCAAGCCACCTGCCCGCTGGGTGGCCTTGACCAGGCCCTGCTCCTCTCTGAGCCTCGTGGGCAGTCCTGAGCTGACTCCCCTGTGATAATAGCTGCCTCCTGGGGTTGTGGTGAGGAAGAGTCGATAGTGCTCCAAGCACGTAGTAGGTGCTCAGGAAACATTTGTTTGTTTTTTTCACAGGAGCCAGCTCAGTCTCCAGGAAGGAAGATCCTGCTCTCACCCTCCATCAGTTCTGCCAGTTTCTCCAGGATTTCACACATGCACGCTTGCTCTGGGCACACCCTAGGAAGATGCAAACTTGCCTGTTCCTGGTGGTCACCTACTGTCCCCTTCATAAATGTCCAAGGACAAAGGAGCTGCTGAATACAGGAACTGAGCATTGGGCATCCTGGGTTCTGTAAGTGGAAAGCCAGGTGTGCATCTCTTGACCCCCCTGCCCTCAGGAAGCACTCGCAAGGCCCCTACTGTGTGCAGGGTAGGTGTCAGGCCCTGCCTCCTCTGGGGCTCTGGACCTTGAGATTGCAGGGGAGATAAGTGCAATGGGATGAGTCAGGCAGGCACGAGAGGCACAGGCCCTGGGAATTCCAAGAAACGAGAGGGCCTTTCCTGTTGTGCCTGGAGACAGGGTCCCTGAGAAGACTCCAGCAGGAAGTGGACTCTCAGCCAGGGCAGGAACAGAGGGTGCCTGCCGGTTCCCTGAGCTGCTCAGCACAGCTGTGGTTCATCCCTGCTTTCCCCTCCCCGGCAAGGCTTCTGGGCCAGCAGAGGGGCAGGAGCAGAATGCCAGTCCCCAGAGAAGTCCCCTGGCTTACTTCTTTTGCAGACAGTAGCCCCCGGTGGAAGCCAAGACATCCTGTCATGGCCAGGACAGGAGACTGTTCAAGGGGCGCTTTGTGTGTGTGTCCTCAGGGACATCTTTCTGGAAAGGGGTCTGAAGCCACCTTCTTAGTCTCAAAGGAGCCTGTAAGCCAAGCAGGTGAAGTACCTTCTTGTTTTGGCCTTGTTTGCAAACAAGGAAACAGGCCCAGGAAGGATGCCCTTGGCCATGGCTGCATAGCTGAACAGCTTCTGGAAGGGACTAGAACTCCTGCCCCAGGCCCTGGGGTGACAGGGCAGGGGTTGAGGGGGGCATTTCCTGGGTGAGGTGGGGATGAAGCAGTTCCAGGCTGGTCAGAAGTCAGGCATGAGCTGTGTCCTTCACAGAGGGAGGCAGGCCCAGAGAGGGCTCTGACTCGCCCAAGGCCACACAGCCTTGCGTGGGCCTTTCACATCCCACACAACAGAGGGGCATCCTCAGCCTGGTTGGCAGAGGGCAGGCAGGATAGATGGCAGAGTCTTCTCCGAGGAGAGGGGTTTTGCTCATGGAACCTCCTCCTCCACACTCACAGCCCTGGGCGAGACCTGTGGAGCAGCCGCCAACAGAGTGAGGGAGGGGGCTCGGGGCAGCTGGGGGTGACTTGAGGAAGTCCAGCTGGACTGCGAGGGGCCCCTGGGGACTGCCAGGGAGCCTCAGGACTCCCAGAGGTGCTCCAGGCACAGAGGGAGGAATGGGCCTTCCATCTCCCTCCCCCCTTCACTGCAGAGGCTGGGTCGGGCCAGGCGCCCGGGGAGGAGGCGGTGTCCCTGGCTCCCAGCCCGCCGGTGCAGCGGGGCAGGGCTGGACCAGAAGGGGTGGGGCACCGTGCCTGGTATAAGAGGCAGCCAGGGCACCGAGGCAATGAGCTATCTGCTCAGCTTAATAGCAGGACGCTGGCAACAGGCACTCCCTGCTCCAGTCCAGCCTGCGCGCTCCACCGCCGCTATGGTCTCCGTGCCTACCACCTGGTGCTCCGTTGCGCTAGCCCTGCTCGTGGCCCTGCATGAAGGTGAGCTGCCCTGGCCTCACCTGCTGCCTACAGCTCCTGGGTCTGCCTATCTCTGTCTCCCTCTAGGGCTGCAGTGCCTCCCAAGCCAGCTGGGGGCAGACAGGGGCGGGAGCCTGGCGGCAGTGGTGGCAGGGGAAAGGTTCTGCAAATACAGAGGTGCCCAGGCTCCCCACGGGCTGCTGGGACTTCCCTGGGCTGGCCTGGAGCTCTTGAGCAGCAAGAGTGCCAACTCCCTCGATTATGCAAGAGGAGGGGCATGGTGGGTCCCCCACTCTGGGATGTGCCAGGCACCCCAACCCACCTCTCCACCTCTCTCTCCCTCCTGTGCATGCAGGGAAGGGCCAGGCTGCTGCCACCCTGGAGCAGCCAGCGTCCTCATCTCATGCCCAAGGCACCCACCTTCGGCTTCGCCGTTGCTCCTGCAGCTCCTGGCTCGACAAGGAGTGCGTCTACTTCTGCCACTTGGACATCATCTGGGTGAACACTCCTGAGTGAGCATCCATGGGGATTGGGGGCAGGGGGAGCTCTGGGGCAGGGTGTCAGGGTGGAAGCTACTGGCATGCTAGGGAACGTTGACACATTCCATCTCTCCCTGGGCCTCCAGATGGAGGCACTGGCTAATATCAATAGTTAATTGTTTCAATTCCTGAGTGGGGACCACCTGAGCCATAGAGAGGGCTGTCTTCTGAGAATTCTTAAGACAGCCTGGTAAGCAAGTGTTGGCCCCGTTTTCCAGATTCAAGTGCTGAGGCTCAGAGAGCTTAAGCGCCTCCCCCAAGATCACACAGGTAATTGTAAGGGTAGGCACCATCCTCGGTTGGGGAATGCCGGAGCTCACAGTCTCTGTCATGCTGCCTCTGCATGCTCTTCCAATAATAATACGATTAGTGACAGCACCCGTGCTTTGACTATGCCAGGCTCTTTGCCAAGCACTGCACGTGCATGATCATCTCAGGAGCCCCCCCATCCTCCCCATAAGGCAGGATAGTCCCTCAAACGACAGATGAGAACCTGCCCTGTGCTACTGGCTACACCCGGGTGGGAGCCCCGTGCTGTCTGTTCCGCCTGCACCCGCACTGCCTCCAGGCCACTGCATACCTTCAGTTGAAGTTTCTGTGTGTGTTTGTGATTTTTTCCCCTCCCCAAATTGCAAAAGGCAAGAGAAGCCCTGCACGTAAGCGTGTGTGAAGCTAATCCGCATCCAAACACTTGCTTAGGGCGGGAACCCTGCCAGTCCCTGCGTGCTGAGTCTACCTGGAGTCACTGCGACTCCAACCACACCATCTAAAATTAGCTCTGTCACTCGAAAGTGCTGGTCTAGCCAGCCACAGGGCCCCTGCCATTCCCCTGGCCCGCTTGATCAGACTCTGAATCTGAAATTAATCCCATCTGAACACACACACACACACACACCCCACTTTCAAGTCAAGCCTCTAAGGCACATGTGTTACCCCTCCAGGCAAGTGGGGACCAGATGGGGGCAGCTTAGCTATGAGCCTGTGTTTACTTCTGTGAGATGGAGTGGCCGCCCTTCCTCCAGAGCTAGCTGAGAGCCTTCTTTGAGAACAGGGGGACCAGCCTGTCTGAGAGGGGAGAGAGACTAGGAGGTTCCCAATTCCCAACTTCAGGTAGGATCACAGATTTCCTTGCCCCCATGCTGGGAGCTCTCAGTGAGCCAAGCCAGGCCCAGAGAAGGGGAGGGTCTTGCCAAGGGCTACCAGGACCCTTGTGGAGTAGCCTGTGACTTCAGTGGTGTGACTTCTTGAGGTCAAGGGCTGGTCACCTTTCATTGGCACCCTGCTGGCATGGGTGGCTGTCCCAGTGGGCAGTGTGGACAGTCCCTGCTTGCCAATGGTTGTGGTTTATTTAATCCTCTCTCTCTTTATTTTTTTCTCTCTCTCTCTTTCTCTCCACCCCACACCACTACCTTGCTGGCTGCCCGCCCACAGACAGACAGCTCCTTACGGCCTGGGAAACCCGCCAAGACGCCGGCGCCGCTCCCTGCCAAGGCGCTGTCAGTGCTCCAGTGCCAGGGACCCCGCCTGTGCCACCTTCTGCCTTCGAAGGCCCTGGTAGGTGGGCACCCAGCCTGCAGGGGCATAGGGTAGCTGCAAGCCCGGGCATGCCCTGGGGAGCAGGTGTCTGGGAGACTAGCAGAGGAGCGAACTGGCAAGTTGGGGGTGAGAAGCGACCCAGGGGCCCACAGGCTGCTTTGGGTCCATGGCACCATCCCTTCTTGCAGGAACCAGTCACCCATGGGGGCCTCCCGGTGCCCAGCTCTGGGGGCTTCTGGGAACACTCATGTCCTCACTCCTGGGCAGGAGAGAGTCTGCCAGTGACAGCTGAGGCAGCTCAGGCCCAGAGAGGGGGCAGGACACGTCAGGCTGCATAGCTTGTCAGAAGGAGGGCCAGGCCTTGGGCCTGAGTCTGTCTGATCGAGTCCTACTGGGCTTTGGATTCCGACCTGAGGTTCAGGGGGACTTTGGAGCTTGCTCGGGGAAGAAATGGCATCTGGAGTTGGGAAGCCATGTCACCATCCCAGGGTGGCCCCAGAGTTGCTGGGGAGCCTTTGCCATGTCTCCTATCTTACCTGAGCCTAAGTTTTCCCATCTGTAAAGTGGTGGGAGGCTTTGTTCCTTCCCTCACCCACATGGAGAATTTGGGAAAACCAAACTGGCTTCAAAGTCCCAAGCTTCCGGCCGCGCACGGTGGCTCACACCTGTAATCCCAGCACTTTGGGAGTCCGAGGCGGGTGGATCACCTGAGGTCAGGAGTTCAAGACCAACCTGGACAACATGGTGAAACCCTGTCTCTACTAAAAATATAAAAAAATTGCTGGGCATGGTGGCGGGCGCCTGTAATCTCAACTACTCCGAAGGCTGAGGCAGGAGAATCGGTTGAACCTGGGAGGCAGATGCTGCAGTGAGCCGAGATCGCGCCATTGCACTCCCGCCTGGGCAACAAGAGTGAAACTCAGTCTCAAAAAAAAAAAAAATCCCAAGCTCCAGTTCCCATGATGGTTTACGAGAAACTCCTCCTCTGGGTCTCAAGCTGAGGCCCCGCCCCTGCCTCAGTTTCCCCTGCAGCTGCAGGTGGCCAGATTCTGGGAAGGCCAAAAAAGCTGCCTCTTTCTGGGGCTAAGAACACATTCCTGGTAGCTCAGTTTTCCTCAGTCCCCACCCCACCTGGAAAGGGAAAGATGCCAGGTGCACAGGGGTGGAAATGGATCTGCTCCCGCAGGCAGGTGGGGATGGGGAAGGGGTGGGGGCTGGGCTGGGCCTGCAGCCAGGTAGCTTCAGGGCCCTGGGCAGTCCATCACTTGGGCCCTAATGCTATTCACGTAGGACTGAAGCCGGGGCAGTCCCAAGCCGGAAGTCCCCTGCAGACGTGTTCCAGACTGGCAAGACAGGGGCCACTACAGGAGAGCTTCTCCAAAGGCTGAGGTGAGGGCGTGGGACACATGCACAGACTGAGCACCTCCTGTATGCCTTGCACATTTCCCATATTTTCTATGTGAGGCAGGCCTGGGTCCTCATTGGGCAGCAAAGAGAACTGAGGCTCAGAGAGGGAAAGCCACTTGCCCAAAGTCACACAGCAGTCAGCGGCATCTGGCTGACCCCAGAGTCTGTGCTCTTACCCACTGTGCTCTTTGTTACCACTAGGCCTGGAAGTGGACTTTTTAGAGGGTTTGAAGGCTCATGACTGGGAAGGACCACAGTTGTTCGTTCAGGCTGTGCTGAATGGAGCATCTCACACATGCTGGGGTCCAGAGGGGCCAACTGCCCAGCCTGCTCCCTCTCTGCTGCCCAGATTGCATCTCCTCCCTGGTGCCTCAGTGTGAGTCAGACCTGGCCCCCAGGAGGTGCCCACGAATGCTTGTTCAACCAAACCAACTCAAGAACAGACACTTGCACCTGCCGGGCAGCAGAGTGGCTGTAGGGGCAGCCTCTGGGGCAGACTGCTTGATCTGAACCCCAGCCCAGCCTGGTACAAGCTTTGTGACCTTGGGTTTGCCCCTCAACTTCACTGTGCCTCTAGTTCCTATGATTTGAACAGGAGAAACAGGGAAATTGTGCCATCCATCCCCGCCTGGGGTTGCTGTGAGGTCAGATGAGTGGACGCACATGAAGTGTGTAGACCAGGGTCTGTGCCCGTGGGAGCTGTGGAGGGGTTTGCCATTCCCACTTCTGTCACTGAGGGTTCCTCACAGCTGGCCAGGTCCCAGGGCCCAGCTCAGCCCTTCAGAGATTCTCACCTTTTGGGGGCGGCAGAAAAACAGGAGAAAAGGCAGGATGGTGGGATGGACGGGACCCAACATATACTTAGGAACTTTCTGAGAATGAAAAATATGAGTACAAGACTTTTCAAAAGCGCACACTTCATAGTGTGCAGAGCTGGCTCGGCCAACCTTGTACTCATTCTCAGCAGTTCAGGCCTGTTTTTGTTTTACAAGCTAAGAAAGGGGATCAGAGAGGCTGAGATTGTTGCCCAAGTTTCCTTAGCTAGGAACTGAAGCCAGCCTCCTGGCTCCCAGTTTAGAGTTCTTTGAGCCAGGATGTGGCCACCCAGCCAGGTTCAAAGGGCAGCGGGGTGCCCTGTTTTCTGGGCTGGACTACCTTGAACTGGACCTCGAAGAATGAGTAGAATTGTAGCAGGTGGCTTCTGGGTGAGGGGAATACACACAGCCTGGAGGGAAGAGCAGGAGCAAAGGTGTGGAAAGCTGTGGAAAGAAGTGGGAAGGCAGATGACGGGAGACCCACAGGGCTGTGCTTGGCTGTCCACTCATTCTGGCAGCATTTGATGTTGAACCTTAGCTCTGTCAAAGCCCCCATGTGCAGAGAAGCTTCAACGCCTGGGCTGGCCTGCGCTGGTTGTGCAGACCTTGTTTTCAGGCTGTGGTCACTGTCTGACCCCAGGGCCGCTGTGACCCCAGGATCTGGGCAAGGGCTGTAGCCCCATTGCCCCTGCTCTCATGGGGAGCTCTTGGACAGTCCATATCTCCTGAGATGCTAAGTTGACCCTTCTTGATTCCCAGGGACATTTCCACAGTCAAGAGCCTCTTTGCCAAGCGACAACAGGAGGCCATGCGGGAGCCTCGGTCCACACATTCCAGGTGGAGGAAGAGATAGTGTCGTGAGCTGGAGGAACATTGGGAAGGAAGCCCGCGGGGAGAGAGGAGGAGAGAAGTGGCCAGGGCTTGTGGACTCTCTGCCTGCTTCCTGGACCGGGGCCTTGGTCCCAGACAGCTGGACCCATTTGCCAGGATTGGCACAAGCTCCCTGGTGAGGGAGCCTCGTCCAAGGCAGTTCTGTGTCCTCGCACTGCCCAGGGAAGCCCTCGGCCTCCAGACTGCGGAGCAGCCTCCAGTGCTGGCTGCTGGCCCACAGCTCTGCTGGAAGAACTGCATGGGGAGTACATTCATCTGGAGGCTGCGTCCTGAGGAGTGTCCTGTCTGCTGGGCTACAAACCAGGAGCAACCGTGCAGCCACGAACACGCATGCCTCAGCCAGCCCTGGAGGCTGGATGGCTCCCCTGAGGCTGGCATCCTGGCTGGCTGTGTCCTCTCCAGCTTTCCCTCCCCAGAGTTCTTGCACCCTCATTCCCTCGGGACCCTCCCAGTGAGAAGGGCCTGCTCTGCTTTTCCTGTCTGTATATAACTTATTTGCCCTAAGAACTTTGAGAATCCCAATTATTTATTTTAATGTATTTTTTAGACCCTCTATTTACCTGCGAACTTGTGTTTATAATAAATGAGGAAACATACTCTGGTTTTTTGTCTTGGCCAAGGCAGGGTGTTGGAGGCTTCTCTCAAGAAGGGGCCGCTTGGAAGTTGGAGGACACAAGAAGGAAAGGGCTGGGGCAGGTGGCTAGAGCGCTGGGTTCCACTCCCACCCTTGCTGGGTGTCTCTGGCTGCTAGCCTGCCCTCTCTGGGCTTTTGTCTGTCATGTGCCTCGACAGCCACCTGCAGCTGTGACGTCAGGATTCCAGGAGCTATGTTCTCATCAGGCCAGTAATCAACGGCCATCCCTTTTCCAGGAGCGTGTGTGGAAGAAGCCAAGACACGAGGGTGGAGGGACTCATCGCCCCAGCGGCTCTGTCCCAGCAGAGGCTGACAGTAAGGCTCAGAGCAAAGCTGTCCAGCGAGGGAGAAGACCAGGTGAACCCCAAGGCTGTGGGTGCCCCACTGGTCAGTGAGGGGTGCTGTGATGGAGCCACAGCTTGGCCCTGGCTTGGCCCCTCACCTTGGGCTTTGGACATGATAAATACTTGCTGATTGAATTCATGAGTCACCACTGCAGTATGATGTTGAACAAATCTCTTTCAGTTTCTGAACCTCAGTTTTCTTCATCTAGAAAATGGGAAGCAATTGTCCCCACGTCGCAGAGTTGCTGTGGGCACTAAGCAGAGAAGTGATGGTACCAGGCTCAGCCCAAGGCCTGACAAGAGGCAGAGGCTGCTTGTGGGGCTGGCAATGGTGATTATGGAATGAGTGGGACGGGGACAGAACTAAGGGGCCTGATGGGGGGGCAAGATGGGGGCTAGCTGGGGTGGAGGTGGGTGGTCATAGGAAGAGTCTGGACAAAGGTGCTACTCTTGTGGCCTCAAAAGATATGCAAAATAAATAGAAAGACTCAAAAGAGGCCAGGGGTGGCAACTCACGACTATAATCCCAGCACTTTAAGAGGCCAAGGTGGGAGGATGACTTGACTCCAGCAGTTCAAGACCAGCCTGGGCAATATAGGGAGACCCTGTATCTACAAAAAAAAAAAAATGTTTTTAATTAGCTGGGTGAGGTGGTGCACACCTGTGGTCCCAGCTACTCAGGAGGCTGAGGCCAGAGGATTGCTTGAGCCCAGGAGCTCGAGGCTACAGTGAACTATGGTCGTGCCACTGCACTGCAGCCTGGGCACCACAGGGAGGACCTGGCTTAAAAGAAAAAGAAAAAGAAACACTCAAATGACTTGAATACATAGAAAGAAAATAGGGAGGGAATTCCAGGCAGAGGGAGCGGGGAGGATGAAAGTATGGAAGTGGGAGTAACAAAGAAGCTTCCTTAGGAGGGGCCTCAGGTGTCTGGACCATGGCAAGGGGGCAGCAGCAGGACACAAAGCCAGAGAGGCCTTGAAGGTCAAGGTTAGGAGCCTCGACTTCCCCTTGTGGGCCACAGGAAGCCACAAAGCTCTGTGAGCAGCAGGGGACCTCGGCAGAGCTGAGCTTTGGAAATATGCCACAGAGGGCTGGCCAGAGCTGAGTGAATGAGGAGACCAGTGGCAGAGAAGCAGTCATCATAAGTCCTTAGGGATCCTCCGCGCATCCTGGTGATGAGGCTGGTGTCACGGGGTCAGCCCAGGCACTTGTTGCCTACTCCAGCCCAGGGCCAGAGCGCACCTCTCACGTTTCAGCTGAGCTTGATGCCAGGGGAGCCTCGCTCCCTGGGAGTGCATCACAGGCTCCCATTCAACATGACCCTGCCCCTGAAAAACTCAAATGCAACAGCCCATGGCCAGGCCAGGCAGCTGGGTAAGGCAGCCTTAGGGCCGCAGCTATGACAGAGGCCTGGCAGCAGCATGAGGAAAACCTGGCGGAGGGTGTGTTGGAGGGAAGCATTCACCGCCCTTGGCACAGGCCCCGGGGACCCTGGCCAGGGTTCAGAGATCAGTGACCCAGATGATTGAGCAACAGAGATGATTAAAGTAGTAGAGGAGGCCCAGAAGGCAGGGACAGGTAAGGGTGACACTACAGTCCTTTAGACCCATACACCTTGGAAACAGGGGCCTCTGGCTGGGGCCCTGCACTGCAGGGGGGCCCTGTTCTGGCCCTCATCCAGCCATACCTCTCTATGGGACAAAAAGTTTGCAGGGCCACAGGGCCACATATGTCCGAAGTCTGTCCTTGCTTCCAGCCCACACTCCAGGTAGTTGGGACTTCAGCCATGTTGGGGAAGGTGGGCTAGAGTTTGGAAAGAAGTAGAGAAAAAGCTACAAGGAGCAGCTACCAGGTCAAACCGAACCCTGGGAAGAAGGCATCTAAGCTTCAGGAAACTTGGGTTTTCTGGGACAAAATCTCCCCTCCTCCTGCCTTTTCCATAAATATAGAACAAGCGTTTTTCAAGGCTTTTTGAGTCAAATTTGTGTTCCTTTTAACTGGAACACTAGGCAGAGACAGGCCAGAAGGGGGCACAGGATGACCCAGATTTATTCGGATTATGTGGACAGGAGGAAGCTGAGGCAGAGAGCAGTTAGGTCCTGTGTCCAGGGCTGTGAGGCTGCAGACGGGGCCCTTCGCAGCCTCTCCACAGCCCTCACTCAGGAAAGAGCCCTGTGGAATTCTCTCTCTCTCTCTTTCTCTCATTGAAAATAGAGTCCAGGTAGCTAAGTCTTCAGTTCAGAAAAGTCATTTGCCTAATCACGGTGACAAACTATTGGAATGTGGCCATCCATTAATTCAACAGTTATGAATAATCACCCCTGGGAGGACTCTCGTGAGCAAGACAGACACAGTTCCTGCCTCATAGGCCAAGAGGACAGTCATTCAAGAAAACAACAGTTAAATATGAAGATAAGAATCGCAGCAAACATTCACTGAGCACTTACTAAGTGCTTTCCACATATTAACTCCTTGGTTCCTTACAGCAACCTTATGTAGCAAATTCTGTCATTACTATTTCCATTTGATAGGAAAGGTTACTGAGGCACAGAGCGGTTAGTAACTTGCTCAAAATCATATAGCTAGGATGTGGCTTAGCTGGGTTTTAAACCCCAGGCTCTTAACTTCCGTGCTATCCTACCTCTCTAATAGGGTATGTCCACACTGTGATGGAGCCCCTGAGGAGGGGGAGCCCAGGGTGGCTTCCTGGAGATGGGGACATCTAGGCCAACTCGGGGGAAGTCGGTCAAGGAAGAGGGTGGAGAAGAGCATTCCAGGCAGAGGAAACAGCATAGGTGAAGGTTCCTGTCTTCATAGGAAGGGAGCTATTCCCAGCCTCTTTTGGGGAGTAAAAGGAGAGGTCCTGGGAACGGCTGGAAGGGGCAGGCAGGAAGGGGCAGTGCATGCCTGAGCACCAGACCAAGCCCCGAGCATCTGGCATGGGGGTGCTCTAGGAAGCAGAGGCCACCACCTCTTTCACCCCCACCACAGCCTCAGAAAATGCCTCCCTGGAAAATACTACCATGCCCAGCATGCCCTCCATGAGGGCTTCAGGCCTCTGGAAACCTCTCTGGCTGCCCGCTCAGGTCTCACAGCCTGGCAGGGAAGACAGACAAGAGCAAAACGAAGGTCCAGAGGTGGAGCTGGCCTTGTAGCTGGTGGGATGGGGGGTGAAGGACTGGCAAGGCTTGTGCAGGCTGGGATGAGGGAAAGGGCTTGGTGGGAATGGTGTAAGGCAGATCTGGCCAGGGCATGAGAGAGTCCAGGGAGGGGCAGCAGGCCTGATCAGCAGGGGCCAGGCTGGGAATAGCATCCGATGCCAGGAATTTGAACTTGAGTGATAGGTAGCCAGCGAAGGTTGCTAAACGAGGGAGAGCCAGGACGGGAGCTGGCCTTGGGTGGCTGGTTTATTGTTGGCTCCTTCCCGGCCAATGCTTCCAGCTCACAAGGGCCCTCCCAGCCCCTCTCAGGGGAGAGCAGAGTGTGGGCCTCGCCTTGGCCTGCCAGGGATCCAAGCCAAAAGCCCTCGGCAGCTAAGAAGGGGGCCGTGTGCGGGCCCGCCAGGAGCCCTGGAAGAGGAATGCAGCCTAATTAATTCTCTGCAGCTCACAGGGCCTCGCCTTGTGGGAGCAGCTGCCAGGACAGGCCTGCCAGGATGCCACTGGCCCAGCCTGTCGATCACTTGGTGCTGAAAGCAGCGAGGGGGACTGCAGGCTGGGAACTGGGGGACGGGGACTCGGGGGGCCAGCCCCTGCCTCCAGGCACACACGTGTCCTCCAGTCCCTTCACAGCTAATAAAACAGTCATAGTAACTGTAATAGCCAACAGGCCTTGAGGCTGTCAGAGCACCAGACTCTGCCAGTACACTGAGTACTAGTGAGAACATTGCATTCACTTTTCTTACAAGAAGTAAGATAAGTGTTGCTCTCATCTCCATCTTGCAGATGAGGAAACTGAGGCTCAGAGAAGCGAATTTCCCTGCCCAGGGTCATGCAGTTAGAAAGCAAAAGCAGGGAAGCTGGGATGTGGACCCAGGCAATCTGGGCCCCCAGACTGTATTAATCATAACCACCATGCTAGACTGGTTCAGCAAGGGAAACTGAGGCCCTGGGGAGGCGGGGTGTCTTTCTCAAGGACAATTGGCTTAAAAAGGGCCTGGGGACACTGGCTGGATGGGGAAAGGCCATGCCCCTGGCCTCTGCTTGAATTGCCTCCTCCTGAAGTTTCCTTCCCTGGCCTGCAGGTCCCCCTGAGGGATGTCTGGCTCACTACCTCCAGGCGAGGCAGGCTGTGGAAAGTGATCCTGTCTCTGGGGTCTCTACCTATTTGGTCCTAGTTCCACTGCCTGGGGCCTGTCACAGAAGCACAGTACCAACATTACCCAAGGAGTCTCAGGCTAGTCTGCACATGCTCAGAGAATCCTTCTGCAACGCTATGACTCCCTCCACAGGCAGGACACTGAGGCCAGCAGAGGCTCAGAGTGGTGCAGGAAGGTGCTGGACCAAGACCTTGCCACTAGAAAGTGGCAGAGCCTAGGCGGGCTCCAGAATAGCCTGATGCCAAGACCCTGCCCTTCCCTGACAGCAGACCGGAAGGAGGGGCAGAACATCCATGTCATGCTGCCTCTCCGAGCCTCAGTTTCCTCATCTGCCATATGGGGATGAGGAGCCCAAGGTTACAGGATTGTCCTCGGGTTCATTAATAACAGCCAACACTAAAGGCACTTAGTAGATGTCAGATACTGTCCTAAGTACTTTATTTAATTTTTTTTAATTTCCAAAACCAAAATTTTATTCATAGCTACATAATACATCATGATACAGCTGCCCCATAAAATACCATATGTGGGCATGTATTACCCTGTAGGTGTATATTTAAGTTTGTCCAATTTCCCACTGAAGAAGATCAGAACGTGCCACCCCAAATATGCCACTTTTGCATCAGGATTGTTTTGAGCTAAAGGCAATTAAGAAACTGCACGTGTAGAAAGAGCTCTTTGCCCTCCCACATCTGCCCAAAAGCGGGACATAAATTTTCCTTTGGGAAGATTCTTCTCCTTCCCTCTCTTATAGCAGGAAGAGAACAACCGTTAGTTAGCACTGAAGACAAAAAGTCAGTAAGAAGACGAGTCTGCACAAACCAATCTTGCTGAAATCACCCTGATCTTCCATTAATTTCCCCACATATTTATCTTCCCACAATTTGCCACCCCTAGGAACACAAAGCCCTTTTCCTTTATCTTGTCATTTCTCCACAAATGTATCATCCTTTGTTAAAATGGTAGGGGGCTTATATACCATTTTAACAAAGGGTCTTCACTTCTTTTCTATGAATGCAATCAATGCCTTCATGTACATCACAATTAAAGTAGGAACATCAAATAAAATCTGTATGCCTTTTCTCCTGTTCATTAGTCTTTTGTCAGTTTAATTTGCAAGCCCCAGTCACAGTCTATAAAAGGATACAGGAAAACAATTTTTTTCCTCCCCTACACCACCAATAAAATAACACTGTGTGGTACACTTGTACATAAATTTTTCTATTTATTCCCTATTTATTGTTTGGCTACATTTTAAAATTGAGATATAATTTATACACTATAACATTCACCCTTTCAAGGCACACAATTCAGTGGATTTTAATCCTCACTTAACATCGTTGATAGGTTCTAAGGGACTGTGACATCAAGCGAAATGTTTTTCTCATCAATGTAACGACAAAACTCCATTGAAGGAAACATTATTCGAGGATCTACTCTACATTTCTTTCCCGCTAAAGTCACCATTTCCAAGAACCTATCAACAACGTTACGTGTGGATTTATTGTTTTCACAGAGTTATACAAGGATCACCACTGTCTCGTTCCAGAACATTTTCACCACCCCAAAAGGAAATCCCTTACCCGTTAGCAGTCACTCCCTTTACCCTACTACCCCGCTCCCAAGCCCTAGGCAACCACTAATCTACGTCTACCTCTATAAATTCACCGACTCTGGACATTTCATATAAATGAAATCATACCAGATGCGGCCTTTTGTGTCTGTCTTCTCTCACATACCGCAATACTTTCAAGGTTTATCCATGTTGTAGCATGTATCAGTACTCCATTCCTTTTTATGGCTGAATAATATTTCATCTTAGCACCAGATCATATTTTGTTCATTCATCTGTTAATAGACATCTGGGTTCTTTCTACTTGAAACCTCAATGACCCTATGGGAGGTTCTATTAGTGTCCTATAGACAAAAGACTGAGATCTGGAGAGGTTAAGTAACCCACCAAGGTCAGTTAGCTAGTGAGTAGCAGTGGTGAGATTTGCCCCAGGAGTCTGGCTCTGGAGATGATGGCCTTAACCACTGTACCATACTGCCTCCTCAGTCAAAGTAACACAGTGTATGGAGGTCAGCACAAAAGGAGGCACTCGGTGGGCACTTAGCAAAGCGTGGCACTTCTCCACAGCATTTCTACAAGTGGCAGAGCCAGAGGCTGCCAGGCAGGACCCTAAGCTAGGACAAGGATGTCAGGACAAGTGATAAAGAATTGCCATCTCAGCACACAGGTGATTCTCCTAGGAAGGGGACATCCGTTCACACCCAGGTGGGCCTGCTCCCTCCACTGAGCATCATTGGCCTGCATCCCAGACCTCATCCCTCCACCAATTCCTACCTAGGAAGCCGTGGCTGCTCCTTTCTGGGCCCCAACGCCCTGCCACCGGGCAGCAGAGGTAGATCTTTGGGTGAGGTTAAGGTCTGAGCTGCAGTCCTAGTCAGCACAACACAAAGCATGATCTTGGGCAGGTCTCTGCCTCCTCTGGGCCTTCATCAATTAAATAATGGGACGAGAATGCTTAATACTTTCTATTTAATTATAAGGGTGACATAATATATGAACAAAAGCTGCTGCTAAAAATATGCAAAGAATATAGGAATACCTGGGTTAAAAAGAAAGTCTCAGCTGGGCGCGGTGGCTCACGCCTGTTATCCCAGCACTTGGGGGGGCCAAGGCAGGCTGATCACAAAGTCAGGAGCTTGAGACCAGCCTGGCCGACATAGTGCAACCCCGTCTCTACTAAAAATACAAAAAAAATTAGCCAGGTGTGGTGGCACAAGCTTGTAGTCCCAGCGACTCGGGAAGCTGAGGCGGGGAATCGCTTGAACTCAGGAGGCAGAGGTTGCAGTGAGCCCAGATGGTGCCACTGCACTCCAACCTGAGCAACAAGAGCGAAACTCAGTCTCAAATAAAAGAAATAAAGTCTCCTTGCCTTGTCAGCCCAAAAGTAGAATATGTAGCCCTTTTCTATGGATTCAGGTATGTATTTTATATCTAACTTTTTAGACGTGTTTTAAAATAATAAATGGAAACATAAATCTTACGCTTCTGCGACCTGCTTTCTTCACACCACAGAGCTCGTTCTGGCCCAGTACATACGGCTCCATCTCAGCGTTTGTTTCAACAGCTCCATGGTGGTCCACAGTGCACACAAACTGTTGTTTGTTTTAACTATTTGCCTACTGATGCCATTTGGATGGACTTCATTTACTGTTTTTACAAACATGCTGCGGTAAACACCTGTTTATACATCTTTGTCCAGAAAAGACAGATTGTTAGAGGTAAATCACTGGGTCAGAGGACACCACATATTAAATATCCTGCCAGAAATGGGGCTCTTGTTTGCACTCCTACCACCACTTGGGGATAAATGCCCATTTCCTTTCGGCCTTTCCAGCATTGGGTTTTATCAATCTCTTATTTGTTGATCTAAGGAGGAAAGCATTTATTAACATGGAATCCTGATGTGTAAAAGATCAACCTGGTTGGATTCTGGTTGGAGGGAGTGAGGGGCATGGAGTCCTATTCCATCTTGAGTTGGTACAGAGGATCCCTCTATCCCTCTAGCTTTCCAGCGCTGGTATCTAGGATCTGCTTGGCTGCAGGTCTGTCCCTCTGTGGCTGATGTTAGCTCTCAGCCCCTCTGTCTCTCAGTCCTTCCCTCCAGGGCAGCTTGGGCATGGAGGAGGGACTGGCCTGTCTTCCTTGTCAGCTGACCCCACCTCCCATAATAAACATGCCTTTTAACAGGGACCTTTTGGGGACAACATCTTCATCTGAAAGCATGTGCAATGAGGGGACTTTAGGGTATCTGAGCCTGCAGGTGTTTTGAAGGCAGGGAGCATGGTGTGTCCTGGTTGCCTCTCAGCCTGTAGTCCAAACTGGCTTGTTGCAGAAGGCTGGAATTCAGTCTCACCTCTGCCTAGGCCTTGCTGTGTAGACCCAGGCAGGTCCTTGTCCCCTATGGGTTCCAAGTTCCCACCTCAGCTGCAAGACTGGGGACATTCCTTCCAGGGAGTAGGTGCAGAATCTGTCCCTCTAAAGTCTCTTCACATGCCACACACAATAATTACTCTCAGAGTGAGAGGAGGGCTCCTCCTGGGAGGTGGCAGATGAGGGCAGGGGAGGGGCGGAGAGGGCAAAGGAAGGAAGTGCACCCATGCCCCCTCAGGGCCTGAAATCTGAAACTCCTTCCCTACCACCTTGCACGGTAGTGTCCCAACTGGCTAATATGAGATTGTACTTGTGCACATACGAGCCATTCATGTGTGAGCACACATGCGCATAGGAGTGGCCTGTGTGTAAAATGAGTTCCTGTACATGCAGCTGGTGATCTTTCTGCATGTCTAGAGGCGTGTGGGTTTGTGTCTCATGTGATGGGTACACATGCACAACCCACATATGTGTATTTCCTATTGCATGTGTATGTGTGTCCATATTGACATGTACATGTGAGTGTCGTCAATGTGCATGTCTTTGCCTGATTATGGCTGCACAGATGTGTGTGCATGGGTGAGGATGCATGCGCACCTGTGGGATGTGCATGAAAGGCCATGATTGCTGGTGTGTGGATGCACGTGAGTGACATGAACCCACACACCAGGGAGGGTGTCTGAGTATGTGTAAGGGCACATGCGTGATGTATATATAAGTGTAGATTGGGGTGTGCATTGGGGCATGCACCCAAGCACGTGGATCCAGAGGTGTTTGAGTACACGTGTGGACCTAACTATGTATGGCAATACTGCCCCATGACTCTCAGCAGATGTGAATACACACAAGCATGCATTTGCATAGGTGAGTGAGGGACGCCCCCGAGAGGACACCTCAGGGTCTGTGAGACAGGACAACTCCTCCGGCCCCCATCTGCCCCTGGCCTGGACCTCTACTCACCCTGAGGAACAACACCACTGTATAAATTCTGAACATCTTGTTTTATTTACATGTAGATTCATTATTCTAGTAATTAGTAAGTCATTATAACTGTTATTTCTTTTAAAAAAAAAAAAACATGTCTATATCATAGACGTAAAATTCGGATGGCATTTGAATAAAAAGCATGGATTTCCCACCCCAACCTCCAGGGCATCTGGGAGAACCGTGCTGGATAAGCTCAAGCAGGGGTTAGGCAGGGAAGAGGAGGGAGGAGCCAGGGCAGAAAGCCTGGCCTCAGTTTCCTGGGCTGCCCAGCCCCCAGCTCCATCCTCACCTCCCGTGGCTCAAGGGAGGGTGGGAGAGGGATGTATCAGGCAAGCCCTGGCTGGGAATCAGGAGGCCGCAGGCCAGCCCTGCTCTGGTAGCAACCGGGCCAGGCTTGGCCGCTGCCTCACCTGCAGCATCTGGGATTTCTGTTGCACAGGAGCTCAAAACACAAGCTCCGCCATCTGCCCACCTTCCTCTACTCACCTCCCTCTGTCCCCAGAACCATCTCTACCCACCCCACCCCTGCCTTCACTGCCTCCTTGCCCCTCATAAACATCTACTCACCTGTCAAAGCCCACGCCCGTGTCACCAGCTGGCCACATACTCGTCTAACTTCCCAATTGGACTGTGAACTCTTGAGGGTAAGGACAGGCTCAGGGCACTCCTGGGTCTCCACAGCCCACTCTAGCCTGGCATGCCTTAGATAGCAGTCACTATTAGATTTTTTTTAATGAAAGATAAAGAAGGAAAAGAAGGGAGGGTGAGGGCTCTGTGGACGGCAATGTTTGGTACAAACAGCAGGTCATTGGGTGCCCCCAGACCAGGTGAGTCAGCCTGGCCCTTGCCCCGGAGGAGGGCAGACAGAGTATCATTTATCAACCTCCTCCCGTGCAGGCAGCACCCAGGCTGTTTACAGGCCTTATCGCTTTTGATCCTTACCTGACACCTGCAGGAAAGCAGTATTTCACTCCCATTTTCTAGAAACTAACCCTCGGAGAAGACGAGTCAGCAGCTGCCTGAGATTCAAGCTCTCCAAGGCCTTCTTCAGGTTCTCTCTGCTGCAGGCTCTCCCTCTCCTTTACGGAGCCTCACCCACATCCCCTTGGCACTAAGCAGGTATCTGTGATTCTGCCCTAAGGACTCCTGAAAGCTCTCAGAGGTCAGAGTTTGTGGGCTCAGGAACCGCCCTTGGTGATGGATAAGTGATCTGTGTTGGTGGATAAATGCCCCAGCTTCTTCCCTCCCCAGAATGGACAGCTCTGAGCCTTGCTCTGCACCATCTCCTGTCTCCCAGAGGTCCCAAGTGGGCAGGGCCCCGGTTGCCTGCCAGCTGCTCATGAACTTGCCTATACTGGCTTCCTTCCCTGTCTCACTTCCCACATCCCTCGTGGCTTCCTGGAATCACCTCTCAAATGAACTCCTTGCCCTCAAATCCTAGTTCTGGTCTGTTTCCAGGGACCCCCAACCCAAGACAGAGGAGCAGCAGGTGCAGAGACTATGTGTGCCTGAGCAGCCAAGAAAACCTTGGTCCAAAAGGGCCCCTGTCTCAGAGAGGACATGGGACTTGGTTAGGGTCTGAAGCACTTCAGTGGAGGTCTGGGGCAAACCCCAGGAGTGCTGGCAGGCGTGAGGCCAGCCCAGCTGCAGCCCCGGGCTGTGCACAGTGTCAGTTTGGGTTGTGGAGCTGCAAGGGAGAGAAGGCATAGGCATGAGCTATGGGCATGTGCTATGGGCATAAGCCAGGCAGCCAATGAGAGGCAGGGCTTATCTCAGGCTTGAGACCACACCTAGGCTTCCCTCCTTTCTCCAGAAGTGCACCCCAGGCACCTATGCCCTGTAGGTCCAGGGCAGACTCCACCTGAAAAATCCCGGGTTTCAGCAACCCTCTCTGGCTCAGCCGCCTTTGGCCTGGGTCCTTCCAGGGAGTGCAGGGAGGCTGCCTGGGGTAAGACCTTGGATGTGAGTATGAGCAACTCAGTGCCCTTCTCTGGGTACAGGACCTGGGTTGGGATGAGAAAGTGAATGAAGTGATCTCAGCACCCCTTCAAGAGCTCACGTTCCTCAGTTCCACCAGAGTCATCTGTACATGCCACATTAGATCTTACCCCACATCTACCACCATACCACCCTGAACATGCCTGATCTCGTCCATTCTCGGAAGCTAAGCAGGGTCCAGCCTGGTTGGTACTTGGACGAGAGATCTTGCCCCTTATCCCTATATGCTTTTGGCAGAGGGCATTCATTAACCCAGAGGAATGAAGCTTTCATGGTGGAAACTCGAGCACTGGGAAAGACACAGCTTGACTTTGGGAACTGACCTTCCTTAGACTCCTCAAATCACACTATGTCAGCCCCAAGGCTGCCTCAGGAAGTTAGAAGACTGCAGTCTTTACATCACAGCCGGATGGACTTGGGTTCAAATTCTGTGTAACTCAGAGGAGCCCTTTAACCTCTCTGAGCTTCAACTTCCTTGATGGTGAAATGGGCAGCCAGTGCCCTGCTGACCCCAAGTAAGCATCTACAATCTCCTTTAATCCTTACTCAGGCAAGGAAGCAACGCTGATTCCCAATTGACAGAAGAAGGCCCAGAGAAGAGGAGGCAGGCACTGAGGAAGCCAGGCCGTGCTTGGGTAGGTACAGAGTTCCCAGACCCATCCAGCCCCGACCCAGGAAACCCTGGGCCTCTCAGCCCCAGCCACCACCTAGCCTGGCTCAAGCCCTGTCCATTCCAGCCTTTCCCCTGCCTGGCCTGGCCCTGACCCGAGGCTCACCCACTGCCTGTCTCCCTGCACCTGGCCCATGGAGCAGCTGGAGCTGCACCTGCCGTTATCAGCCATGCTCTGGGACACCTTTGGCCTCAGGTATGCCAGGAACTGGGCCAGGGCGTTAAAGAGACTACAAGCTGTTCCTGCTCACTCAAGAAGGTCCTGGAGCCTCACAGCACCTGGAGTAAGCAGGCATGCCCTAGCCAGAGAGGGAAACTGAGGCCCTCTGACTTTAACCTGGAAGGGGAATCAGAGACCTCCTTGATTCCCCTAAGTGGGAACCAGGAAAGCAAAAATGGTGCGGATGGGAAGATGGGTAGGTGAAAAATGAAATCAAAGCCAACAATGGACCAGCTATTTCACTTCTAGGTATATACTGAAAAGAAATGCCTAGACATGTTCACCAGAACAATGTGTACTAGAATGTTCATAGCAGCATGATTTATGGTAGCCCAAATGGAAATGACTCAAAAGCCCAGCAATAGTAGAATGACTACATAAATTAAACTACAACTGCAGAAAGCCATGTAGATGATCTCTCAAATGAGAAGTACAAAACAAAATAGCACATACCCTACCATTACCTTTCTATACAGTTTTAATACAGGCAAAAGTAATCTGTGGTGTTAGAGGTCAGGACGGTGATGCCCCTGGGGAGTCAGTGACTGAAAGGAGGGCAGGAGGGGCTTTGGGAGTCGTGGCTGTAGCCTGTTTCTTTTCCTAGATGCAAGCTACATGGGTGTTTTCTGCCTGTGAATCTCACTGGGCTGTACATTAATGTTTTGTATCCTCTTTTGTATGACTCTTACACTTTTGAACTTTACATAAATTGAGTCTTCCGGTGTGCACTCGTTTGCATCTGGCTTCTTTTGAATAACACTGTATTTTTGAGATTCATCTGTGTCCTAGCAGGTAACAGAAGTTTCTCCTTTTTCATTGTTGTATAGTGTTTCATTGTGTGACTATACCACAATTTGTTGATCTAGTCTGCTGATGGAAGTTGGGCTGCTTCCAATTTGGAGTTACCCCAAAGAGTGCTACTTCGAATATTTTTGCACCTGTCTTTTGGTGAACGTCTGTATGTATTTCTGCTGAGGCGTACCTATTAGCGAAGTTGCTAGGCCATATAGTTTACATAGCTTTAGCTTTATTTCATACTGACAAACAGTTTTCCAAAGTGGTTTGCCGACTCACACCTCCGTCAGCTAAATATGACAGCTTCCCAACCTCACCAGCATCCGATGTGGTCAGATTTCCTTCTGGTTATCCTAGTACTTGTGACATGGCATCACACGTGGTTTTCATTTACATTTCCCTGGGGTCTAATTAAGCAGAGCATCTGTCTGAGTCCAGGTTCCCTAGGAACAGACCCTGAGACAACAAGTGGAGAACAAGCAGTTTAATTAGCAGGTGTTATTAGTCTGCTAGGGCTGCCATAACAAAATACCATGGACTCGGGGGCTTACACAACAGAACTTTATTTTGAACTTTATTTTCTCCCAGTTCTGGAGGCTGGAAAGTCCAAGACCAAGTTCCAGCAGGGTTCATTTTCTGGAGAGGCTTCTCTTCTTGGTTTGTAGACAGCTATTACCTTCTCTTGTGTCCTCATACAGCCTCTTTTCTCTGTGTGTGGAGACAGAGAGCTCTGGTGTCTTCCTCTTCTTGTAGGGACCCCAGTCCCATTGGATTAAGCTCCCACCTATGACCTCATTTAACCTTCATTGCTTCCCTAAAGGAATTATCTCCAATCACAATCGCATGGCAGGTTAAGTATTCAACATATGAATTTGGAGAGACACAAATCAGTCCATGACAGCTGGTGATCCTAGGGAAACCTAGAGGGAAATGAGAAAGTGAAGCAAGGAAAAGGAGGAGGCCAGTGTGCTAACAAGCAAGTGGTCACCTTGGCCATCTGGAGCTTAATCCCACAGGGAGCCTCTGGGAAACTGCAAACCACACACCTTAGAGCTCTCTGACCCATGAGTATGGGAGCTGGATTATCATGCACCAGTTCATGTTGCTCATGGATTGAGGTCAATTTCAAGGTATCTCTACATGATCTTGGGAGAGAGGTGTTAACTCTCAGGCCCTTGCAGCAGTGCAGCCTCCCCAGACACCCTCGGGCCCAGTGCTGCAGGCCCTGGCGGTTGCAAGGAGCACACTGCTAGGGTGGCTTCACTATTCAACGTCGGATTCTGGCTGTCATGAAGTGACTTATCCAGTGGAGCTAGACTTTGAAGAGTGAATATTGATGGGCCAGGCAGCTGAAGGCACTGCAGCAGGGGAAGAACATGACAAAGGCCAGGATGGAGGAAGCACGGTGTCCAGCCTACAGCTACATAGGGAAGGGGAAAGATTGGAGACCAGGTTGGGGTCAGCAGAGCTCTGGAGAGGGTGCCCCATCTATGTACCTAGCTGCTCAGAAGCCCAAGCTGGCCTATCCCTAAGAATGTTGTCTTCCTGGGACACCCTCCTGCCCCCCTGCCTCTGACTGTCCCCACTTCAGCTCCTCATACAGCAAGCACTCCCAAATCCAAGAAGGTCTCCTGCACCCAGGAGACACAGATATCTCCCCAGCAGAGGATCCAAACTTGGCCCCTTCCCAGGCCCGAGGGCAAGTGGTGGCAGATGCTCCTCTCCCTCAGAGGCCAGACCACAGCCTAGACTTCAGGGGGGTCAGGGGCTGACCGCAAGGGTTGGGCCTGATAAAGGACTGAGCCAAGGTAGAGGGTATCCTAAAACACCAAAAAGCAGCCACTTGGTGTCCAACCTCAGCCTCCTGAATTCAGACCTTGCTTCTCCTCTGGGGTCTTCTAGCAGGTTAGGAAGTTGCCTCTGTTTGTGCTGTCTGCAGAGACGGCACAGGGAAGGCCGAGGATCAAGGAACAGCTGGACCCAGGAGTGTGAGCTTGGAGGGGCCACCTTCACCCCCACTACCACCACTGTTTTGGCCTGAGGGAGATTGGGAAGTGAGAACTTAAGACAGGTCTGAGCAGGGTCCAACTGCTCTGGATAGCTATGGGTTTGGAGCCAAGCCATATCCAACTCTATATCCAAACAACAAGCATCTTCTCCATAGACAGAGGTGTGGTCCTGATGGAACCTGATGGAGGACAGGCACAGTGGGCACCTGGTTTCTTTGACAAGGCATGTCTCCCTCCCCCATTAATCCTGCTCTGGGCCAGGTGTGGTGGCTCATGCCTGTAATCCCAACACTTTGGGAGGCCAAGGCAGAAGGATTACTTGAACCCAGGAGCTTGAGACCAGCCTGGGCAACATAGAGAGACCCCCATCTCTACAAATAAAAATAAAATAGCTGGGCATGGTAGTACAGGCCTGAGGTCCCAGCTACCTGGGAGGCTGAGGCAGGAGGATCCCCTGAGCCCTGGAGATTGAGGCTGCAGTGAGCTATGATCCCTCCACTGCACTCCAGCATGGGTGACAGAGTGAAACCCTACCTTAAAAAAAAAAAAAAGCAAAAACAAACAAACATAAATCCTGCTCTGTTCATGTGTGTGGCTCAGTGGGGCAGCCTCCCCACACAGCCAGGCAGGGGGAACTCTTGAGCCATGACTGGCCACTGGAGCACCCATCCCCGGGCACAGTTATTGGCTTAAGGATAAACACATGACCCAAGCCAGGCCAATAGGAGTCTTCCCTGAGACTTTTTCTAGTGCGCTCTAGAAATTTTTCTTTCGAGATTGTGAGCTGTAAGGATGAGTTTGTAGCAACTGGTGGACATCTTGCATCACAACAAGAAAATCTGCCCAGAAAAAAAAAAAAAGGCAAAAATAGGCAGGCATAAATTAGAGATGGAAAGAAAGAGTTTTAATGATGTCAATTAAACACCCAGATGCAGCCATGACTGAAAGTCCTTGGACTTTTTGTTTACATAAGCCAGTGTATATCCTGCTCTGTTTATGTTTGATCAGAGTTTCTATCACTTGCAGTCTAAAGGGTGCTGATTGAAACAGTAAGTGAGAACACAGCCAAGCCCTGTCTGCACCTTCATATCCCAGAGATACATAAGATTGCAGGGAGTTCCTTTCAAAAGGGCCACTGCAACTAGAATGTTGTAATGAGGCAAAGATCCACATCCTGCTGCCCTTCTTTGAGAAGCAACAATTGGCTAATGCAAAGCAAGCTAACACTGCCAGCAGTTTATGTTCAAGAGTCCAGAATGTCATTCACACCAGAAGGGCCAAGTCTTGGCAAGCTACCCTCAACCTCACTTTCTGGAGTGTTTTGGAAGGTGGAGAGGGCTGCGATGCATTTTTCTGACTAATAATTCTGGGGTCATTTAACTACTTTTTCACTTGCTGAAATGTGAAGTCAGAGTTATATAGATTTAGGAGAGAGGGAAAGAAATACTTCATTTTTACAACCTCAGCATAAATAGGCATTGTTGCACATTGTTTAACCGATTCACTTGTTAATTCAATCCAATTCAACAAATAACCTGAATGTTCATCAAATAAAGGTTTGTTTGGCTGAATGTGACGGCTCATGCCTGTAATCCCAGCATTTTGGGAGGAGGAGGCAGAAGGATGGCTTGAGCCCAGGAGTTGGAGACCACCTGGGCAACACAGTGAAACCCCGTCTCTTTGAAAAAAAAAACAAAACTTTTTTTAATTAGCTGAGTGTGGAGGTGCACACCTGTAGTCCTAGCTATGCAGGAGGCTGAGGTGGGAGGATTGCTTGAGTCCAGGCGTTCGAGGTTGCAGTAAACTATGATTGTGCCACTGCACTCCAGCCTGGGCAAGAGAGTGAGACCCCATCTCTAAAAAATAATGATAATAAGGGTCTGGTTAAACAAATTATAATATGTGGATTTAAAAAAAAATAAGGTAGCTCTAAAATATACTGTCACAGAAATATGTCTGTAATGTATGAAGTGTATTCAGCAGTTTGCAGAATGATGTGTATAGCATGGGCCTGTTTTTGCAAGTAAAACCTGGAGGCCCTATTATTTGCAGAAGACTTACCATTTATATATTTGGAAGAAAAGGAAAAAAAAAAACTTACCCATGAAGGCTGGGCATGGTGGCTCACATCTGTAATCCCAGCACTTTGGGAGGCTGAGGCAGGTGGATCGCTTGAGCTCCACCTTGGAGTGGAGCTCCAAGACAAACCTGGGCAACATAGTAAGACCTGTCTCTACAAAATATACAAAAACAAGGCTGGGCGTGGTGGCTCATGCCTGTAATCCCAGCACTCTGGAAGTCCAAGGCGGGCGGATCACGAGGTCAAGAGACAGAGACCATCCTGGCCAACATGGTGAAACTCCGTCTGTATTAAAAACACAAAAATTAGCTGGGTGTGGTGATGCGTGCCTGTAGTCCCAGCTACTTGGGAGGCTAAGGCAGGAGAATCGCTTGGCATAGTGGCATGCGTCTGATCCGTAGTCCCAGCTACTCAGGGGCCTGAGGCTGGAGGATCACTTGAGCCCGGGAGCTTGAGGCTGTAGTGAGCCGAGGTTATACCACTGCACTTCAGCCTGGGTGCTAGAGTGAGACCCTAAATTAAAAAAAAAAATTTTTTTTAAACTGACCTATGAAAGGTAACTCATTCTCTTTGGGGGATTCAGTTGATGTAAACTTCAGTTCCCATCAGAGCTGTTTCCCCCTCACAAGGAGTCCCCCTCCTAAGATGGGGTCTGCAAGCTGGAAACTTCGGTGTCTTCATAGCATCAAGGCAAGGGCCTCCAGGCCTCAAGTCATCTTCCTGTTGGAGCATCTCATCCTGTCGGTTTCTGTCCTAGCTGCTGTTACCAGTGCAGCAAGTGGAACCTGGGGTGTGTTCTGACTTGGGCAAGGACTACTGAGAGCTCCAGCACAGCTGGCCTGATTGGGATCCACAAGGGCAAATCCCCTGTGATCTGGCTGGGACTTCAGGGTCATTGTGACCCTGCCAGGGTCCTGACAGACAAGCAGCCTACCAGAGCTCTCAGTGTCCTTCTGTGTCCCCCCATTGTCAAGACACTGGACCTTGGGGCATTCCTCCCACACCACACAGGAGACAAGCTAGTCTAGGGGCACTATCTCTGGTCTTCTCTCTGCCTAAATACCCCGTAGGAGGTTGAATGTTGGCCACAAAAAGATACGTCCACATCCTAACTCTCAGAACTTGTGAATGTGATTTGGAAAAAGGGTCTCTGCCCAGGTAATGAAGGCTCTCAAGATGAGCTCATTTTGGATTATCCAGGTGAGCCCTAAATCCAATGAAAAGTGCCCTTAGAAGAGAAAGTCAGAGGGAGACTTGGCACAGAGGTGATGACTCAGAGATGGAGGAGAAGGCCATGGGAAGATGGAGGCAGAGACTGGAGTCGTGATGCAGCCACAGGACAACCAGGGGAGCTGGAAGAGGCAGGGAACAGACTGTCCTCCAGAGCCTTCGAAGAGAGCACAGCCCGGCCGACGCCTGGGTCTCAGACCACCAAGTCTGTGGTCATTCATCACGGCAGCCCTCAGGAAATGGATACACACCCCACATTGCCCTTTCTAGTCTCCTGTGGGCATGGGCCAAGCATCCTTCCAGACAGCACTCTACAGAGTTCTAGAGTTCTAGAAATGGGCAGAAGCCCCCATCTGGGCTTTCTATCTTCCCACAATCCCTCCCCTGGCTGGGGCTCAGAGGCAAGGATGGGGCACTGGGTCTTCAGGCAGCTGCTTTACGTCACTTTTGCCTCATTTTTCCAACTCCTTGGTGGCTCCTCTGAAAGGTGGAAGGACTCCCTACTTCCTCCTGAGCTGGTAGAGACTTCCCTTACATCACCTCCTAAATTCTCTCTACCTGTGGCTTAGGGTAAAACTCCATGTCCTGTCCTCCAAGATTTGTTGTGAATATCTACAGGGAAGCTTTGGGAACAGAGAAATCTGCTTTCTCTCTCTTACAGTAGGTGATGTTGATTCTCTACCTTCTTCGATTTCCCTGTCCTTCTTCTTGAATATGCCCCAGTTTTTAATCTGGAATCCAGCCCATCCTCACATCACCAATGAGCTTCAGGGAAAGTTGACCCCAACTTCAGTTCCAGGGCAGCTCTAACTGGTGCCATGAAATCCCACCCCATCTGCCATGGTGATTGGTCCAGAAACTCAGGCCTAAGCCCCACTGCAGGACACACTCTTGGCTCCAGGAATGGGCATGTGACCCTAGCCACGATGCAAGGGGAGAGTTGCTGGGAGCCTGGGGGAAAGTGTTTTCTTGCTTTTAAGAACAGATGTGCTCCCCTTTCCTCAGAATAATTGTACTGTCCAGCCACATGGTAATTCTAAGGGATGCCATCCCACAGATTAAGCCATTAGACAAAGCAAGGTACACCAAGGGAACTTTAGAGAGATGGGCCAGCGTCACTGATGAAGCCAGCTCTGAAGCCTAGTCTGTCTCTGGAGTCTGGGGACCTGAGTCAATGTATCTCATTGTTTATCAAGTTTGTGTTGTACTTACTGTTACCTGCAGCCAAAGCATCCTAACCAAAATGTTAATCAACAAAGCCAGCTTTCAAGACTTTTGTCTCATATGGACTTCGAGATTCTCTTTTGAATCTCATTTTTAACTGAGCCTTGTTCATTAGTCCTCTTTATATCACTGTCTATCTATTTTAATCCTCTCTGAAGCAAATGGATGCTTCTGGCTGAATAGGAGGAAAATCTCATACAAGAACTATGGGAGGAAATATGCATTGCTATGTCAGAGCAATTATCCACATAACACTAATATTCAGACAGAAGTCTGGGTGAACTTCTAAGCTGTTAACAGTGGTCATCTCTGGGGAAGAGAATTTGTAGGGGAGTGGGGGTAGAGATTTCCCCTTCTAGGTTGTGTATGACTAAAATGTTTGACTGTTCAGTGTAAGTTTTAATTACACTTGTAATTTAAAATCCTAAGGATTAAAAAGTAATCCAAAACATCCTGAGTTCCTTGGTGTTTGCTCTGCAGGAAGTCTATCTGCTAGACAAAGAAATGACTCAAGAAGCAACAATATTTCTTTAAAATTTAGACATAGATTTTCAACAATTTACAATGGCCTGATCCTAGCTGGTCCAGAAGAGTAAACGCTCCTTGCCACAGGAAAGCCTCAACGAAAACTTTGCCACATGGGGATTTGTAGGACTTTAGTATTGTTTCCTGGGGGCCGAGGCAGGGCTGTGGCTCTGGGAGCCAAGGCCTGGATCCTCCTCCTCTCCCATCGCAGAGTCTCAGGGCAGAAGGCACCCCACCCATCTGAAGTCTGAGTGTCCTCACAAATTTCCAACCTCTGCTCACGCTCCTCCTGCAGGAGTGGCGCTACCCCCTCCAGTGCTGTGTGCTCTCCTTGGTCAGAGCTGAGGCCCCTTAGCATCTCTGGAGGGGTCTGCAGACGCTGGGGACCAGAGGCCACACCCCAGACCCCAGAGCCCCTGTGTGCTCTGCTCTGTCCCAGGGTCCCCATCTCTCCCTAAGGCCATGGCTTCAGGATTCTATTCTCAGATTAGTCCTAAGCAGTGCAGGCAGGACTGTCTCTGACACTCCCCCAGGCTGGGTGAGCCCAGGAGCCCCAGAGTGGGTGGAAGGAGCCTCTGCCACTAGCCAGGAGAAAGCCCAGGGCTGACCCATACCTGCAAGTAAGAGCTGGAGAGGCTGGGCTCAGAGCTTGGGGAAGGGGAGGAAGAAAGACGTTAAGAGCTAGGGAGAGAGGGGCTCCACAGGATCTACTCACCCCTGCCCAGCTCCCTCTCCTCCCTGGGCCTAGTTCTAGGCTTGGTCCCTGGACTCTGTCCCTCTCCAGAGCCATTGGTTCCAGGAGCAGAAAAAGCCTCAGTGTGATCCTCAGAGAGTACCTCAAGGGCCCCACTTCCAGAACCTCCACTCTCAGAGAGACTGGAATGGGGGCCCTCGGGGCTGCCCCTGCTGCTTTTCCTGGGAGCAGGGATGGGTCTGGAAGGCCAGGCCTGAAAAGCAGGGCTGACTATTTTGCCCCGTTTCCCCCATGCTCCCCTCCCCAGTGAAGGGCTGGGCTCCTACTGCAAGATGCCCCATCCCCCAGGGCACCCGGAACCCTCTGGGCCCCCTGAGCCTCCCCATCCAACCCTGACACCTGCCTGGATGGGCAGCAGCTGCCCAGGGTTTACAGTCCCACCTCGACCCCTGTGTTGCTTCCTGGTCCTCAGGGAGGCCACACATGCCGGGCCCTGTGCTGAGCATGAGGGTTCACAGATGAAGATTCAGCCCGGTGGACTGGGCAGACCGAGACCCAGAGGAAAACACAGCCAGGACTGCCCTGGCTTGCACAGCCACTCCGTGCTCAGCCCAATGCTGGCTGCTGGTATGATACTGAATTGGCAAGCAGAAGACATTCCCAGCAGGAAACTGCTTGGACACCCTCACCAGACACTGCATTGCTCATGAGCATTGCCTTGTCAGGAGGCCCTCCACGAACAAGCTACTTAGCAAGCCATCCCCTGCTCTCCGGCTCTTAAGCACTTAGCACCACCTGACATTACATCCTTTATTAGTTATTTCAGTTTTCTGCCTCCCCACACTCAAATGTAAGCTTTTTGAAGGCAGGGCTTTGTCCGTGTTGTTCTTGTATCCCCAGCCACTGTCTGGCACACAGCAGGCACTGAATATGTATTTGTGCGCTCGGGATTTCTGGATGGAGGATGAGGGCTGAACGCAACTCTTGTCCCTTCCTCTCTCTCCCCAGGCACCCAGCCAAGCAGTCCCTAAGTCCTCTAGAAACCATCTCCTCCCCATCCCGGAGCTCAGAGCCCAGCCTCTCTAGGCCTTGCTTGGGACTTCTTAATCTCCAAGGCCCTATGCAAATGCCACCTCCTGCATGAAGCCTGTGTAGATTCCTCTGCTGTCACATCACGTATTCCTCAATCATAGCCCCTTTCACTCTGACTGCAGTTGTTCATTTATACGTGTGTACCACCCATCACCACCACTCCGGAAGAAAAGGTCTTTAGCGCTGAATCTCCAGGGCTTCTCTAGAGGTCAGAGTGGGGTGTAATATCAGAGCTCAGGAAAGTTTGTTGGATGAATAGAGGAGTAAGTGAAGAAATGAATGAATGAATGGACAAATATAAAAGTGAATGAATGGATGAGCTCCCCTATTAGTGAATGAGTCTGTGACGGAGCACGCAGATGCATGAATGAGCAAGAGAAGTTGCTGAGTGAATGAGTCAGTGACAGAGGGGAGGAGGAGAGAGGGCAAGATGAGGGAACCTGGGAAGGAGGGCCCTCAGCCTTCTCCAGCAGCACTGGCATTGGCCTGGCCCCGCCACTCCACAGCCCTGGGCCTGTGCTCCATGCCAGCCAGCCCCACAATGCCTCCTCCCAGAGACAGCTCTCACCGGTACTGCTCAACACATGCTCCCTGATGCTGGCCAGACCCTGTGCCTGGCAATGAATCAGACAGGGCCCTGCCCTGGGGCTCCTGGGACGGGGGGCAGACAGACAGCCTCATAAATAAACTGGATGCCATGCTGGGCAGACATGTGTTCCAGCAGAGTGGTGAGCTCAGGGTTGGCTCCGGTGCCCAGGGCAGGCAGAGCTGTTCTGATGTAGGAATCTGGGAGAACCTCAGGAAGAGGCAACTTCACAGCTAGGCCTGGAGGGAGGGGAGGGGTGGAGAGAGAGCTCTAGGGGTAGAAGGGACAGCATCAGCAAAGGCACAGTGGATGGAGGGTACAAAGAGAGCTCGGCAACTGCAGGGGACGGTGTGGTGGGAAAGGATGTTTAGGGAGATGGGGACAAGCAGTGAATGCTGGGCACAGGGGCCCTTTTGGCAGAGTCTGAGATGGGGACTGCAGCAGGATGTAGAGCAGAGTGGGGCACAAAGACAATGGGCTGGTGGCCATGTGTATTCCAGGGGGAAGATGGGAGGCTCCAAAGAAGTGTTATGGGGAACATTTCAAGGAGTTTCCAGGATGCTCAGGGTTGGGTCCTGTTACAGCTCTTGCATAATTAAAGACGTCGCCATCATCCTCCATGTCCAATGCTCATTGTGAGCAGCCTGAGGCATTTGGGGCCCCTAGACTAGGGAGATTATTTTGCAGTGAAGGAATACTTACCAGTTATTTTGCAATGATTCCGACCATGGAGAAGAATCTGGGGTTCCTAAAGCAAATCAGGGAATTTCAGAGTGTAACAGAAACCTTGAAACTGGGTCAGCTGATGCCAGGGATGCTACTAAACATCCTAGAATGCACAGGACAGCCCCAACAGAATCATCCAGTCCCAATGTCAATAGTGCCAAGGTTGAGCAATCCTGATTTGATAGATGAGCAGACCAAGGACCCTGGATCAAACGGGGTCCCCAATAATTATAATAGCTCTTCCATGTGCCAAGACCTATGCTGACAGCTGTACACCCGTGAGCTCCTGTAATCTACCCCTGCTTGATGGATGAGGAAACTGAGGATTAGAGCAGTCTGGGACTTGCCCAAGGTCACACAGCTAGAGGTGGTGGAGGCGTGGTTCCAACCCTGTTGGTCAGGCTCTTGGGCATGACATCCCACCGCCTCCCCTAGCACCTCTCAGCCGGAGAAGAGCAGGGATGTGGACCCAGGGCTCCATCCTCCAGGACAAATGCCCTCTCCACTGCTCTGTGCCCCTGGCCCACATGGGAATCTTGGGCTCCTTCACTGCAGAAGCAGAGCTTGGCAGCTGGGGACCTCGGTTTGTCAGGGACGCAGTGGGCGGGCAGGAAGCAGATCCCAGGGACATAGGGCCTTTGTCTGCCTGCAGTTGGGCAGGCAGGCCTGGGCTGTGCGGCCAAGCCCAGGGGCCAGCCGGGTGCAAACTCATTAGACAGCTGCTGAGGCTGCCAAGGAGATGGGAGCAATTACAGGGCTCAGCCCCAGCCAGGAAGTGGAAGCTACACTGTGGGAGTTGCTGAGCTCTCCCGCCCCCCACTTTGAGCCCAGTTTCCTGGGAGGCAGCTGCAAAGTTTTTCCTCAGGATGGTAACAGCAGCTCCATCCTCACTGAGCGAGCCTGTTATGTGCTGGGCCGGACACCTTATGCATCTCGCCCTTCGCCTCTAAACGCCCTTGGGAGGTTGGAAGTACTAACTCCAATGCATTCACATATTCATCCATTCACTCATTCAACAAATATCATTGAGTGCCTATTACCTGCCAGTCCTGTGCTAGATCCAGGGGATACATCGGGGAACAAAACAAATATCCCTGCTCTCCTGGAATGCATATTCTGGAAGGAAGAGACAGACAATAAAAAGAACAAATGAGAGAACTGTGGCCTGTGATCAGAGGTATGGAAGAAATGAAGGGTGGGAGGTGGGCCAAGGAAGGCCACTTTGAGGAGGTGACTTCATAGAGGAGGAACTGAACTCAGAGGAGGGAGGTGACTCAATCAAGGTCACACAGCTGTAAGTGAAGGATCCAGGCTTTGGTCCCAGGCCTGCCTGACTCCAGGCCTGACCCCGCTCTCTGTCTCCTGGAAGTCCCCCTCTCAGCTGGGGCCATTGCCACATGACACTTGGGTGTAACACTGGCACAGCGTCTCCAACTCCTACTCACACTAGCCTCAAGAGGTGGGTGAGCTTATCACCTCCATTTTAGAGGTGGGAGAACCGAGGCCCAGAGAGGAGCCAAAGCAAGCCTGAGGTCCCAGCGAAGGAATGAGAGAGAGTGGACTTGAAGTCTTTTGATCCCCAAACACGTGTTCCTTCTGCCATACCTTGACACTTCCTGGCTGGGCACTGCACCCACCCTAAATACTTAGTAGGCACACAAGAAATGCATTCGTGGATAGACCATGCGTCCTTGGGCAAGGCGTCCACTTCTCCATTAGAAAACGTGAAACTGATCCAGACCAGCTCTGAAATTCCCCAAGTTCATTCTATTCAATCAACGGACAGAGATGAAGGCAGGGCCCCATCATAGTCCAGTGGGTAAGAAGGTCATGCAGTTTAAAGTGGGTTGGTCAGGGAGAACATTCTAGCAGAAACAACAGATGCAAAAGCATGGAGGTGAGAGGTGAGAAAGAAAACAGTGGGGCTCACCCAGGCATTGTTTAGGACATGGAGAGCAATTTGGAACTTTCCCTCTGCTACCTGGATGAGGTCTTGGGCCACCATAGTCCCTGCACCATATCAATTCCAGCCCTGGCTTGAGTCTGACAGGGTTTGCAAAGAAGATGCTGAAACTAGCCCCAGATAGATCTGGGTTACCAGCTGCACACAGACTGTGACCTTGGTAGGAGACTACTCCCCTCACTCGACCTCGGCTTCCGTATTGATTAACTAAGGATGGGTATCAGAGCAAGTCAGGACCGTAATAAAAGGTAGGGTTTATGAGTACTTCATGTCAGGCAACAATCCCTTAATACAGTTAATGTTATTACCCTGGTTTACAGATAAGAAATCAGAGGCTTAGCGAGGTGGAGTCACTTACCCAAGGCTAGTGACTAGGAAATAGGCCAATGCGGATTCACCCGCAGGACTATCTGACTCCGGAATCCTGCTCCATAACAAAAAGCTGCCAACTTGAATAAGTGTTCATGACCTTTGACCTGGGCCGCAATCAATCCCCAGGACTTTATCCATAGGAATGAATCCAAGAAAGCCAAAAAGATGTTCCCTGCAGCCATATTTACAATATGGCGGATAATCAGAAGCAATCTGTCTGTCCAACCACAGGGCCCTATTCGCTTTACAATTAGGCAGCTTCAGAGATTGGGGTTTATTGAGCACTAGCTCTTTCTCAATACTCTGTCATAATCCCCACACCAACCCTGTGAAGTGGGTGTTGCTTTCCCCATTTCTAGACAAAACCTCTAAGTTCAGAGAGGGTGAGCGATTTGCGAGAGTACACAGATGGTGACAGACATGGGTCTGTTCACAGCCACCCAAAGGTAGAAATGGGGAGATCTGTTCTATGAGGAAGGAAGCTAAAACTCAAGAGAGGGTGAGGGGGCCTCTGCTCAAGGCCACACAGTTGGTGAGCAGGACAGTTCGGGTTTGACCTCAGGCACTGGGACCCTGCACTCTGGGACCACATCCTGCACTGCAACTTCCCACTGGGAACACCTGGATGAGTCACTTAGCTTCTCTAGGCCTTGGTTCCTCGTCTGTAAAATGAGGATAATAATGTTCATGGCATAGGGTGGCTGTAGCGAGGATTAAGTGAGTTTCTGGCCAACAGTAATGGCATCATGTAAGCAGAAGCACGTCCAGGCTTGGGGTGGAGAGTGGTTTTATGTGATGGTGTGGTTGGGGGTGAAAGAGAGGCTGGGGACAGGGTGGGTGTGAGAGAATTTAGGGGGACAGAAAGAGGCCATGAGAAGGGCTTGGCAGTCTCTGTGATGATTTTCAGAGGCCTTTTGGTTTTTTGTTTGTTTTTTGAGACGGAGTCTCGCTCTGTCCCCAAGCTGGAGTGCAGTGGCATGGATCTCGGCTGACTGCAACCTCCACCCACCAGGTTCAAGCGATTCTCCTGCCTCAGCCTCCTGAGTATCTGGGACTACAGGCCCAGCCACCACGCCCAGCTAATTGTTTGTATTTTAAGTAGAGATGGGGTTTCACCAGGTTGGCCAGGATGGTCTTGATCTCTTGACCTTGTGATCCACCCACCTCAGCCTCCCAAAGTGCTGGGATTACAGGTGTGAGCCACCACGCCAGGCCTTCAGAGGCCTTTTGTATGCTGCCCCTTTGACTGTGGCCAGGCCTTTTATCTGTGGACCAGGCCTTTTGCTAGGGTTACCCCTACCCAGAAGGCAGGCCTGCTACAGTGGTTCCAGCTCCAGCCCAGGCTGGCCTCACTGGAAGGGACAAGGCATGTTTGCTGACTAAAGGATTCGGCTCAATCTTTCCAAGACTTTCAGAGTTGGGAAGACAGTAAAGGTCACCTCGTCCACCCCATTCCTTTCCGCACAGGAGAGCAAGAGCTTATTCAGGGTCACACAGGGAATAATGTCAGAGCCAGAAATGGAATCCAGAGTCCTGTCACTCAGGCCTTTTTCCAATATGGCACTTAACCAGGAGGAGCCTTGCCTCTGGTCCAGCTTTACAACCAGCTGTGGGACCCAGATTCAGGGGCTTATGGCTCAGCTGATGATCTCACAAGGTTGGAGGAGCATTAAATTGGATAATAGATGGGAACTTGCTTGGAAAGAAAACCAGTGGAAATGTGGAGTGAGGCTGGGGCCTCCCTGAGGCACAGCACAGAAGGGTGGTGGCAGGGAACACACAGATGTGGCATGAAGGGGCTGCAGGGAGGCTGAGGCTGGGACAAGTCTCCACTGGGGTCCGAGTGGCCACCTGCCCTGCAGGGCAGGTGGCAGGGAACTGAGACCCGGCAGAGGGAGGGGAGGCCAGGTAACCCACTGGGCTCCTCCAGCAACGGTGAGACAGAGACACAGTGAGGCCAAGACTTTCGCAAGCTCACCGCTGCAGCCAGAGGCAGGAGAGCGGTTAGTAAACAGACAACAAAATCCCAGAGCCAAATACCCCCGGGCGTGTCCCAACCCAACTCTCTGACAGGCTCAGAGCTGGCCTTGCTTAGATTTTCTGCCCCTTTCCAAGGAAGTGGGCAGCCCATGCTTAGACTTGGAGACGCTGATGCCTCCCTCAGGCCAGTCCTTCTGCCTCTTCCCCCATGCAGACTCATCCACAGATTGCCTCTGGGTTTATTGCTTGCCTTCCTTCTTTGCTGGACTCCAGCATTGTCCCACCCGTCTTGTGTGGATCCTGCTATCGGTTTGCCGACCCTTCTTTCCAAACCTTCCTTATACTCCCATTCAGACCCTTCAACCTGGCATTCAGCATCTCCATGATGTAAAATGGGGAGTATGATCCCTCCTCAGGAGTCAAACCTCTTGGCACAGTGCAGATCACAGAGATGCCACTCGGTACACTTTAGCTATTATTATCACTATCAACACTATTATTACCTCATGCAGTCCCGTGCAGCAAACACACTTTCTGGAGCATCAAGCCACCAGCCATGTAACGAGGTTGCCAACTCACAAAACCCCATGAAAGTATTAGAAACACTCACCTCCAGCCCAACTGAAATATGGGACACTGCGGCCCAGGCTCCAGAGCCGGTTAATGGCAGAGCTAGACCAGAAGCCTGATCTCCTGCCTCCCGAGCCAGAACTCTTCCCTAACAAGCTGCCACTGCTAGGAGCCAAGTTCAAACACCAGCCTTTACGTATGGTAGTCTCAGAGTACACAAAGAGCAAACCTTGGCTACATATAAGAATCTTTATTATTTGTTCTCACTGTTAACTTCCCCCTTTTAATACCCCTAGGTACCTTCAGAGGGGGCTTCTCTCTCCTCCTTCCAGCCAAGGCTTGTTTATCTCTCCACTGTTTTTTCTCCCCCTCACTTCCTTCCCCTCTCCATCACTGGGGAGGCCTTTCTCTGACCTTCCCTGGCAGAGCCAAAGGGCAATTGCCAGCTTGCCTTTTCACTACTCAGCTAAAAAGCCAAATTCCTTTCCTCCTGGGGCTCTACTGGATTTTTTGTTGTTGTTCTTAGCCTCAAGGGTCTATTCTGGGAAAGACACTGAACCTCTCTCTCCTGACTGGCTCCCTCTTCTTAAACATGCCCAGTTCCTCCCACCCTAAAAACCAACAAGCAAACAAATCAAGCCTGTCTATCCTCTTCAATTGAACTCGGTCCCATTCCTTTCCTCCTCCTTCAGCCCCAGTTCCTGGCAGTAACCTGTTATCTCCAAGTCCCATCTCCTAGGCTTCACCTCCCACGAGGCTGTCTCTGCCCCTCCCCACCCTCTACTCAACCTGCTCCTGCTCAAGGCCCCGGACCTCCATTTTGCTAAATCCAACCGGCGTTTTACAGTCGTCAACCTGCCTGGGCTTTCGGCCTCCTCACACCTGCAGACCACACCCTCCAAGGGCCTTCTGGATTCTCTGACTTGATATTCCCCCACTGCTCCGCCAGCAGCTTCTCGGTGTCCTTGGTGCCTCTTCTTCCAACAGTCATTGACGTTGTGTCCTGGGCCCTCTTCTCTTCCCATGTTCTCTCCCTAGCCTCCCCCATAGCTGACTTTCCATCTCTAGCTCATAATTCCTAGATCATCCCACACCCGCCTCCTGAGCCCCAGGCCTGGGCACCCAGCTGCCTGCACTCAGGTGTCTCTCAGGCACCTCAATCCAAGCTTGGCTAGAACTGTCTCATGATTCTTTCTCTCAAGACCACCCCCTCCCTCCCGACCCCCCCATCTCCGTAGATAGCCCCTCCATCCACCCCTTCTTCTTTCTCACCCGCCTCCCCAGCCAGTCACCAAGTCCTGCTGAATCCATCTTCCAAGCACCTGCACTGTGTGGGCCACCCACCTGCTTCTGACTCCCTCACTGTGACCTGAGCCGGGGCTCTCCAGCTGCTCCTGAGAGTCTGCAGCAGCTGCCTAACTGGTCCCTCAAAGCCATACTTCCCCCTCATTCCATTCTGCTTACAGCAGCCAGGGATCTTTCTACAACACAGATCTTTTGGTCATTTCCCTGCTTAAAACCCTTCACCATCTCCCAACTCTTCTCCAGTCAAACCCCCAAATCTTCAGCATCTCCCTCCCCCTAGCTCTCTGCCTTCCAGCCTCCCTGGCCTTTTTGCTTTTCTTTCAATGCCTCCATTCCTTGCTGCTTCTGAGGCTGTGCGCTTGCTGGTTCCTCTGCCTGGAATGCTTTTCCTTCCCCCTCTCCCCATCCCCAAGAGATGCAGCCTAGAGTTGCTTCTGCACTTCCTACCAGCTCACACTCCCCTGGGGCCCCTGAGTTTTCCATCAGCTGCCAGGTTGTTTGCAGTCAGCCATGGGTGCCTGAGGCTGCTTGATTCATGTCTGTCTCGGCTCCTGGACTGCAAATTCCATGAAGGCCAGGGGCCATGTCTGTCTTGCTTACTCTACAACCACACTGTGCCTGGCCCATAGCACCGCAGAGCCCCAGCTGACCAGGCTTCCCTGTCCATACAGCCTGTGCTGATGGCCCAGGAGCAGACTCTTAGTGTGGAATTTAAGGGCCTCATGATTGGACTCCACCCACTTTTCCAGCGCTCCTTGGCCCTAACCCTTTCCACATGCCTCCCCCTATCCAGACTGGGGACCTCCCCCTCCCCCCCTTTGCTCCCACCACTTCCCCTCCTCTCTCTTTCTTGGATGTTCTAGCCAGCCCAAGCCCATATCCTCCTCGACACCTCCGTTCCTGACCACACAGCCATCTTCCCCTGGGTCGACAGAGCACCCACCCACCATCCCTTCAAGCATCCTCCACTATCTCCAGGACGAAGTCACAAAGCACTTGGGGCCCTTCCTCATCCATCCCCACTTACTGTCTCAGCACCACACTACCCACACAATAAACACCCATCCCCTCTGGCAATGCCCCATTGCCAAACATGCTCCTTGCTTCATGCCTCCAGACACTCCCTGCCCAGATGGCTCTGGCCCTCATCCCTCCTTGATAAACTCCTCCTTGAGACCAGCCCGAACATTCTCTCTTCCAATTGCCGTCCTTGGCCCCTGGGCTGAGGTCTGCCCTCTCCAGAGTCCAGCACTCGAAGACTTAGCCTTCAAAGCCATGTTTCCTGGGTTCCTATCCTGCCTCCATCTCTTACAAGCTGCAGGGTCTTAGACAAGTTACAAACCCTCAGCTGCCTCATGCATAAAATGGGAGCAGTAATGGCCCCCACCTCATAGAATTTTATGAGGATTAAATAAGGAAATCCAACTGGGTGTAGGCTCATGCCTGTGGTCCCAGTTACTTGAGAGGCTAAGGCAGGAGGATCGCTTGAGCCCAGGAGTTTGACACCAGCCAGGGCAACATAGTGTAGACCCCATCTCCATTTTTAAGAACATTAAAAATTTAAAAATCCACAGTAAGTATTTAAGCAAGTGCTTGGGCACCTATTGCGTGCTACTGTGAAGCTTCTAAGCTTCTTTCCTCTCTTTGGCCCTGATTGGCTAACAAGCCTGTCCTCCATCTGGCCTGTGCTAAGAGGGGAGACTCAGCCCCTTCCATCTCTGGGTCTCCCTTGCCTAGCCCTGTCCTGGTTCTGAAAAAGCTCAATCAATGCTTATTAAAGAGCCAATAGACCACACACTTGGAGCAAATCATCCCTTTGTTCCTTCACTTTCACATGTATAAATCTTATCTCTCCTCACAGGATTTGAGCTCTAGGGTATGGGGGTTGGGGCTTCTGGGGAAGGAGAGCAGAAGGGGTGTCTTCATGTCAGAGCATTCAGACCTGGGAGGGAGCTCTGTGCTCCTGCATCCCTCTACCCCCCACAGTGCCCAGCCCAGAGAAGGAGTCAAGGAGGGCTTGTTGACAGATGGGCTCACGGTCTTCCCCCGAGAGGAGGCACGTCTCCCCCTTCGAGATATTGCCCTAATTACTCCCTGGGCTCTCCCCTCCACACGCACATCTGTGTTCTTAGGCAAGATCCTGCTTGACATACTCCACGGAGTTCTCTTGGCTGCCGGTTCGAAGCCAGCTTGGCCAGTTTCTTCAGAAACTAAAGCAGAAAGAGAAGAAAGTTTTCTTAAAGCCACAGAGCACGAAACCAGAACAGAGGATGAATTCATTGTCATCAGCAAAACATCAGCCTAGACTAGCACTGACTAATCTCCACACTGTCCAAAGGGGGCACGGATGGCATAGCAGAAGAGTTAAGTGTGCTGGACTCTACAGTTGGAGAACCTCCGATTTGAATCCAGGCTTTGCCACCAAGCAGCTGGGTGACCTTGGGCAACTTACTTATCCTTTCTTTTTTTCCTTCTTTTTTTTTTTTTTTTTGAGATGGAGTCTTGCTCTGTCACCCAAGCTGGAGTGCAGTGGCGCAGTCTCGGCTCACTGCAAGCTCCGCCTCCTGGGTTCATGCCATTCTCCTGCCTCAGCCTCCTCAGTAGCTGGGATTACAGGTGCCCGTCACCACGCCCGACTAATTTTTTGTATTTTTTAGTAGAGACGGTGTTTCACTGTGTTAGCCAGGATGGTCTCAATCTCCTGACCTCGTGATCCGCCCTCTCGGCCTCCCAAAGTGCTGTGATTACAGGTGTGAGCCACCGCACCTGGCCTACTTATCCTTTCTAAGCTGCAGTTTCCTTGTCAATAAATTGGGGATAATATTTGTACTAGCTCAGGAGGATTTAATTAGATGAGTGCTCCAAAGGTTGGTCATTGTTATTTTGCCACTGAATGTCAGAGCCAGAAGGAACTTCAACAGTCCTCTTGGAGAGAGGGCACTGTGGCCTGTGAAGGCAACCGGATCTGGATAAGCCATAGAGCAAATTGGTGCTTTCCCTCTACCCCTTGTCACCAATGACATTTTTCAGAGAACCAAGAGGTGTCTGCTCCTTCACCCCCGGACTCAGAGGTCACCCGCCTTGGTTGGAAAAGCTCAAATTTGGGGATCTTGAAGGGGGAAGGGCAGAGGCATCCATGCCAACATAGGGCCTGTTGTCAGGAGGCCATTTGTTCAGGATGAGCCCCCTCCAGCTCAGGGTGGCACTGCCCATCAGTGATGCCATGACAGGGCAGATCAGATCACAGCCTCCACTTGCAGTCCATCCAGGGAAGTGCTGCAAACACAACTCAGATCTTGCAGGGATGAGGACTTTGGAGCCAGGTAGGCAGGGCACTGCCTGCTCACCTTCTCTAGCTGGGCTCAGCTCTCTGGCCTCTGCTCAGCCTGGCCCAGGGGCTCCATCTGCCCACCTGTCTGCCAGATGGAGTGCCTGCTCTGCTGTTTCCCTTTTACCCACTCCAGATACATCTTGCCCACAGACTTTCCCTCTCCCAGATGCTCAGGCAGACCTGGTGGTGCCATCTAGAGGGGTCAGGGTGAGCACGATGGTTGGGGAGTAGGGGGGAAAGGCCTTTTAACTGAAGCTTGAGGAAGCATGGTTTGTTTGTTTGTTTTTGTTTGTTTGTTTGTTTGTTTGAGACAGAGTCTTGCTCTGTTGCCCAGGCTGGAGTGTGGTGGTACGATCTCTGTTCACTGCAACCTCTGCCTTGCCTGGGGAAGCATTAAAGAGCCTGTTTTATCCTCCCGCCAGGGAGGGAGTTACATCGAATCAAGAAAGTAGTTGTCAAGCAATCTTTAAGCAAGGGGCCTAAGATGGGTTTTCAGTGCTGAAGAGGAACCCAAACTCCATCCAGAAAAGCACCCATCATTCCTTAAGTAGCCACTCTTTTCCTGCCACAAATCATGCATCATTCCATTTAATCCTCACAACAGCTTCTTCTTCACAGGGTGGTTTGTGAGGATGAAAGAGGAAGATGCTTCTATACCAGAGTGCCTGGAAAAGAAGAGTTTAATTTAGGGTTGGCAAGTGGTGAGAGAAGCTGCCAGCTATTTCTCTGTTGAAGTGTAAGTAGAGCTGCCTCTTGGAACAAACCTTCCCTGTTCAGGGAAGTGTCACTTGACCAGTGTGGGGAAGGCATGTCTCTCTTAGCTCTCCAGACAGAGCCAGGAGGCCCCTGTGGTTTTGGGGAAGGATGTGACAGGACTTACTGTGGCCTGGAAAAGGCTTCTCCCACTCCCCCTTTGTTTGCAGAGCTGGTCTCTGAGGCATTGGTGGGAAAGTCTGCATAGTGACCAAAAATCCTCCATGTTCAGTGTTCTCTCCTATAGGTTGAGATAATCCATTGTCCAGAGAAGACACTAAATACCTTCCTGCCCTCCACGAGTGCAGGGAGGATCTGAAATAAGGCACTGGCCCAGTTCAGGGGCTGGGATGTTAGTAGAGGGCTGGTTTTGGTTTTCCACATGGCTGAAGCTAGAAGCCCTTCTTGGCCTGGCACAGTAATTTGCTTTGGGGGCCAGTCATCAAGGGTGCAGATGTGAGTCTAAGGAAGCTATAACCTTGGAGCCAACCTGTGGAGATCACAGGAGCACAGGCTCCACTGCAACAGAAGACAAGGGTTCACAAAGCTGTGCAGAACATGTCTTCAACAGCGACCCCATGCGGCAGCAATAGAAGCAGAAACGCTGATAGGCTGATGAGAACTAGAATTTCTCAAGTCTCAGCATTAGGAGCAGGAGTCTCTCCTCTGGTCAGAGAAATCTCCTGGGTTCATTCAGACAAAGGCAGTTAATGGCTTTGATCAGGAGGTATAGGACATCTCTTAAGTGTGCAGGTAGGTTTTTGAGCAAGTACCTGGAAAATTTTAAGATGTGTGTAAACAATACTCCCAAGCTAGTGAGGCAGGTGATTCTGGTTACACTTGCAGAGCACTTGACCATCTCATTGGCTCTTCCCAAGACCCTTTCTTGCTTGACCTCAGGTTGCTGCCCTTACCTGTCAACCACTAAAAGGAGAAAATTCCAACCTCAGGTCTGACATATAACAGCTGTGTGAACTTGCACATGCTTTTTGACTTCTTGGATCCTCAATTTCCTTATATATTTAATAAGAATAATCATGCCTACTTTAACTGAAGCCTGAGGAAGTATGTAGGTAGTAGGCATGATTATTAAAATTCCCTTTGGCCTGCCTTTCTCGGGAGAATGTGTGCCCTATGGGGAAAAGCACACTATTTTTTTTGCTGTTGTTTACCAGCACACTATCTTTTTTGCTCACCCCACAGTGCTGAGCACATAGTGGGGACCCAGCAAGCACTTGTGAGTGAGTGACTGAATAGCTGAATAATAGGAACTTGAAAAAATGTCTTCCTTGGGCTGGGTGCGGTGGCTCATGCCTGTAATCCCAGCATTTTGGGAGCCAGATGGGTGGATTGCTTGAGCCCAGCAGTTTGAGACCAGCCTGGGCAACAAAGTGAGACCCTGTTTCTACAAAAAAAAAATACAAAAATTAGCCAGGCATAATGGTGTGCACCTACAGTCCCAGCTACTTGAGAGACTGAGGTGGGAAGATTGATTGAGCCCGGGAGGTGGAGGCTGCAGTGAGCCATGATCATGCCACTGTACTCCAACCTGGGTGACAGAGTAAGACCCCATATAAAAAAAAATATGTCCTCCTTGGATAAAGTGAAAGATATGGAGATGGTCACAAGGGGAACTGGAAGATTCAGGGAAGACATAGGCTCTGTCTCTGAATTCTGAAGGGTGGACCTGGAGCAAAAGAAGCTGAAAGAGGAGTTGCTTAATAAAGGCAGGCCTATCCATGATTTGAAGGAACTGGGCCCCGTGAAAGGCAATGAGTTTCCCGCACCTGTGGATACCAGGAGACCCTGAAAACCCGCTGGGCAGGCTGAGAGAGGACTCCGGCAACAGATAGAGGACACCTATCAGGCCTGGTTATAGCTGCTCGGGAACTCAGAGCAGGGATCCGAGGGAGCTCCAAGGAGGAGTGAAGCAGCAGGGTTTCCTGGGGGATTATCAGGAGCAGGAATCTTTGGGCAGAGACATGGGTCTATCTGCCAAAACTTGCTCATTGCAGTTTCCTGGCTTACTGGCCAGATAATTGCAAACAAAATAGACTGGGGCCTGGGCAGCAGCCACCACCCCTTTGTATAGTAGGGGGGCCCTGGGTGGGGCACGCAGGAGTAGGCACCAGGGCCCTGAGTCATGGAGAGAACCAGTCCCACTCAGCACCTCTGAGACTCTGGGGCTCCCTCCACCTTTCTGGGTGATGGTGGGCAAGGCCTCAGGCTTCCCATCTGTAGACTGAGACCTGTGGTACACCCATGCTGCCCTTGGCCAGCACTGGGGGACAGGAGCCATCAACACTGCCTTCGGGGGCACCAATACAGGTGGAGGGAGAAGCTCGGCACAGCTGCTTCTGAGGAGGTCAGGGAGGGGTCCATGTTCTGAGCCCTTTCTCTGCCCTGGTGAGGAAAACTCTCACCAGCTACAGGGGATCAGAAAGTGGCAAAGAAGGGCCTAGCCTGAGTCACTGTATTGGTGGCCAGTGGCACCTCGACTCTGATGTGGGCATCGGTTTCCTGGAGAAGGCATGTGTTTATGTGAGTTTGTGTATCTGTGTGTGTATATACATGTGCATCACGTATTTGTGTGTTTGTGTATGTGAATATCTACAATTATTTTGTGTGTGTATGTTCCTAATTAATTTTATATGTGGCTGCACATGAGAGTTTGCCCTTATGTATGTGTGTGGGTGTTTCCGGGCACACATGGAAATACAACTGATTGCATGAGTTATACACATTCAGTCATTCCAAAAATATTTACATTTATATATATATATTTGTTTATTTATTTATATTTTGAGATGCAGCCTCACTATGTTGCTCAGGCTGGAGTACAGTGGCACGATCTTGGCTCACTGCAACCTCCACTTCCTGGGTTCAAGCAATTCTCCTGCCTCCCCCTCCCGAGTAGCTGGGATAACAGGGGTGCGCCACCATGCCCGGCTAATTTTTTTATTTTTATTTTTATTTTTATTTTTTTTTTGAGGCAGGGTCTCGCTCTGTCGCCCAGGCTGGAGTGCAGTGGCGTGATCTCGGCTCACTGCAAGCTCCGCCTCCTGGGTTCATGCCATTCTCCTGCCTCAGCCTCCCAAGTAGCTGGGACTACTGGCACCTGCCACCACACCCGGCTAATTTTTTGTATTTTTAGTAGAGACAGGGTTTCACTGTGTTAGCCAGGATGGTCTCAATCTCCTGACCTCGTGATCTGCCCACCTCAGCCTCCCAAAGTGCTGTAATTACAGGTGTGAGCCACCGCGCCCAGCCAATTTTTTTATTTTTAGTAGAGACAGGGTTTCACCATGTTGGCCAGGCTGATCTCAAACTCCTGACCTCAGGGGATCCGCCCTCTTTGGCCTCCCAAAGTTCTGGGATTACAGGTATAAGCCACTGCGCCCAGCCTACATGAATATTTACAGAGTGCCTACTATGTGCCACATACTGTCTTAGGTGCTGAGAATATGAAGATAAATAAGAAATTCAAGATTTCTTTCCCCATGCAATTTACATGTAGTATAAGCGACAGGCAATAAATGAACAGATGTATAAATGAATAAATAATCTCAAGGATCACTGTCACGAAGGTGGGGGAAGCAGGGTAAATAGAAAGAGTGGCTCAGGAAGGACTGCTTTCTATAAAGAGGTCAGGAAAGACTACTTAGAAATGCAGAATCTCAGACCTCAACTGAGACCTCTTAATTCAGAATCTGCATTTTAACAAGATCCCTTAGATAATTGGCATGTACATTAGAGATTAAGAAGCACTAGGTTAAAATATACTAACATAGACATGACAAGGTAGGAAAAAGAAAATGAAGGGAAATACTACATCTCCTTCTGCTGCTGGTTATCACATAACAGTTGGCATTTATTAGTTTCCTGTTTTCCCAGGCAGGGTCCTTTACCTGGCAAGATGACTTAAACAGTTATTCCTATGGATCTGAGACTGGGCGGGGCCTGCCCACCTAGAGCTAGAAAGGTCTTCAGTTACTTTTAGATTACAACAGTTTCCATACTGTTACTCTCTGCTCCCACTAAGCATGGGAAAGCTGATTTCCTCTTAGGAGTCAAAGTCAATAACCCCAGCCAAATCATAACTCCTTTTCTCTGCTTGTTCACTCAGCAACATAAGGAGTTTTAAATGACCAGCTGGCATTCTCAACTTCCAATTCAGTGGAAGCTGAATTGGAATTCAACTTACATCCCCTAGTAGAAGTGCTCCTTCCTTGGGTACTAGCCCTTCTAAGCCCCAAGTTTCAGGAGTGATTGGGTGGAACTGTGAGAGGCACCACCCTGCTTCTGCTTCCTGGCTCCCCTGGCCATGGATCTAGCTTTGTTAAGAGTGTCTATGGCATCCTGTAAAATGGCACTGCAGCTTCACAGTGGTTTGTATTCTTCCATCTGCTTCTGGAATTGATTCGTCATTAGGTCATTCTGTAATTCTATTGGTCCAGCTGTTTCTGGGCAATGGGGCACCTAGTATGACCAATGGATCTAATTGGCTTCAGTCCACTGATGTACTTCTCTCTGTGTAAAATAAATTTCTTGGCCCAAAGCAATGTTGTAGGCGACACCCTGACAGTGGAGAAGGAATTTGGTGAGTCTGCAGATGATGCTGCTGGAAGAATTATGGATTATGGCAGGCAGGGAAAGCGAATCCAAATCCAGAATAAGTGATTATGCCAGTGAGGACAGATCCCAGTCCCCTTCCAGGAAGAAAGGAGTCTGATGTCATCCATCCACCACCAGTGACATTGTTGGCCAACTTGTTTATTGAGTCCATTGAGCAAATACTGGGGTGCCTGAGAAAAGAGGCTAATTGGCATCCACAAAGTGGGTCACATCTTGTCCATCTGTTCATTAAGATCCTTCCAGGGTTGTTAGGAGCGTCTGGTGAGTGCTCTCATGGGATGTAAGTATGCGTATGATGCTGGATCCATTCTAAGAGTCCAACCACATGCCTCTTCCAAGCTTCCTTTTTACCTATCCTTCAGTCTTGTCTCTTCCAAGTCCCTGTTCATCTGTCCAAATCATTAGCCACTTACCATGAATCACTGCAGAACTTAGGCCTTCTGCTCTTCCAGATCAAGAGAGTAAAATATAACACTCAAAGTACTACCCAGTGTGAGGATTTCCCTACTCTGTCCTTCAGGGATACTCTAAATGGGGTTATAATATCACAAGGTCTTGCTTCCAGCTGGTGCCAGCATACCATGCAGAGTCCTTTGTAAACCAGGCTCAGAATTTTTTCTCTTCGATAAGTTGGCTATAGGGCATTTCTGTGAGCACAAATGTAGGCTGAGAAAGCCACAGCATGCTGGAAGAGTGAACCACTTGCTCATGCAATGTACCTGTGCTTTCAGGATGTGCCCAGGGCCAGACCCATTTATACCATTTCCACTTGAGAGAGGGGCGTTGCTGGGCATGCTCAGTTTAATGGCTAGGTGGGTCAGACGACATAGCGGGTAGCTTGGATTAAATGGTTACCTTGTAGTCTATGGTCAGATGCTTAGCCTCTGACAGTGCCAAGGGGCAAGCCAGGAACTGTTTCTCAAAAGGTGAATGGTTATTTGCCAAAGAAGCCATGGCCTTGCTCCAAAAATGAAGGGCCTTTACTGCGGTTCTCCTATCTTGCCTTGCCAAAGGCTCCGTGCAGCATCACAGTCTGCCACAGACTCTTCGAGCACCATTGAATCTAATGGATCCTAAGGACTTGGTTTGGAGTCTTAGCCAGCTCTGACCCCATTCAAAGCAAGACACTTTTGATTGCTCAGGAAATAGTTTGAAGTAGCAGACACATATGTGGTATATGTTGCCTCTAAAATCTAGAATAGCCCACCCAGTGATATGCCTTTTAGTGGTCGGGGATGCAAAGTTCAACAACCTTCATTTATTTGTTCCTCGTTTTGAAGGGAATATTCTGAATTTCCTAAGACATTATGTCCACAAACTTAACTGAGACCCCTGTATTTTCACAGGCTGTTCCTCCCTCATTCTGGAAAACAATTGTATTTCAAGGTACCTGCTGTTTTATGATCTCTAGGACCTATCAGCATGACATCACCAGTGTACTGCACCAGTGTGATGCCTATAAAAAGATGAAATGATCAAGGTCCCCATGAACTAACTTATGGCATAGAGTTGGAGAGTTGACTCAGCCCTGAGGCAAGATGGCAGGTGTGCTGTTGTTTGTCCCTGCCATGAGAAAATAAAGTAGTTCTGATGTTCTCTGGTGATCAGGATATAGGAGGGAAAATAGTTTCTGGGTGTCAAATCTACATTAATTTGTTCCAATCATGAGACCGCTTTTGGAACATTGTGGAACTATAATTGGAATCACCACCTGATTAATTATAATCATCCATTTTCATTTTTCAAGACTCATCCAATTTACACGCTGGCCAAACTAGAAAGTTAACTGGAAGCACAATCCCTGCATGTTTCTTTCACAGTCATGTTATCTTTGTGGTTCTGTTTAATATGCATTAGTGCCCTTGACTTACTATTTTGATGTGATTTGGGAACCTATAGTGGCTTTCCCTTGGCCTGTCCTTGCTCTATGGGTCAGGGAACCATGCAGTAAATCTGCCAATCCGGAGAGTATCTATTCTAACTCTGTACTGAGAACCTGGGGAAGTACCCACTGATAGTACTGCTGCCTCTCAGGGAGCAGACTCAGATCAACATTCCATTCAGCATCTGATCCCTGTAAACCCCCACTCTCATTGGTAAATCTCTGGGTAATCTGGGTCTTTAGAAATTAGCATTAATTCAGGGTTAATTTTCAAGAGATCTAGGATCTTCGCCAGTACACTGTTATTCTGAAATATGGCCACAGGTCCTTTTGGAGAGGAACAAGAGAAGGTTTAAGGAACTAAATTATATTATTAGATAGTGTTTCCTCAACGCTGACCACTCCATTCAAGGGATCCAGGTTCCGAATTTTTTTTTTTTTTTTTTTTTTTTTTAGACAGAGTCTCACTCTGTCACCCAGGCTGGAGTACAGTAGCTCAATCACAGTTCACTGTAGCCTCAACCTTCTGGGCTCAGGTGATCCTCCTGCCTCAGCCTCCCAAGTAGCTAGGATTACAGGCACATGCCATCATGCCTGACTAATTTTTATGATTCTATTTTTTTTTGTAGAGATGGGGTCTCCCTACATTGCCCAGGCTGCTCTCAACCTCCTGGGTTCAAGCAATCCTCCCACTTCGGCCTCCCAAACTGTTGGGATTACAGGCACGATCCACTGTGCCCAGCCTGGTACGACATATCGAGTGGGGTGAGGGTCTGACATTTTTTATTGTAATGGCTTATTTTCCATTGATATAAGGGGTTTATTTAACAATGGCAACTACCACCAGCATGCCTAATACACAGAGAACAGCCTTTGGGTGGGGCAGAGGGGTTCAAAGAGGTTGGCACTCCCCTCCTCAATGATAATGTATAAGGTCTTAGACAAGGGAGTAACTTCTGGGGTCTCTTAAGGGTCAGGGTTTGGGATAGGAGGACATCTTTCTCCTGAATTTCTTACATCAAGAAATCTCTCCCAGCTCCTGGGAGTTTTGAATCCAGCATATTGAATCCACAGCTCAGACAGGCTCATTGACATCAAGAAATTAAGGCCACTGGTGCCATAGAACAGAATTGAGGGCAGAAGGAATTCTAGAACTGTGAATTGAAATGTCTGTTTTTAATGGCACCAGACAGCCTAAAGAAAGAAAACAGGGATGAAAAATCCCTAGGTCCTTACCTCAAGGCATGGACCCAAACCCGGGAACTTTCTATGGTTTTCCCCCTTGCAAATGAACACCCTTAGGCAAGGAGTCTTGACTTGAGCTGAAACAGCCCCTTTAAGAGCGGAGAAGGGCCAGCTTGGCCAGCACGGGACACTCTGTAGAGCTTGGAAGTCTGGGTCTCTGAGTGCACCATCCTGTCTGCCCTCATTCTGATTCTCAACTCTCACCTCTTCTGGATTAATTCCTGACATCAGATCTAAAATGATATTCCTTCTGATAAACCATCCGCATGTGGTATGCCCAGGATTTTGCCAAGACAAGTTAGTAAAGTCTTGTAATTCTGTTGGTAAGTAAACTTTCTCCTCCAAAGTTTGTCTTTATAATTGGTCAACAGGAACATGCTGGAATCTGATCTAGTCACAAGCCTGGAAGCACAAGCAGGGAGTGTTGTTTTCTGCCTTGCAAATGAATACCCTTAGGCAAGGAATCTTGACTGGAGCTAGAACAACCCCTTTAAGAGGGGAGAAGGGCCAGCTTGGCCAGCATGGGACACTCTGTAGGGCTTGGAAGTCTGGGTCTCTGAGTGCACCATCCTGTCTACCTCATTCTGATTCTCAACTCTCACCTCTTCTGGATTAATTCCTGATATTTATGTAAAAACCCTGCAAAGTTTGGGAATTCAACTAATATTGTAACTCAGCAACCCACCAGATCAAAGTAGGCATCTGGTGTTTGGTCGTGTCTGCCCTGCCTTGATAGGAGATGAGATTCTTTTTCCAGACCGTAGAAAGTTCTCGAGTTTGGGTCCATGCCTTGGGCTAAGGCTCTAGGGATTTTTCATCGCATTTCCTTTCTTTAAGCTGTCTGGTACCATTAAAAACAGTCCTTGAATTCCTTCTGCCCTTAATTCTGTTCTCTGGCACCAGTGGCCTTTGAAGTCTTGCCTTTGATGGGCACTTCATTTTAGGTGACCACAAGGGGCAAACCTTACCCCAGGACTCAGCACCTGCTGCAAACACTTGGCTGATCTCACCCACCCAGTCTCTCCCCACTGCTTCGATGCTGGGCCCACTGGGTGGGCTGATTGTTCAGGATGAAATCCCTGCTTCCCATCCCGTAGTCCCCACTGTTTCAGGGACCCGGGCTCTTTCTGGCAGGAAAAGTTCCCACCCATCCCAATCTTAGCCTGCTAATCCAGCCTGCAGTATCCTGCACATGAACTGCTGCCTCTCAACCCATCCCTCAGCCAGGATGCCGGCACCCAGCCTCACCCCCAGAAGCCAGAGCTCCAGACCTGGCCCAACGAGGCACCAAGAAACCAATCTTGGCAGGCTTTTAACCCAAAACCCCACAGGAGCCGGCTCTAGGGGACACTGTGTGGGCTGAGGGTGGCAGGGGGCGGCACAGGGCAGGAGATGACAAAGCCAGACACAAGATTCCAGACTAGATAAGCTGCTGGGAATGGGGAGGGGGCCTGGGTGCAGCATTCCTGGGCGGTGACGCCATCTCCCTAGCCATAGAGGGCGGCAGGCAGGAGCCTCTGGTTCCCCCCGGGAGGACTCGTCCTTGCCGCTATCTGATGAGGGAGCTGTCGGTTACAGGAAGACAAGACTATTAACAGGACAACTCTGGAGAGCCAGAAATTAACCCACCACGCCAGAGGCGGGAGGTGCTGGGTGGGGTGGATAATTGAGGGGCCTTGCAATTAAGGCAGCTTCAGGTTGAACCAGCCATTCTCAGAGCTGGGACTGGGATCCTAGTCAGCTGGGGGCCCCAGAGGACTTTGGGAAGGGGAGTTCAGTCCCTGCTCCCCACCATTCCTGCTCACCCGGGCCTCACCTCCCACCCTCCATCCAGCCACACATGGAATTCACACCTTTGCTCATGCTGTTCCTCCCATCTGGAATGCCTTTCCTTCTCCACCTCACTCAGTCCTGCTCTTATTTCAAGACCCTGCACAGGCCCTGTCTTATTCAAGAAATTTTCCTGTACCAATCCGATTGGAAGAGATTGCTCTGATCTTGCACAATACAGCCCCTTGATGTTATGGTGAGAACACAGACTCAGAGAGGGGCAGTGATTTGCCCAGAGTCACACAGCAGAACCAGGGCTAGAACTCAAGACTCCTGAATCCCAGAAATCCCAGACTAAGATTCTTTCCACCACATCGTGAGCTCTCCAACCAATAATCAGCCTGAACATCTTGTGCAAAACTCAGGACATAGAATGAACGCCTCCAGGGGTTCAAGGAGGATATGACCATATTTATCAAGCATCTGTTTCATCCCAAATTCTCTGCAGGGATTGGAGCTGCCAAGGCAAGCAGGCACAGAGGCAACCCTGTTCTCAGGGAGCTTGCGGTCTGTGGGACAGAGAAGACTGCCATAGGGTCACCCAAAGGTTTGTTTAGTAATAACCAAGAAAGGGCCCAAAGAAGAGGCCGCAGACTGCCAGGAGCTTGCAGCAGAGGCATTCAACCCTGCCGGGGGCTCAGGACAAGCCTCTCTAGAGATGCTGTGCCTGGGCTGAGATTTGGAGAGTGAGTAGGTGGCAACCAGGCAATGAGGTGGGATGGGAAAGAACACTCCAGACAGAGGGAAAGGTCAACAAAGGAAGTCCAGGATGGCTGGACCTCCAAGTGAGGGGAAGGCGCCCTGAAATCTAACGGGGTCGTCATAGGGCCCAGATAATGCAGGACCTCCAGCAGAGACATGTGTTCTTCCTCCTAAAAGCACTGAGAAGCCCCTGCAGGATTTTCAGCAAGGAACCACATGTGAGCCTGATAAAGTCATTAGCTGCAGTGTGGGGAAAGGGTTGGAAAGGAGCTAGACGAATGTGGGAACCGCCAACAGGCTCCTGCACCAGTCCAGTGGGCAGTCAAGGAAGGAGGCAGCAGGAGTGTGTGAGGATGGAATCTTCTGGGGCTGTGGGTCTGGGGACTAGGGAAGGAGTTGAGGGAGAGAAAGGAATCAAGGAAACCCCACCTGGGTTTCTGGTCTGTGCAGTGAGTGGAGGGTGGGCAGTTACTAGGGTGGGGTAAGGAGCTGAGGGTGAGATAAGCTGAGTTTGAGCTGCTTTTGAGCTACTGCAGCTCAGAGGAGTTAGGGACCGAGAGGTGAGAGGGCAAGTGTAGATGCAACCCAGACTGTGGTGGGTGTGGGCACGAGGTACCTACTCTGAGTTGCACCTTCTCATGGAGCTCCTTTAACAGGGTGTCATTGCTCCATTTTCCAGAAGATGAAACTGAGGCTCAGACAATGGAAAACAGTTTTCCAGGAGTTTCTTCGATAAGAACTTGGTGAAATCAAGATTGGAACTGGATCTGCCTCCCAACACCCCTACCTACTTTTCCCACCTGAAGCTGACCTTAAGATGCCTCCATGGCCTGAGCTTGACCCAGAGAAACCGAGTCAGAAGCTCCTTATGCAGATGGGGCTGCAGGGAGCTCATTAGCATAGGCACTCAGAGGGAACCACTCCCTTCAAGGAAAGAAAGGCAAGGAAGACAGCCTGGAGGTGAGCAGAGTCCCTGTCCCTGTAGTCAAGGCTACTGACCCCCCCAACCCGTCTGCCCATCGCACAAACATGCACTGATGCCAGCTTTGCACTGGGCCCTCTGCTGGGCCCTTCACACCCAAGAGGGGTGCACTGCTCCCATTGCACAGTTGAGGAAATGAAGGCCAAGAGAGAAGACGGTCACAAAGTGAGTTAGTGTAGAAAAGGACCCAGGAGTTTCTGGCTCCAGAATCTCAGCTTGCCCTCTCCAAGAGCTGCAAGGGGTTCAGTGAGCAGCTGGTGGAGGAGGCAGTGAGGGGCCCTGGGCTGCAGGGGGCAGGGGGCCCAGGGAGTGTAAAAGGACAGGAGGGAGGTGGGTTGGCATCTGAGAGCCTTGTAGCCAGCCTAGGATCCACGATAGCATATCTTTGCCTCTTCCCTGCCCACTCAGGCCCAAGGCAGTATCCAGGCGTCCCATCCCCACCTGGCCTGTTGTGTCCAGTTCTCCTGTCAAGCTTCATCTGGGGCATTATGGCCAGAGCTGGAGCCTCTGGTGCCTTTCTTCAGAAGAGACCTGAACAAAGGGACCTCAGACAGAGCCAGCACTGGCCTTGTTGGGTGGGGAGGGAGCTGACTCATGTGGTCTGTGGAAGGGTGCCAATGCCCAGCCCTCAGCCTGGGGAAGCCAAGCCTGGGAGGGAGTGGACCCTGCTGTGTGAATCTCGGGGGTAGGGTGGGAAGGCCTGGCTGTGCAGAAGTGGCCAGTGCCCTGCAGAACCTGAGGGATGGCACGGAAGGGGCAGGGCTTGGAGAGCCAGATCTGGAGGGAGGGGAACGAACTCCAGGGGACAGGCACAAGGCAGACGTGGTCTGGGCCAGCAGGGGGCGCTGCAGCAGCAGAAATGGCCCCATGGCCAGCAGGGAGCCTGCCGAGCCTGAGGTGAGTCAGAGGTTACTCAGGCTTCATGACCCTGGAGCAGGGCAGAAAAAAGCCACCCACTCCACAGACCCGGCTACTGAGGCACAGCCCTAGCACAGGAGACCCACTGTGGGGTCATGAACAGGCCTGAGTTCTCAAGAACAGACTGAGCTTGAATCCTGGTTGCTCCTCTCTGTGTGACCTTGGGTGAGTGACGGTCAGCCCCGGCCATAACACAGTACTGCAGACTTGGCAGCTCGCAACAGAAACTCATTTCTCCCAGCGGTGGCGGCTGGGCAGCCTGGCGCGGGGCCATTTCTGGAGCGGGCCCTCCTCCTGGCCTGCCCTGTACACTCACATGGAGAGAGCGTTCCGGTCCCTCTTCCTCTTGTTATAAGGCCGCGGTCCTGTGGGATTATGACCTCATTTTACCTTCATTACCTCCTAAAGACCGCGTCCCACATATAGTCACATAGAGGGTTAGAGCTTCCATATATGAATGTGGGGGCAGCAGGGGCACAATTCAGTCCGCAGCAGCAACTCCTTTCCTCCAAAGCTCCAGCTGCCACCTCTGTAGAGTGAAGATCCTCAAGGCGCTTGCCCTGTGGGGTTGCGAGGCATTAACGGGATCGTGCAGGTGAGGCCCAGCCTCTGGCACGGTGTAAGCGTCCATGAGAAACAGGCAAAGTCCTCCCCCAGGAGCAAAGCAGGGGTGCAGGCATCTGGACCAGCTCGGGGATGTCCACGTCTCCTGAGCCACACAGGGCAGGGTAGGGACCTGGCTTATGGCAGAGCGGAGCCTTCGGAGCAGGAGGGGGCTCCAGAGCCAGGAAGGCAGGGAGAACACCAGGAATGGGGCTGGCCCCTTGCCAGATCCGCTCCATTTGACCAGCGGACACTTATCAAGCCCCTGCCTCGTGCCAGGCAATGTCAGGCGCAGAGGTTTCAGGGGAGGAGGCATGCTGGTCCTGCCCTCCAGACCCCGGCAGGGGGCACCTCCCGCTGGTGTGTCCTGGGAGCATCTGTCCTGCATTGAGACCGGCTGAGTATCCCCTGGTGTCAATGACTTCTCTTTCCCTGTCATTCCCAGGAAAGCTCCTTTGCTTCAAACTAACCCCATGAGGTTGGTATTGGTGTCCAGCTACAGAAAATGGAAGGCTCAGAGACGTTAAGTGACTTACCCAAGATCACACAGTAGAAACCGAGTTTATCTGATTCCAGAGCCCATGTTCTTTCCAGTGTACACACTGCCTAGAGCTGACTCACTATTCCTTCTCTATGATGGGCCCATCTAGGACCAGAAGGAGGCTTTGGAAGAACCTTCCACAGTGAGCACTTGGGGGTCCTGATGCCCCCTGAGAAACCTCATGTCCTGGGTTTCTGGCTCTGCTGCAGATTGGATGATCTTGGGAAAGTCTCTTGTACCAAGCCTCAGTTTTCACCTCCCTCGGATGGGGCTAGGAGTTCATCACAAAGCACAGGATAGAGCACACCCCCTTCCCCCTCACTCCTCACCTCTACTTGCTCCATTCCAAAGACCCACCCTCAGGATCAGCCCCCACCCAGGGGCAGGCAGCGGCTGTGCTGAAGGGTCCTCCACCTTCTCACGGGCATGGTCCCATGAAGATTAAGGACACAGGCGCCCAGAGTGAGATGCTCTCTTGATGTGCTGGGCACCCCTGGAGGATTCCTGAAGGCCCTCAGCAGACCAGCTCCAGCTGGGGAGAAACAGCATCTGGGGGCACAAGAGACCCAGGACCAGGGGCTACCCTGGCCTGCTCTGGGCTCCTTCCTTGGTCTCTGGACCTTCGGGGCTCCCCTGGCCACAGGGGACATTGCAGACTTGGCCTGGCTTGGAAAGGGCCCTCAGCCCTGGTACACCCAAATAATAATTAAATTCCCTGGTCAAGCCCATTGGATCAGATGAACTCCCTTCATGTGAATATGGACATCAGCCAGCTGAAATGCCACACCCACTGCCCACCTTTTCCCCAGCCCTTGCGCTGAAGATCCTATAGGGGAAAGCTACTACTTCCACTAAAAACGATTCTGTGCTTTGGAAAATACGTGCAAGAGTTGCAGGCAAAAGAACTGCCAAGACGCCCCACAGCCAAGCCTGAGGTAAGACTGTAAGTGCTTTGGAAAGAATTTCTGGCAACCCAGGTACAACATTTTTAACTGAGATGTCCAGTGTTCCTCAGAGAAGGGCAGCATTAGAAAATTCAACATCTGTCAGCCTCACAGGATCTGGCAGTGGGAGAGCCTGCACCCTGGCCATGGTGGCACACCTGGTTCTTGTCTGCATCCAGAAGCAGTTTCGGTTTTAGTTGCATAAAATAGAGGTCTCTCTATCTCTCTCCCCACTGACCCACTATAAAAGTAATGCTTGTTTAAATAAACTTGGTAAATATGACAATAAGGAAAAAACATAGAAAAGTCCCCAGCTCTGTCTCACCCCAAGCGTCCTCGACATTCGCTGACATCCTTTTGTTCCTTTGCTTACCCCTGTGCTTTAGATGGTGCTCTGTCGTCTCCTGCTCAGTACATGTAAGATTTCATGAGCATTTCCCTTTCATTCTAAGTTCTTTCTCCTCCAAGAGGCTGATCCCATGGCTCACAATCTGAAAATTGTTTCCTGCTATTCTGCACAAAGCTGTGATGCATACCTTTGTGCCAAAAGCTGTTCTCAAATTTTAAAATATTTCCTTCAGATTGCTTTTTCAGAGTGGTATGGCTGATCAGATGGGAGAGGAGTGTGGAAGGTTCTAGATCCAAAGACCCTCTTGAAAGGGTGATTCTTTGCACCTGTGAGAGCCAGAGACGGTCACAGGAAAGATGGCCCCTCAAACCGAGAGCCTTCTACAATTTGTCCTTGAAATGGCCAGAGGACATCCCCAGGGATACTCTCCCTTCTGCTGAGGCCCACAAGGATGGGGACGTCACAAGTGGCCCTAGAAAGAGGACTGGGGCTCCTGACCCTGACAGAGGCTCACAGTTGCTTCATCTCAGAAGCAGCAGCCCCATCGGCTGGGGATTTCTCGTGGGGCTTGAAGTCGGTCATGTGACTGTCATTTTTTTGCCACTGACAAGCTGTGTAACCTTGTGCAAATTACTTAACCTTTCTGAACCCATTTCTACATCTGGAGAATGGCTACAATAATGGCACTGGCTTTCCTTGGGTTGCTGTAAACATTAAGTGGAGTGTTGTTTGCAGCACCCTGAGCCCAGGGTTGGCTACACCACTGCGGTGTCCCACGTAAGCAGTGACGCACGCATTGGAACTGCTGTAATGACTACTTCCACTGCATATTCATTCCACTCTGTCCCAGAGCCTTCCACTGACTTCTCAGTCTTCATTTCTTCAGGGTAAATAGGGCTGAGCATGGTTCCCTCCTCCTAAAGTTGTTGGAACGGAGCCAACACGTGTCAACTGCACAGGCTTCGTGGTAGCTTACTCGGCATGTTGTTGGTATCCTCCAGTGGAGGAACTCGCTACCTTTGGATCAGGCTTCAGGGGCAGCCAAAGCCTGTTTCTGGCTCTACAGAACATGCTGGCTCCAACTTCCACAGAACTCCTCCAGTTCCAAACCCCAAGATCCTGGGGTCGCACAGCACTGAGGTGCAGTCCCAGGTTCATCTCTCCCAGCTGTGTGTCCTTGAACAAGTGCATCAGCCTCTCTGAGGAGCCTCAGGCTCCTCATGTGTAAAGCAGGGGCTTCAATCATGGGGTTGTTAGGAAGAGCAAACAAACTCACGAGGCACACAGGAGATGTTCATTATACATGAATTTCCTTTCCCCTGCAGATCCTGAAGGGATTCTGTGTTTACAGGGGAATGAGAAAGATTTAAGAGAAAAAGCCTAAATTCTGGGCAAAATCAAGATGCCTGCTTGAGCAGTGGGGAATCAGCGTTCTCAGCCCTGCCTGCTTCTATCTCTGAGGCTGCTTGGAAACACTGGTTGAGTCCCGGATTCAGCCCCAGCGCCCGACAGTATGGCCCAGAGGCCTGGTTTTTAGCCGCTTCATGGCTCTTCTGCCTCTATGAAGAGAATGGTGATGGGGATGGGGATGATGTCATTGGGCACACAGTTATTAATGCCTGTGTACCAGGCCCTGTGGAAGGCTCCAGGGTTAGAGATGAGGTCCCCACTCCAGAGACCTTCTGTTCTCATGGTGGCTGGAAATAAAGACTGCAAATTAAGGAAGTAAGATGAGCTAAGCTGAGATGAGCTGGCAAGTGAAGGAAATAAACAGGAGGACGCAACAGAACAAGGGAAGGGCTGACTTCCGCTGGAGAGGACATGTTTGGGCGGAGATTTGATGGAGGAGAAGGGGCCCACCAAGACTAGGGGTGCAAAGGTGCTGGGCGGGGAATCAGGCATGATGTGCACGAGAAACAGCAAAGAAGCCAGGGGCCGGGATGTGGTGACCCAGGCTAGTGGGCAGGAGCCAGATCTCCACCGCTCAGCCTGGAGCACAAAGCAGTGGGGTTTTGATGAAAGGATGAAGTGGGGAAAGACAGCAGGTCTGTTCTGTGTGGCTCATGTGGGCAGCTCCAGAGGGGCAGCTTCCAGCTCACCATAAGGCCAGCCTTCCAGATGGACAGAACCATCTAAAGGTGGAAACGGATTCTTCATAAGGAAGTGAGCTTCCCACAGCCAGAGGCATGCAAGCCGGAGGAACAGATTGCTTGGAAGGGAGCTCCGGGTCGCACTGGGCTGCACACATTCATTCACTTGGTCACTCAGTGGACAGTGGACAGTTGTGGATGCTGCTGTGACCAGCCCTGTGCTGGATGCTGGGGTGACTGAGATGGGTCTGTTGTGCCACTGCTTTTGTGGAGGTCATGGCCCAATGGGGAGGAAACCCTGGGAAGAGGGTGGAAAGGATTTGGGGTCATCAGAAGGGGGACAGAGCAAGCATGAGGGCCACAGAGGAAGGAGTGAGAGGAGGAGGACGGGGAGGCGGGGAGAGAGAGGGAGGAGGGAGCATTTGTGGCTTGAGGGAGCGTCATGGTAGACGGGCACGCACAGGAGATGGGTTCCTGGACTCCCCCACCCCCTGGCTGTGTGACTGGCTGCGCCTGCTCCTCATGTGCTAAATGGGAGCAGGAACCCCAGCTGCATGTCCCTCTTGGAATGCGGCTGGCTGTGGCAGGCAAGGGCTCCGAACTTTTGTTGCTGCTAAAGATTCACAGGAATGTTGGACAACCAACGCACTGTGCCCAGAGCAGAGAACTGGGGCAGCCTCGGAGGGGCCTCGAAGTCCTGCTGGGGACTCTCAAGGATGGCCCGCTAGGAGCTCGGCTTGACCTGAGAAGAACCACCACACGCCCCTTCCTGCCCCGGAGGCCTGAGGATGGGAGATGGGTGAGACAGGACAGTGGGCCTCCTAGCCTGCCTCTTGCTGCTCAGCCCTGGGGAGGGAGGCCCATGCTCGGTGGCATTTCCAGAGCCAGTGGGCACAAGGGTGGGAGCTGGGGGCTGGCACCGATCACAGTTCCAGAGCCAACTGCTCATTAATCCACCTCCCACATTGGCTTCAAAATAACTCATTCAGCCTAGAAGAACTGCTGGCCGCCTGCCAGGGAGGGCCCCAGAGGAGGGGCCCACAGAGCCTTCTCATAGGCGGCCCCCCACACTGCAGGCAGGGACCCCGACAGGAGGACAAGAGATGCCCCTGTTCTGAGGAATGTGCCCCTTCCTCATCATGGGGACTTCCCCCACTATGGCTCTGCCATGGACAGGTGAGGAAACTGAGGCTCCAAGGGGACAAGGATGACCCAGCAAATCAGACGGGGGCTGCTCTGCAGTGGGCATGGAGGAGGGACACTTAGAGAGGCTGAAAAGAGGGGGCAGAGAGAGCGCCTCTTGGGGTTCCATTGGCCTTCTGCCAAGAGGAAGACGCTAGCACCCTGCGATCCAGCCAGAGGGGCCCAAGGCTGAGGTGAGGAGGGACTCCAGGCTTTAGGATGAGGCTGCCTCAAATGCTAGAACAGAGTGCTGGGACCTGAGTTCTGGATTCTGAGGTACACGTCTGTCCACCGGTGGCGGGGGCTTGGGCCACCAAGTCCAGTGCTACAGGCTCCTGTCCCTCAGAGAGCTTGGCCACAGCCAGGCCTCTAATAGAATGGTGGCCATGTCTTCCTCCTCCCACCAGGCCCGGGGACAGCCCGGAAATGGCCGGGGCTCAGGACTTACTGGTCAAGGTAGAGCTCGGGCTGAAGCAGGATGCAGCCACTGCCCTCCAGACCCTTTCTGATTCTTCCCATCAGCTGCCAAGCTGGGGAATAGCCCAGGTGCACTGGGGGAAGTAGGTGTGTATGTGCATGTGTGGGCGTCACTCAGAGAAGGCCACAGAACCCCCAGAAAGCAGGAGCTCTGCCCCACATGTCGGGTACAGGGCTGAACTCACTGCCTTCCCCGTCTGCTCCTCTCTCCCACCTCAGAGAATGAGCCCCCGTCAACTACCCGGGTTCCCACAGCAGACACTTGCTGCCTCCTCCTGCCCACCTCCTACATCCAAACCACCACCCAGTCCTGCCCAAGCCCCTCCCAACTCACATCCAAACCACCACCCAGTCCTGTCCAAGCCCCTCCCAACTCACATCCAAACTACCACCCAGTCCTGCCCAAGCCCCTCCGAACTCACATGCAAACCACCACCCAGTCCTGCCCAAGCCCCTCTGAACTCACATCCAAACCACCACCCAGTCCTGCCCAAGCCCCTCCCAACTCACATCCAAACCACCACCCAGTCCTGCCCAAGCCCCTCCGAACTCACTTCCAAACCACCACCCAGTCCTGCCCAAGCCCCTCCGAACTCTCGGAATCCATCCGCTCCTCACCCCCAGCCCACCAGAATCCAGGCCACCACTATCACCCCTTGGGACTGCTGCCAGGTCCTTGTCATGTTTCCCTGCTCAGCATATCCCCTGCTAGCACACACATACACACACATACACACACATACACCCACACCCACATACGCACACATTTATACACATATACCTACACACATATACACAGACATATACATGTGCATACACAATCTATACACACAGCTATATACATAAACATATAGCTACCTATACATATAGCTATATACATACATGCACATACACAATACACACACACACATACACAGACACACATATACACACACATACACAGATGCAATACAGACACATATACAAACACACAAATATACAAACACCTACACACATACACGTATACACATATGCATATGTACAATACATGCACATATACACAGACATATACATATGCATACACACATCTATACACACACCTATATACATACACATATACACAAACACATACACAAATACACACATACATAAACACAATATAGACACATATACACATACACACACATACACACGCATATACACCAACACATATACACATATGCACACACACATGCACACAAACACACATACACATATGTACACAGCAAGTGCACACACACATACTAGCACACACGCTTGCACAAACATATACAAACACATGCCTGCATACACAGATATATATTCACGCAAACATATACACACATACACACACATACATGCACACACATACATACATGCATGCATACATACCACACATACACACATAACACACATGCACACACACACCACACATATCTATACACCACACCAAACACCACACACACCCACACCACACATGCACAGACACGCCACACACAGACACACACAGACACACACACCACACCTACCACACATAGATATACACCACACCACACACACAACACATGCAGATACACCACATCACACACACAATACACATGCACACACACACCACACCACACCCACCACACACACAACATACATAACATAATACACACAGACACACCACACACAGACACACACACCACACATATACATCACACCACACACACAACACATGCACAGACACACCACACACAGACACACACACCACACTTACTACACATAGATATACACCACACCACACACCCACACATACACAACACACATGCACACACACACCACACACACCACACATACCACACATACCACACATAGCTATACGTCATACATACCACACACACGCACATAACACACACAACACACATGTACACACACCACACAGACATACCACACACAGACACACACAGCACATAGCATACATAGATATACACAACACACATGCACATACACAACACACGTGCGCACACACACACCACACACACACACCACACACACCACATATACCACAAATAGCTATATGCCACACATACCACACACACGCACATAACACACAACACACATGTACACACACCACGCAGACATACCACACACACATCACACATACTACACATAGGGCACACCACACCCACACAACACACACAGACACACCACAGCACACACACAAAACACACATGCACACACACACCACACACAGACACACCACATACATGGATATACACTACACAGAGACACCACATACACAGATATAGACCACACATCACACACCACACACGCACCAACACACGCCACACACACACCACACCACGTACACAATTCCATCCCACACCCCCGCCACTCACTCAGCAACCTCTTCGCCTTCATGTGGTCTGGGCAGGGTGCGGGCCAGCAGGGCGCCCCTGGGCTGCTCATCTCCACTCAGGTGTTGTGCCCCTCCGGCACAGCCGGCCTTAGCCTGAACCTAAGAAGAAAGGGCAGAGCCGCTTTTTGAGCTCGGGAGGCTGTGTGTCCTGCCAGCGGCACACAGCCCCGAGGCAGCGGCTGGGCCTGAGACACTTGGGCCTGCAGGGGACATCCCAGGAGTGCACCGGGGCTGGCCAGGCAGGGGCCTGTGGGGTGTGGGGCTGGCAGCTGGCAGCCAGCAGTGCCGCCGAACGCCCACTTGCGCCAGCCGCTAGTTTCCAGGGCCAGCTCACGAGCCAGCGGGCATGCTGGGCCCAGACGGCCCTAGGGTGTCCTGCCAGGGAGAGGCGTCCTCTGCGAGGGTGGCCTGGGAGGGGCAGGGCGGGCAGGGTCATCTGACACCTCGCATTTCCTCCAGGCAAGGACACCAGGCTGGCGGCCAGGGCCACCCCCAACTCGCAGTGTGGCCTGAGACACGCTGCAGACTTCCGTACAATCGGGGGGCGGGGGCAGGTAGAGGGTCCAGTGCTGCCGCTGAGCTGACCACCCCTTGTCGGGGATTCCGGTCCCCGGGCGCAGGGCGACGTGCGAGGGGGCCGCGGCCACAAGAGGGCATCTGAGCTTCAACCAGCAGGGAGCCGCGGCCAAGAGGCCTCCAGGTGGGGTTCAGGGGCTGAGAGTAGTTGGGGTTGAACTGGAGCTGAATCTTGCGGGAGGGGGCAGACTACCTGTGTGTGCCCCCAGGCAACCCCTTAGCCACTCTTCATCTCTTTTCATCTGATGGCAGCACTACCTTGCTTCAGGAAATATTTGCTGAGTACACACATGAATGAATGAAGTGAAGGAGGTATTATTAATAATCAGTGTTTTACAAGTAAGGAGGCAGCTCTGTGCCTACAGGGATTTGCCCAGGTCACACAGCTGGTAGGCATGGAGCCAGTGATGCCCCTGGTTCTGTCTGCCACAGAGCTTTGGAGAAAGCACCAGAAACAACCTGTGGCGTTACCAGCACCCAAGTGCTCAGAGCAGGGACAAAACCCTGGTCCTGGGCCCCTCCAGGGACCCCCTCTGCCACAGAGACCAGGCCTCTCTCTGGTCAGCACTGAGTAATAGTAATCACTAACAAGAAGGAACCCACTGCCACACACTTTACGCTCTCATGAAGCATCACTGTGCCCTGGGTTACAGAGAAGGAAGAAAAGAACTTGCCAGAGGCCACACAGCTTCTGGTTGGAACACTTTGGCCCTGGGAACCCACAATCCCCTCACCATGCTACATCTCCTGGAGACTGTTTTCCAGGAAGGAGCTCCTAGCCACGTCTCTCCAACTGTTCATCCGATGCGGTTTTCTCGCCTGCTCGGTGGCGGCAGAGGTAAATGACAACATAGCCCAGCCCCGTAGACTTCACCCAGAGGAGAAGTCAGACAAGACAGCAGGGGACTCATTCAGGGCAACGTGGGCCATTAAGGGCCCTGTGAATACAGAATCCTGATCCATGACACAATTCCATCACTAATTCCAGATTCCCATCAAGAAGCCAAAAATATAAAAACCCTTCAAGCTGCAAGCCAGGACACCCTGCCACCACTTTGGGGCAAGAACCCCTCATCCTCAGCCCCGCCCTCCCTCTCCCCGTCCCTCAGCCACCTCCTCCACTTCCCCGCGCCTCCCTCCACACCTCCACGCCCCCAGGACCTGAGGCCTGACTTGGCCTTCTCCACCAACACCTGCCTTCATCCTGGGAGTTCCCTGGACCCCTGACGACCTGGCCAACCCCCTACTTCTCCCTCATCACCAACAACTCTCTCCCTCTTTTGTACTTGGCCCAGCCAACCCCACCCATGCCATGGCCTGGGTATCCTCACTCAGAACTACCTCCCCCACCCCATATCCTCCCAACCCCATATTGGCCTGTATCCATGGCCCTCCTTCACTTAGCCCTCCTTCGCTCTCTGACCTCATCACAGCACCTTCCTTCTCCTCCTGGGGGCACTTCCCTCCCTCTCCAACCTGGACCCCAAGGAGCCTTTCTATAGCGATAGTCTTGGGCACCCACCCTGCAAAAGTCTCCCTGCCACTCTGCAAAGATGCAACCATGGGATAAACCAGCCGGCCCTCCCCGAGGAGCCCATCTGTGCCCTGAGCCCTGGACTCCACCCTTCCCTCCTCCCATCTATCCCCCTTCTTCACCTTCTCTTTCCCTGCATCAAGAAACATGCTCTAGCCTGGGCAACAAAACGAGACTTCATCTCTACTAAAAATCAAAAACATTAGCCGGGCGTGGTGGCATATGCCTATAGTCCCAGCTGCCTGTAGTACCAGCTACTCAGGAGGCTGAGGCAGGAGGATCGCTTGAGCCCAGGAGATTGAGGCTGCATTGAGCCAAGATGGCACCACTGCACCTCAGCCTGGCTCAGGCACTCTCAGAACTTCGGGAGGCCGAGGTGGGCGGGATCAAGATCAGCCTGGTCGACATGATGAAACCTCATCTCTACTAAAAATACAAAAATTAGCTGGGCGTGGTGGCGGGTGCCTGTAATCCCAGCTACTTGGGAGGCTGAGGCAGGAGAGTCACTTGAACCTAGAGGCAGAGGTTGCAGTGAGCTGAGATGGCACCACTGCACTCCAGCCTGGGCGACAGAGCAAGACTCCCCATCTCAAAAAACAAACAAACAAGAAAAAAAAAAAAACCCTTCTGAAGCCCTACACTTGGCTCCAACCAGGACCCATCTTTCTTCCCCCTTCCCAGCAAAACATATTCCAGGGTTACCTTTATGACCAGTCTCACTCTTGCACCTGCCGTCTGCTTCCCAGGCCTGCTGCTGTCCACCCCGTATTCCACCAAAATGGTTCTTACTGAGTCACTCAACACATTGTTGTTAAATACAGGGAGTGCTTTTCCATTCTCACCCTGACCAAGAGGCAGACAGCCTGACAACAACCCTGTGAAGTAGGTACTGTGATTGATTATCCCCATTTTGTAGAAGGGATACTGAGGCACAAAGAGGGTAACCGATTTGCTTGAAGTGAAATAGCAGGTAAGCCTCAGAGCTTACCAGGCTCCCTCCCCTGAATATCCCAGAAGAACCTCAGACTTGCCACAACCAAAATGAGCTCACTGACTCTGCCCTGACCTTCTTATTCCTGGCCAAGCTGGGCTCTGGATCAGACAATTAGTAGCAGCTGGACCCTGGGCGATTGTATTTAATGCCTGTGAAGTGCTTAGCACAGAGCTCAACGCAGAAATGCTCAATGAAGGCCAGCTTCTATGTGTTGCTATGACACACACATATATACCCACACATATATACAAACATATACATACATGCATGCATGTACACATACACAGACAACCCAGGGCCTGGCCACGCAGCATGCTGGCCTTTTTATACTTTATCAATCAGAGCAGCATCGATTTATAGCCCTGTGTGTTTGGCATGAATGCACTATTTTTCAAAAGCCAAAATAAAACTCCAAGAAGCTGTAAAAACCCAGGAGTTTGGAAGATTCCCTGCAGGGTCAATTAGGGTGAATTAGAACCTACAGATGTGAATCTACCCAACCACATAATGGCAACTTGGGCAGTGCACCTCGGAATGCTAATGAAGGCGGCCGCTGATGGGGAGAGAGCCAGCCTGGCCTTCCCTCTGAGGCCTGCTGGGAGGGGGCAGGACCTTGCCCACCACTGGGCTGTGTGATTGGGACAAAGCTGGGCCTCACTCTGAGCAGCAGTTTCTTCCTCTGGAGATGGGGCTACTATGTACTACTCAGGAGGGGTAAGTTCAAGTCCTTAAGTGAGGACTTAAAATTCTGTGCGCCCCCATTTTCATCCCTCAGGCAAAGATCTCAGGACTTGTGATAGTGGTTACAGTCAACATTTGCTATGTATGACTGTCTCCATAAGACAGAGTCATGCTCCCCTTCTACTGACGGAACTCAAGAGTCCCTGCTTTGGACAAGGGAGACTGCAGGAAGCTGGATCCAGTCTCAGGTATCGCACCTAGGGATGGTTACAACTTTCCTCATTCTACAGATGGAGACGATACCTGACTCACAACACCCAGGATCGTAATCTCTCTACGCATGTGACCCAGGCCCAGCACCTCCCTATGTGGTGAGGTCACAGCTCTGCCCATGGCCCTGCCTGCTCCCTCAGTGCCAACCTGCCTAGGGAAGAACATAGATCTTAGATCCAGAAAGCCCAACTCTGCACGTACAGCTGAGCAACCAGGAACAAGCCTGCCCCCTCTCTCTGAGCCTCATTTTGCCTGTCTATAAAATGAGGATGATAACTCAGGTAAAACACACACACAGTGCCTGGCACAGAGTAAGTGCCCAACCAAGGTTAGACAGTTTAAAGATCCTCACGAGCCCTTCATGAGATAGGATCTATTACCCCCCATTCTGCAGATAAGTAAACTGAGACTCAGAGAGGTTTAGCAACTTGCCAAAGGTCACAGAGCTAAGCAGCAGAAGGAGCAGGAGCTGGGGCTCAAACCAGGTCGGCTTGTCTCCAAAGGGCTCAGGATGGAAGAGGAGTAGATGGGGCCCCAATCCTGTAGGCAAGAAAAGGAAGAGGGAGGGGTAGAGAAGGGAAGGAGGAGAGAAAACAGAAGGGAGGGCTGTCATTGGCAGAGGACGCCCTGGCAGAGGTGAGGCCAGGTGCAAGCAACTGCCTTAGGCAGAGGTTCAGACCCAACAGGCGCCAGTGGGGGCAGTGCCAGGCTGGCGGTGGACGCCCTCACCCTCGCTCTGTTCTCCAGTGACCTTGCCGGCTCAGCCTGTGCCACCAGCATCCCAATGAGGTTCTGCAGGCAGGAGTTTGGGGTGGCACTCCCACATGACAGGACTCAACAGGTCCTCCCCCTGCTAGGAACAGAGTCAGGGTTCTGCTCTCCTCCCCTGGTGGCCAAGTGCCCCCAGGAGCTCTATTTGGGGCCACAGAGGCAGGAGGTGGGCCTGAGCCCCGAGCAGCCAACAGCCTGAGATGGCCCCCAACCAACCCGGGAGACCTGGGGCACCTGGAGGGTGGGTGGGGCCCACCTACAGCTGCCAGGCTCCCTGCCATTGCCTACGGTCCCCGCCCATCTCTGACAGCTGGGAATTCCTTGGGCATGACAAAGTTGACCGGGCCGGGGCTGGGAGCCTGGCCTGGCAGCCTAGGCAGGGTTCCGGTTACAGCTCTGGATGCAAGCTGGCTGTGAGTCCATGGGCACGTCACTTCCCCTCCCTGGGACTCAGCCTCGCCATGGCCAGCGGTGGCAGTGCTGGCCTAGCTAAAATGACTTTCCAGTGCAGGAAATCTCAGAATCTGGATTCACAGAAGCCAGGGCTTGGAAGGAACCTCAGGCTGTGATTTCCTAATACTGGTGTGCAGCTGACAGTGTCAAAATTACCCTGGGAATGTGTGAAAATGTAGATCTAGGGGATCCCCTCCACCCCCAGCAGAGGAGTAGACTGCGGACCCAGGCACCTGCAGATTTGACAAAAAGCATCCCAGACCCACACTCTCGGAGGGCTTCTTGCCACTTCTGCAGAGGGGAGGCTCTTCCAGAGATGGGATGCCCCAGGATCCCTGAGCCTCCCCACATCTTTGCAGCTTCATCCCCTGGGGCTCCTCAGAAACCTAGAGCCGAGTTCCAGCTTTCACTCCCACCAGCAAACTTTCCGTAGAATTCTCTGCCAGCACCTCTCTGTCTAGGTCCTCTCCACCCAGGCCACAATTACTGGCCACTCCCACTTTCCCTCCCACCCAAAGCAGAAGGCTAGGTTTTTTTGTTTTCTTCTTTTTTAATTGAGGTAAGATTTGCATACAGTAAGGGGCACTATTTTGAAGTGAACAGCTCGATGTATTTCTACCTCTGAACCCTCCGGGTCACTACCCCCCAGGCTAAGCTCTAGACCGTTTCACTCACCCCAGGGAGCTCCCATCAAGACCCCTTGCCTTGCCTCCCACACTGTTCTGAGTCCATCACCATGGATGGGATGTGAGAGGCCTGTTTCTGGAGTGATCTGTGCTTTCAGCCCCTGGAATGCAGGCTCCATGAGGACAGGCTGTCCTACTCCTTGCATTGCCTGGCACCAGGCAGGTGCTGGGAAACTGTGGCCCCCTCCAGTGGCTCCCACTGGCTCCTAGACATTTCCCTTCCGCTTTCTCCCTCACACAGCTCAGACACTGACCCCAGCCACGCCCATATCCAAGCTCACACCCACCCTTGCCCCATGCATTTCCTCCAGCGGTGCTTCCCACTTAGGGTGGGGTGGCCCCTAGCTCCTACCCACTGTGGCCTCCCTCACCCCAGAACACTGCACTCATCGTGTTTTGTCTCCTATGCCCGTCCCACACTGCCTCACACATGCTGGGCTTGACAATCGCACTGCCATCCATTAGTCCTACCATACACCCTCATACTCACACATGTGACCATGGGACAGTCACTCCCCCTCTCTGGGTCTCAGTTTCACCATCTGTAAAGTGACACAATCAGGCTAAGTGCATTCTGTGAGCTCCTTTGGCTCTGAAAATAGCAAGTGTAAATACATATTTGTTAGACAAATAAATAGCCCCAAAGAATGGGTCTTCACTGATAGTGGGATTGTAGCATCTGCTGGAGTCATTTTAGAGGCAGAATTCCAAGTGTGGTGTCAAGAGTGCTGGCTGTGGAGCCAACTGCCTGGGTTAAAACCCTGGGTCTCAACTTTCCCATCTGTAAGATGGGGATAATAGTGGGGCAGGGTGAAGACGAAATAGGAGAGTGCACAGAAGCAGTTGTGGTGCAGAGAAGCCTGGCACTCACCTAGTGCACAGTAGAGTTTAGCTCCTACTGGCATTCCCAGGGCCCAGGGTCACTCAGCAAGCCCTGGAGTCCACACCCGCCCAGGACCAGAGGGCAGAGCAAAATGTGGCAGCAGTTTCTGCCGCATGCCACCAGAGGGCACCATGATGCAGCCAAGTGCGCCAAGGCCTCCCTGACTCACCCCAGGAAGACCACTCCTGAGGGAGGAGGGCAGTGCCAGCCAAAGCCTGCCGGCCAGAAGGACAAGGATGAGCCTCCATCCTCCAGAAGGGCTTCCACCACCACAGCCCTTTCTCCAGAAGATGCCCTACACCACCTCAGCCTGACATTCTGTCCATTTCTATCACAGCCTGTGATCCACAACAGCCTAGAGAACACGGATACTTCCTACCAAAGCCATTAGACCCATTTCACAGATGGGGAAACTGAGGCCCAAGAGAAGGCAAGATCAGCCCCAGGTCATGAGTGAATTTTTGTCTTCCTGTTCAGGCTGGCTTCCCTGCACACCCCCTAAGCATCCGTGGTATGACTCCCAACCGAGGCTGGGGTACCAGCACCTACGCTGCCTCCCTGGCTCCCTGAAGGCTGCAGGAGACAGGGGAAGCCACAAGTGTGAGGGTGGGGAGGCCTCAGCATAAGGGATGGAGAGAGCCAGGGGGGCGGGGGGCAGAGGGAGGCAGAGCAAAGCAACACGGGAAACAGGGCGGGGGCACGAGAGAGATGTGGGAGAGACATTCGGAAGAGACGGGTGGGACAGGAAGAGAGATAGACGGACAGACAGAGAAACCGAACCCTGAGGGAGAAGTGGGGGAGTGAGGGCGGCCGCAGGAGGCAGAGGAAGGGAGAAGGGAGAGCTCCCAGATGCAGGGAGCACACTAGGAAGAGAGATGGGGACAGACACAGAGAGACGGCTGGAAGGGGAAGAGGAAAACCCCTCCCCTCTCAGCCCCACAGCCCCCCACACCCCAGAAGCTTCACCCTTGGCTGGAGGAGGGGACCCTCTTTCCCTGTCCTGGGGGCTAAGCCCAGGCTTGGCACTCGCCCTCTGCTCCGCCCCCACCCAGCAGGTTCCTCAGCCAGACACCTGGGGATGGCGGTTGAGCTGGGCTCCCTGGGGCACCTGAGGCAGACAGGCAGGGTCCCCAAGGCCATGTTGCTAGGAGATGCGGCCCTAGGGCCCCAGCTTATCTCCTGAGCCTCTTCCAGGGCAGGGCTTGGGACTCACCTGGGGCACCAACCTCCCTGAGCTCCCGCCCCACTCAGCCCTGGTGGGCCCCTGCTGGGCATCCTACAGGCCCCTGTGCAGTGAAGAGGCACCCTTCATCCCTCTCCCTAGCCTCCGAAGGCAGAGGGAATGATACTTGGTGAGCACCTGTGGTTTGCCAGGCCTCACCAACTCCCAGCACCCTGTCCTGTCCTGTCCCAGCCACTGGGCCTGGTGTGCTCTTGAGAGACACTAAAACCCAGAGAGGCTGGTTCAAATTTCCACCTGCCTTTTACGAGCTGTGTGACCTTGGGCAAGTCACATACCTCCTCTTCTCCCTCATCTAAGGATGAGATCAGCAACCTCATCTTTAAACAGGGACAGTATCTGCTTCATAGGGTTGTCCAGAGGAGGAAAAGCCACAGTGGGAAGAGGGGACAGGAAAGGCTGGTTTCTATCACTGTTCCTGTCCCTGAGCCTGCAGGGCTGTGGCTGGGGGCACCTCCCAGCACCTCCCCAGTCAGCCCTGTCCTGGCCCTGCTTTGAGCCCAGTGATTCACAGCAGCCTCTAGGGAAAGGGCTGCCCTGACCTCTCCCCAAGGCACTTGGACAGACACAATGAGGGATAAACCCTGGGGCACAGGCAAAGCCACACCCTTGTCCCTCTGTTCTGTTTTAGGGACTCAGGTAAGAGCAACTTACCTCCCAGGCCCTGTTTTAAGCACCTTAGCAAACCCACAAGGGCACCTGGTGCTGGTGTGACCATTATCCCCATAAATGGATGCTCAGAGCTATGCCTCTGCACAAGCTCCCCAACCAGGAATAGAGGGGCTCTGGTGCTTGGACCCAGGCTGACAGCTTCAAGAGCCCCAGCCCTTAACCTCCAGGCCTCAGTACCTGGAAAACCCAGAGAGAGGGTCTCACAGGGAGAAGCAGGAAGGTGGAGGCTGGGCCAGGGCTCCTCCCCGATGCTCCCATCCCAGCTCTAGTGCCTGGCTTGGACATGGCAGGTGAGAGGCCTGGAAGGCAGTGGGAGGACAAGTCCACGGCCAGACTCAAGCTTGATTTATTGTTTGCGCCTTCAGGCTGGCTTGTAAATCTCAGGCTGCAGCACCGGCCAGGCCCCTGGCAGGCCACAGGGGACAACTCCAGGAAGCCTCAGAGCATGCCATCCAGTGGGGGAGACTTCGCTCACCCTGCCCCAGAGCAGTCTCTTGGGGGAGACCCAAGAACTGCCCCAGGCATCACCAGGATACTCTGGAGCTCAAGGACCTGTGGCTATGCCTAGGGTGTCCAGCCCCGAGCCCCTTACCCAGGCCCTCTCCATGCCTTCACTCCACTTTCTCATTCCCCCCAGCCTCAGCAGGGACAGCACATGCAGTGTGGCAGTCGGGGCTGGGTGGGGGGGCTGCTGTTGGCAGCTGTGCCCAGGCCACTCCAACCTGTATGTCTGTCCAGCCATGCCCATGGCTATATGGAGATGGATGCCTGAGGTCAAGGCCCACCTTGTCCTGCTCCAGCCCCATGAACCCTGCAAGTCCCTTGACCTTTCACTTAAAAATTTAACAAGATGAAAGTGGCCAGCATTCACTAGGCAGTCTTGGTCAGAAGTGGTCCTCCACAGATGCCAGCTCCCTTCCTCCTTCCTTCAGGGGCACCAGGCACCCAGCCAGCCTGATCTCCGTTCGCTTCATGAGACACCAGGCCCTTGGCTAGAAGCTCTCTGACTGGGTCCAGGGAGCTAAAAGGAGAGAGAAGCAGAGGGCAGGTGATGTGCCAGCCTGGGGGGTGGGCACTGGTAACCATATGTCCGAGCAGTTCCATGCCAGGTGTGTAATATCTCTTTCTACCAGCATCAGCCCCCTCCTGCTCCTGGGGCTGCAGCCCTTTGGGGTCTCCTGGATTCACCTTCCATCCCTCCATACAGGCACACCCGCCACCCTCCAAAATGAGTTTAGATCCTGGCTCAGGCCCTTTCTAGCATTGTGAGACATTGTGCAAGTCACAGGCTATGTGTGTCATTGATGTAACACTGAAGGAGCATCCGAAGTGCAGTTATGACCTGGGGACATGTGAGGCCTTGGGTCTCAAACTGCGTGAGAGACTGGGGTAGCGGGGGAGGGCATGACCCGGCCAGTGTGTACGTGTGTTTGTGCACACCCACACATGCATGTGAGTATGCACAGGTGTGCGGGGCATGTGCATGTGTGCTCACATGTGTCTGTGCACATGTATGCTGTATGCTTGTCACATGCATATGTACTTGCATACACACTCATGTGCATGTGTGTGCAATATGTATGCATGCGTGTATCCTTGCGAGTACACCTATATGCACACTGCATACGTGTGTGTTTATGTGCTCTTGTGTGTAGTTGTGTGTGTATTTTTTGTGCGTGTACTTTTTGTGCATGTGCATGAACGTGGGGGTGCAGCAGATCTCCCTGGCTCCTCTGAATCCCTCTTCCCTTTGATTCCTTCCCTCCTCCTCCCTCCATCCCTCTTCCTTGGCCCCGCAGCCAGATATGTAGACAGCCCAGGCTGGAGGCAAGGGTGAGTGGGAGATGATCACGCTGCACCACTCACAAGGACCCTCTAATCCTCTTAGCTCCCACTTAACCCCACAGCCCCCTGGTGGGAGCAGCCCCTGCCTGCTCTCAGCTGGCCTGGGGCACCGAGGCAGAGCAGTGGCTAATGGGCGTCCAAGCCAGCCCCCAACCAGTTCATTAGCAACGATGAACCCAGCAGCCTCGTGGGGGTTGGGAGGGTCACTTCTCAACCACTAAGACCCTTTCCTATCCATTATATCTTTTGATCCTGACAACTTTCTGCAAGGGGATTTTAATGCCCTTTTGACAGTGAAGGGCACTGAGGCTCAGAGAGAGAGAGGCTTCCTTGAGGTCACACAGCAGGACAGTGCCAGAGTTGGCTTAGCTCAGGCGTCACCCACACCTGAGGCCACAGGGAACAAGAAATGCATTGGGATGCTCCCCAGGGGAGGCTCATGATCCTAGGGCTCTGACATTTTGGGGTCTCCTCTCCACCAGAGCTCTGGGGCCCCAAATTCCCATGCAGTCCCCTTTCCACGCCCCCTGCCTCCACCCACACCCGAGTTTCCTGGCAGCAGCCTGCTGAAAGACCTGCCTTATCTCTGTCCTTTGCAAGGTCTGCCTGTTCATCCTGTAGGGCGAAGGGTCCTGCTCAGGGCCATCTCGGTGACAGTCCAGCCTGCATGCCACTCCCCATGTTTTCCTTTCCAGAGCCACGTGGGGTCACTTGCTATGCAGCAGGCAGACTGAGGTTAGCCTGGTGGCAGGGCAAGCCCAGACCGGCCCTGGCCTCTCCACATCAGCCCCTTCGCCCTGCTCCAACTCGCTCAGGGCACCCCTGAAGGTCCACTGCCCCAACTCACCCCTCCTAGCCAACTCTGCACACTGGGGTCCCTGTGCTTGGAACACCCTTCCCACCCTGTCACCCAAACTCTTTGTCTGCCTGACTTCTTCAGGTCTAGACCTAAATGTCACTGCCTCAGAGAACATTCCCCAACTACCTCATCTAAATGAAGTGTTTTTGTTATTCTCCTACAGGCACGTTTCACAATTTGTACAAACATATGTCTTTATGTCTTTGTTGGTCTACCCCACTTGATGGTAAGTTTCATGCATGAAGTCAAGGGACATGTATGTCCAACATTGGTCCTGGAGATGCCAGACACATAGGAGATTTTTGGTAAAACCTTGTTGAATAAATAAAGAGTGGAGAGATGAACCAGCAAGATGTGCCTCCTCCACACCTGCACAGCCAAAGAGCTGCATGGTGGGGAGGGTGGGAGATGCTGCCCAGGTCAGGCGGAAGCAGCCCTGGCTTGGTGCTCATACTCCAGGGACAGGCTAGGGAGGAGGTCCCACTCCCCAGCCAGCTCTCAGAGAGGTTGGCCAGTCCCTCAGCCTCCCAAGTGAGCAGGGGCTGAATCCGCCTCCTGATGGCCTCTCCTTGTTTTTTTCTTTTTCTTTCTTTCTTTCTTTCTTTTTTTAGACAGTGTCTTGCTCTGTGGCCCAGGCTGCAGTTCAGTGCCACGATCTCGGCTCACTGCAACCTCTGCCTCCCAGGTTCAAGTGATTCTCCTGCCTCAGCCTCCTGAGTAGCTGGGACTACAGGTGCCCACCACCATGCCAGGCTAATTTCTGTATTTTTAGTAGAGATGGGGTTTCACCATGTTGGCCAGGCTGGTCTTGAACTCCTGACCTCCAGTGATCTGCCCGCCTTGGCCTCCCAAAGTGCTGGGATTACAGGCATGAGCCACCACACCTGGCCTGGGCCTCTCCTCCTTCTAGGCCTTCCAGGAAAGAAGATCCCAGTCCCCCAGGCCTATGTAGACTCCACCATGTAGCCCTGGTCATGGCCCAAACTTGCTACGTGCCCCTGAGTGAGTCCCCACCCATCTCTGGGTCTCAGCTTCCTCATCCAAAAAACAAAGGAGTTGAAGAAGATGACCTCTGTCTGTAGTAGCAGCTTCCAAGAAGTCCCCGGTGCTTGTCATCACCTGGTAGTTGCATCCCTGTGTAGTCATTGAACAGAGCTGATCTTTGTACACAATGGGATATTATGAAAGTGACAGAGTGTGGCTTCCTAGGCTAGGTCGCAAAAGGACAGTGAGGCTTCCGTCTCACTCATTCTTAAATCACTTTCTCTGGGGGAAGCCAGCTGCCATGTTGTGAGGAGACTCAAGCAGCCCAGTGGAAAGGAAATGAGGCTTCTTGCCAGCAAGCTGCTCCAGCCTGCAGGTGTGTGATGAGTCATCTTAGAAGCAGATGCTTTCACCCAGGTGAACCTGCAGATGACTGCAGTCCCAAGCCAATATCTTTTCTCCATCCATCTTCCACACTGACTGCTGGAGGGAGGACTTTCTAAACTATAGATCCGGGCTGGGTAGAGTGGCTCACACCTGTAATCCCAGCAATCCCAGCACTTTGAGAGGCTGAGGCAGGCAGATTGCCTCAGCCCAGGAGTTCAAGACCAGTCTGGGCAACATGGTGAAACTATCTCTACAAAAAAAAAAAAAAAGAAGAAAATTAGTGGGGCATGGTGGCACACACTGTAGTCCCAGCTACTCAGGAGGCTGAGTCAGAAGAATCGCTTGAGCCCTGGAGACTGAGGCTGCACTGAGCCAAGATCGTGCCACTGCACTCCAGCCTGAGCAACAGAGCAAGACCCTGTCTCAAAAAGATAAAAATTAAAATTAAACATAGATCTGATCATGTTGCTCCTGCTCTAGAGCCTTCCATGGCTCCCTTGTTGCCTACAGAATAAGGTCCAAACCCCTTGGACTGGCATTTAAGACCTTTTATCATTGCCCCCAGTTACCTCTCCAGCCTGATCTCTAGTTTTTGTTTGTCTCAACTCTAATATCCCACTAAGACTGAACCACCTCTAATTTCTGAACACAAGAGATTTTCATGCCTCTGTGCCTTTGCTCACACTGTTCTCTGTATCTGAATATTCTTCCCCTTCTTTGCCCAGAAAACTCCTACCAATATGTCAAGACCCAGCCATTCTGATCCACCACAAAGCTCTAGTATCTCTCTTGGCCCCACTGCATCTTGTTGGATTGCACTGATCGGTTTATATGCCTTGCACCCCACTAGACTGACAGCTCGAAAGCAGGATATGTCTTTCTCTGTATCGCCAGTGCTTTGCTCAGTGGCCAGTATACAAAGCCCATACAAGTTCTTAAAATGGAAGACCTTTAGGTTGACCTTTAAAGTCAATGCATTTAAAATCCACTTTGAATGGATATATTGCTAAAAGGTATTATAGACTCCCCTGCTTTTTAAAAACAGTACATGGGACATGACTTAACCTTGTCTGATTGTATGATTTGTGTCAATACAGATGCCGAGCTTTTGTGAAGGAGCCTTGGAGATCATCCAGTAGTGGAGGGATCTCAAGGCTACAGAGATCAAGTAACTTCCCAGGAAAGCAGCTTGTGGGATGATCTTTAATTAATGTCTGGGCTACAGTAAATGATGCTTCCTGCTTTACTGAAGAGCTTAGAGCCCTTGCCTTGCCCCTGCAGTAAATGGCCCCAAAGTCCGTGTTCTTCCAGTCTTTCCGTGTTTTTATGATCTTCCTGTCTCAGCTTGTCACTGTACCCATGTGTTTGTTCCCACTTTATCCTTCTAATTATTATTCCTGACCCACTGGAGGCAGGAACACCAGATAACCGAGTTCATGGAGCCATGTGGAAAGGAAGGGTTATGATTCCGGACTTAGATCTGGGAGTGCCTTTCCCATGGGGAGCGTGGCGTGAGCGCAGGGGCTCTGCATACCCTCCCATTCTCTGCTGTACTCCAGGTATGAGAGGTGCAGGGATAAGAGATGGAAGGGAAGGGGTTGTTCAATTGGGTGAAATGTTCATCAACAGAGCAATCCTACAGGCAGGTGACCCCATGCATGGGCAGGTAACTCCACAAGGGAGGAGAAAGGGGTAGACTCTGGACCTATGGGTTCTACATGAAGGAAACACCCCTTCCCACACACTCCCACCAGAGGCCAAATGCCTGGTGTAAGGGAAAAAGGGAAGAGTACCACTGTACGGGTGGGGATGCAGGAATAGCTCAGGCCCCTTACGGATGGGGGCAGGAGGGGGAGCAGTGAACTAAGACATGTGGATTCAAGTCCCTCCACTATTAGCTGCATGTCAAGGAACAGCTCAACTAACCCCTCTGGGTTTCAGCTCCAGAATCTATAAAATGGAAGTATTTCTTACATCATGGTGCTGGAGGGAAGATAAAGTAATATAGATGTAGGAACTTGGTAAATGCCAAAGTCCTGCACAAGAGAACATGATCTTCATTCATTCATTCATTCAACAAATATCTACTGGTCACCTACTGCATGCCAGGCCATGCTCTAGGAACTGGGGATAGGGTGGCTAACACAGCAAAGCCCCTGTTCTCACGGAGAAAGAAAAATGAATGAGAATGTATTAAGTAATGGATCAGTCAGATGGGCAATGTTTTTGATCAGTGGTGTAAAGCCATGAAAAATTGTTTCTCGCTCACATTGCATGCCCTTTGGGGGTTCCCCGCAGGGGAGTCTGCTCTATGTTGTCTTCATTTAAGGGCCCAGGCTGAAGGAGGCTCCATCCCCAACTTCCACAACAGGGAACAAGGCAAATGGCCCAATCGTTCCAAAAGCCCCATCCGAAGCCCTGGAAATGATACAGGACACGTCTGTCCTATTTCACTTTCCATCACAAGTCACACTCATCTCTGAGGGGAGGGAAAGTACAGTCCTACTCATACCCAGAAGATAGGGAGCAGGACGTATTTGGCAGAAAGCACTAACGCCCACCATGGATAGATTCATGAATCAGTACCAGGAAGACAAATAAAATAGCGTAAGGAGAGGGAGGGCTGATACTTATTGAGATGAGGGCCTGGCTGAGTCCCCCTGGGAAGGTGACATTGGAGCAGATATGTAAATAAAGTCAGGGAGCAATCCTGTAAGAAGAGCCTGGAAGGAGGAGCAAGTGCCCTGGGGCGGGCGGAGAGTAAGGAGATCAGTAGGCTGGAGCAATGGGCCAGTGGGAAGGACAGGAGAAAGAGGCATTTGAAGGGGAGATCATGAGGGCACGTGGTTGGCCACAGTGGGGCTGGGCTTTCCACGAGTGAAATAGGATTCGTCTGTTGTCACAGGGTGGCTGGGGGAAGCAGCACTGTTCGTGAATAAATGCACAACTGCTACGCCCCTCACTAGTTGTGTGACCTTGGGCACATCACTTAACCTCTGTGAGCCTCAGCTTCCTCACCTGTAAGTCGGGGGTTATAAGAGGGGCCACCTCCCAGGGTTATTGAGATGATAAAATACTTAGAACAGGACCTGCCATTTCATGAGTACCATAAAAACATTCGCTATTACTACTATCACTTTCCCCCTCTGCCTGGGGACGTCCTTCCCTTCTCCTCTTTCCTCTCTCCCGGTTACCAGTTACTGGTAACCAGCCTCCATCTCTAAGATTCAGTTTTGGATCTTATCTTCCCTGTCTTGCGTCTCAGAGCCCGAGAGACCTGAGTCCCTCTCCATCTCTCAGTCCCTGTGATCCTCCTCAAGCCTCAGCTTCTGCATCTGCTAAATGGGATCTATCCCCCCACCCCCCACCGCCGCCGACCTGACTGGGCTTTGAGGAGGCCGAGCTCACAGTTGAGCTCAGCTGGGTGCTCCCCGTGTGGCTGCTGGGTGGATTCCTGGCTGCCTGGGCTCCCCTCCCCCACAGGAGGCTGGGGAAACTGGGGGCCCCTCCTCTACACTCACCCACCCCAGCGCTGGCAGCCAAGCGCTCCTGTTGGCATGAGCTGGCGCCTCACCCAGGAGGGGAGAGCAGCTGCGGGGATGGTGGGAGAATTCCTCCCGCTGCTGGATTTGTCAAACAATTGATTAAAGACAATGCAATTAATTATTCCTTGATGAAATAGTGGAAATTACCCAAGAAAATGAAGATTTCAGCAGCAGAACATTAAACCCCTCTAATTATGTCATTTCTGAAAAAGGGAGAGGGGGATAAAATGGATGGAAATGGTGGGACAGAGGGAGGAAAAGAAGTTTTAAAATAGATGGGTTGACCCTGGGGGCTCCATGCAGGGTGAACATGAGAAGGATGGATGGAGCCACAACCCTGGATCTCCACCATACTGTTCACAAGGAAAGTCTGCCATGACAGAGCTCTTTCAGGGGACTAGAAGATGCCTGGAAAGCCAGACATTGGGATACTTGCCTGGGGTGCATCAGTTCATTATCCTCACTACTGAATCCCAGTGCCTTGTTCCTTTCTGTGAGACAACAGGGCTCAGAGAGGTGGCATGATTTGCCCACGGAGGTACAACTCTAACCAGTAGAGACAGGACTTGAACTCAGATCTAACTCCAGGAATTGTGCTTTTAAACCCCACCTGGTTGGAGTCCACAGCAGTAGGCACTGCGGAAGCCCTTGGCAGAAGCTGCTCTGACAGCCAGCTCCCCAAGGGTCTCAGTGGCCCACTGAACCTCAGGGCTGGGCATGGGGCGTAGGTGACTGCCAGGTGCTGACATCTCTGCCAATGCCGACGGAGCCTGAGGCCCCCTGGGAAGGGATCTTTCTAGCCCTCTGTCCTCTATGATTTTTCTGGATGTGCTTTTGCAAGGCAGGGAGGGGTGGCGAGTGGGATCTGTCCAAGACTTGGCCCAGCCATCTCTCCCAGGGAGCCCCAGATACTCCGCTGAGCCCAGGAGAAGAGCTGAAGGCCTAGATTCTAACCCGCCTCTGCCAGGAGTATAGCTGCAGCATCGCCTTAGGAAGTTCACTTGCTTTCCTGGGCCTCAATCTCCCTATCTGTAACAGAGGCTATTGGACCATTAGATATATTGGTCCATTTGTGAATACGGGACCCAGCCTGCCCCAACTTCGAAGGTGAACTCAGGTCCAAGAAGCCAAAATCAGCTCTAGAGTGGGCAGGGGGAGAAGAGGAAAAAGGGAGAGCCACCTAGGGCCAGTGGAGGAGTGGCTGGGGGATTTGGGGGCTGGATGGAGGAGCAGGGAGGGAGCCGAAAGGAGCCCTGTGGGGGGCAGTGGAAGGGGAGAGGCAGCCACCCCAGGATCCCTCCTAGTTTAGGCTCAGTCCTGGGAGGAAACAGGCGAGGAGTAGCGGGAGGGCGAGGGGCCTGGAAAGGGGTTAAATCGCCACCTCTTCAGGACACCCACCGAAGGGACCAGCTTACGGGAATGGCTGGCCCTAATAGGGCCAGATGGGAAAGCCCCTTGATTCTTCCTCAGCACCGCCCAAGATGCTTCTTCACAGCTTGCTCTTGTGGGTCCTGCTCCTGGGGCAGATCCCATCATTTTTCTGGGCACTCTCAGGCACTGTCAATTTCATTTTGATGAGTTAGAATTTCCAATCTCATCTAGCATCAAAACTTCAATGTCTCATTCAATCTAAAGAGTCCTTCCTCTCTCTAGCCCAGGCCTGGCTACGGCTGAGAAAGCTGAGGTGATGGGGCTGGGAGGCCTGGTCCTCCAGGAAGCTTAGGGCTTAGGGGTCCTCTCTGCAGAGCACTCCTTGTGGGACCTCTGCAGAGCCCCTCACTGAGATTCTCAACCGGCATTTCCCTGACGTGGGCAATGGGTCTGCAGCAGAGATCACCCCACTGTTCCTGCCCCAGCTCCTGTTTCTGGGGTTCTCTCCACTCAGACTCCAAGAAGTCACCTCGCAAGGCAGGTAGAACCTTCTGTGCAGTGTGCCTCGTCCACTCTGACCCACGGATACTCTGACCCGTGGAAGAACCTGGGCTTGGTGGAGTCTGGGCTCCAAGCCACCACCCCCATCTAGACTCTTTTCAAGCCAGGGGCAAATTCTAGGGAACACTTCTGTCAGCTTTTGCCAGTGTTTCTCCTGAAGCACCACCCCTCACCCAAATTAAGGTGGGAGTAGTTAGGGGGGCACACCCCACCCCTCCCCAGGTAGAGCATACTGACCAAGGAATCCTTGTTGTCTTTCCCCTCCCCACACTTGTCACTCTCGCCTACCTTAAGGTAGCATAGAAGTGTGTGCCATGGGCCACACCAGCTTGAGGTCATCAGTCTTGCGAGGCCTGAAGAGATCTGCCTCTCACTTTAGAACATGGGGGTTTGGGGCACCAATGACTCTCAGAGGCAATTCCAAATGAGCAGTGTTCCATTCGGACGTCCCGTTGTGAATGCAAACCACTGCTCTTCCTGCTAACTCAGACTCCTTCTTTGGCCACATCCCGGTCCCTGTCACCTATCCTAGGCCCAGCCCCAGCCCTCTCCCTGGGACAGGACAATAGCCCCATATGCACTGTTGAGCAACACCTCACCTCCCCTCCAGCCATCTCAAAGTTCCTGGGCAAGGGAATGTGGCCTGGAGCAGGGCCGAGACCCGCCAGGGTCTCACAGCCTGCTCTAGAACTGTGACCCAAACCCAGGCACCAGAATCGCAGAGCAGCGCTCCTTCCAGGGGCTCGCCCCCAGCCTTCACCTCTCTGGTAGGGGTGGGCTGACTAGATGGAGGGGCTGAGCAGGGAGGAGTCCCTCCCTCTCTAAGGCAGCAGCAAGGGTTCCAGCAAGAACAAGGTTGGGAGCCAGGTGGACCTGGGTTTGAATCCTTGTGCTGCCACTTTCCAGCTGTCATTTCTGAAGCACAGTCTCCCCTCTGTAAATGGGATATGGTGACACTCAGCCACAGGGCTGCTGGGAAGACTGACTGAGAGAAGGTCCCAGCCAGGCTCTGGCACAGAGCAGGTTAGCTCCCTCAGGACCCTCCCGCGAAGAGCCCCTCCTCCCTCACTAGGCTCTGTTCCAAGACCAGAGACCAATTTTCTGACTGCACTGGGTCTTGAACTTCCCATTTATGCCAAGGAAAGAAAGGCTGTGGTGTGCTGAGGGCCCTGGGAGAGTCTTTGGAACCGGGGTGGGGGCGTAGCCTAGATGGGAAGGGCTGCTCTTCCTACCCATCTGCTCCCAGACCCCTCCCACCAGGGACGGCACTCCAGCCCCTCCCCCAGCTCCCAGCACAGATGGCAGGAAGGAAATGCCAAGGCACGGAGGCAGGGAGGGGCCACCCAGCCCCCAGCGGCTGCAGCCCTTGCCAAGCTTCCCACAGGAGGAAGAAACAAGCCCCCTCCCTCGCCTATGGCACTGCCCCTCAGAGAGCCACAGCCCACTGATGCCCTGGTGCCTCGCATCCTGTTGTCATGGTAACCAGGACTAGCTGACGTGCCGACAGGCAGACCAGGAGCTGCTGCCACATGAATCACTTGAACTTGATGTGACAGACACAGGCAGGCGGGCTGCACAGGGGTAGAGGGAGGTGGTGCCCTGTAGGCAGGGATCCTGGTTGGGCAGGGGGAGTTCGGCTGAGTCCCTCCAATCATGACAGGCTTAGGGGCACCAGAAACCTGTGAGACCCCAGAAGTTCCCACTGAAGGCAGAGCCCCTTGGACCAGCCATGCATGAGTCCCCTCCAAGCTCCCATTTCCTCATTTATAAGATTGGGAGAATGAACTGAGTGGGAAACATCAATTAAAATAACGGGCATGGGCTTGCTTTGTAAATTCAAACGTGACACAAATGCTGGCTGTTCTGGAAAGCACAGAGGCTCTCTCCTCACACACACCCGGGCTTCAGACCCCTTGCTGCTATTTGTTGGTTCTGTGCCAGCCCCAACTTTCTGTTCTGTGGAATGGGGATAATTTGCCTCCCTGCCTGGTTTCAACTACTCACTTAGTCATGCAATAAAAATTCTCAAACCCATCTATGTACCAAGTGCTATGTTAGGAACAAGGCTGACCCATTTCCTGCCCTCACTGAGCTTACATTCTAGTGAGAGGGGCAGACTCCAAGCAAGGAAACAAACAAAATAACTTGGGTTGTAATGATGCTGTGATGAATACAAACAAGAGACAGGGTCACAGAATAACTGGGGAGAAGGCTTACTTTAGGAAGGAGGATCGGGATGGACTCTGTGAGAGCTAAGCAAAGAGAAGGAGCTGGACTCTCCGTGAGGGGAGAGAGCTCCAAGCCCAGGGAAGGACAGGGCCAGTGTCCTGGGGAGGGAGAAAAGGGACTGTGTTGGAAGTACAGGAGGGAGACCACCGTGGATTTAGCAGGGCAAATGGGTGTGTGTGAACGGGAGGTTTTATTCCAGATGCAATGGGAGGTGGAAAGTCTTGGCACTTTAAGAAAAGAAGCAATGTGATTTGATCTCCATGGGCATGCTGAGGACACTTGTGCTGGCTTGTGGAGAATGCACGTGCTCAGGGAACAGCCCAGGTAGAAGTCACGGCAGAGGTTCAGAGCCGCGATGAGGATGCTGTGAGCCCAGGGCAGTGACAGAGATGGAGAGAGGTGGTCAGATTTGAGATAATTTAGGGAGACAGAATTGCCAGGACTCATTCATGGCCTAGACATGGATGGTAAAAGAAAGGGGAGAGTGTGACATCTGGGTCTCTGATTGGTTGTGGTGCCTATTTCTTTTTTCCTTTTTTTTTTTTTTTTTTTGAGACAAGGTCTTGTTGTTGTGTCACCCAGGCAAACACAGCAGTGGTGCAAACACAGCTCACTTCAACCTCGACCTCCCGGGCTCAAGCAATTCTCTCACCTCCACCTGCTGAGTAGCTGGGACCACAGTCAAGCACCACCATGCCTGGATTTGCTTATTTTTATCTTTATTTTTTAGAGATAAGATTTCACTAAATTGCTCAGGCTGGTCTTGAACTCCTAGGTGCAAGCAATCCTCCCGCCTCGGCCTCCCAAAGTGCTGGGATTAGAGGTGTGAGCCACCGTGCCTGGCCTGGTGCCTACTTCTAAGATTGGGAAACAGGAGTGATTTGTGAATCATCTTTAAAGATGGGACTTTAGCCTATGGGACTTCTCTCTCCAGGGGAGGAACATTCATTGGCTGCCCTTTGCCTTCACTCTCTGGAGGGTTGCCCTGGCCACTCTGGAAGAAATGTATGGAAAGGCTATATGGCAGGGAACCCGATCAGAACTCTGGTTTTTAAGTGACAGAAACACTACTCAGCCTCCCATAGGCACGAAGAGGGATTTACTGGCTCACAGAATCCATGGAACTAACCCACAGGAATGGCCCAGAGAGCAGCTCCTCTAGAGTCTCTCCAATGCCAGTTCATCCTTCCCAGCTGCAGACCCGCTTCTTCCCCAAGCCAGGACACATGGCCACAGTCCCTTAGATTTTTTTGAAAATCAGAATCAAATTTTATCTTAAACTTTTTCTCTTCAATAGGGCCGACCTGGCCACCTTTGGCCTAAAAATGTGAAGAAATGTGATAATGTATAGTTTGTGAAGAGGGAAAAGACTACCCCAGAAATCCATATATTAAAAAAGAAAGATGTACTAATCTAAAAACTATTCACACACAAAAGCAATGAAATTCCTTTGAAACAGGAAAAAGGAAATATGGAAAAATTCATAATGGCATCCTCTCAATTTGTATATGATTATAGGATATAAAAGAAAGACATTCTCTTGCATTTCCAGTCCAAAAACTTGGAGAACTTTAATTGGCGGGGCTTCAACCATGTGCCCCTCTTGGGCCAATCAGCTGTGGCCAGGAGTGGGGTTCCTATAAGAGCCTGGCAGCTCACACTATGACCACAGGGCTGGAGGGGGCTGGGATGGGCTGTGATTCCCAAGAGAAGGGAAGGGTGCTGAGCAGATAATGTCCCTAGTGTTCCTTATACGCCTTGAGTGTCAGCTGAAGTTCTGACTAGAGAGATGGAACAAAACCATGAGAACAAGGAAAAGTTTGCAGAAGGGTGGAAAACTCAGTAACTTGTCATTTGGAGGTCCAGGAGGGGCAGCCAGAGAAGAGTTTGTGACCCCCAAAAGGCATCCAGTGAGAACAGAGGATTAAACGCATTGTCTTGACAGAGAAAAGAATATAGCTTCAGCAGCGTCCAGGTGTGGGGTGGTGGGGTGGTGAGATGGTGGGATGGTGGGGTGGTGGGGTGTGGGGTGGGGATCTAACTGAGCTTAACTATAACATCTGGTGAAAGTGTGAGGATGACTCCGATATGCCCAGAGCCTGGGGTTACCAGGATATGCCTGCTGATTGGAGTTGAATTGTCAAAGCATACAAAAGTAAAGGATAGTCCATTGCTTTCGGAAGAGTGAAAGGGTCTTGCTAGGCTCACTAGCTGTATAACTTTGGGCAAGTTAGATTTCACATCTCCAAGCCTCCATTTGCTTGGGTTTAAAGTGATGAGTTGCCCGGGCATGATGGCTCACACCTGTAATCCCAGCACTTTGAGAGACGAACGTGGGAGAATCGCTTGACCCTAGGAGTTTGAGACCAGCCCGGACAACACAGTGAGACCCCATCTCTACAAAAAATAAAAAATAAAATGATGGGTGTGCAAAATGAAATAACATATAAATATGATTGCCTGTCTCTTAAGGTTGAGTGAAGATTAGAAGAGAAAATGTATCTAAAACACCTGCTACAGGTTGGGTGCAGTGGCTCATGCCTGTAATCCCAACAATTTAGGAGGCCAAATTGGGAGGATCACTTGAGCACAAGAGTTCAAGACCAGCCTGGGCAACATGACGAGACCCCCTCTCTACAAAAAATACAAAAATTATCTGGGTGTGGTGAAGCTCACCTGTAGTTCCATCTACACGGGAGGCTGAGGTGGGAGGATCAATTGAGCCTGGGAGGTGGAGGCTGCAGTGAGTCATGATCATGCCACTACACTCCAACCTGGGTGACAGTGAGACCCTGTCTCAAAAAAAAAAAAAAAATACCAAAAACAAAACAAAACAACAACAAAAAAAACACCTGCTACAAAGCCTGAGAGCCAGGAACTTAGTAAGTGCTCAGTAATGTTATCTGTTATTTTCATCACTGCTACAAAAGTGTATGGAGGGGATAGGTCTCTTAACTTCTGAGTGCCAATGAGAGAACAATCTCAAATACAAGAGGCTTTAATATGTGGTCAATGACTCTACCCTGGGCAACAGTAATAGAAGCTCTATTATCTGATCATCTGTTCTGTACCAGGCACTTTGCTAAGTCCTTTACTATATTTTCTCATTTAATCCACACGACAGTGATTAGTGATAGTGTATCAGTTAGCTTTTGCTGCATAACAAATTACCCCAATGTTTATAGCTAAAACAACCACTGCTTATTAAGCTCATGATTCTGTGGTTTGGAAATTCAGCTGAGCTCTTCTTCCGGCCTTTGCTGGGCTCACTCATGCATCTGCAGTCAGCTGCTAGTCAGTTAAGTGGCTCTGCTTCTGGGGGTTGGCTGGCTGACATCTGCATGCTGAGGGTGACTGAGCCGTACATTTCTCTTCATCCAGCAGGATAGCCCATGCTTGTTCACACAGCAGCTGGGCAGGGCTCCAACAGAATGGAGGAAAGCATACAAGGCCTCTTTAGGCTTGGGCTCAGAACTGGCTCTGTCACTTCCACCACATTCTGTTGGCCAAAGTAAGTCCAAGATCATCCTAGATTCAAGGCAATGAGAGAAGTTGCCAAATTTTACTGCCATGAGGCGCACTCAGGGAGGGATGGGGAATTGTGGCGACTTTTGCAATCTACCACTGATAGGTACTAATATCACTGCCATTTTCCCTGTGAGAAAAATCAAGCCTCACGGAGGTAAAAATGGCCTGACCAAGTTATGCAGGTAGAGCATGGCAGACATGTGAACCCCAGGGTCTCAGGCTTGACTACATGGTGACATTCAGACTTCATTCTCTTAGGGGAAGCTGGCAGGCTCTCGTCTGTCACAATCCAAAACAACCCAATTTTATAGGCATCAGCGAGTTTGGCTGAGATGAAGACGAGGCAGGAACAGATAAAAAGTTGGGTCTAAAGCAGGTCAGGACCCGGGGGCTCAGACAGAGCCTGCAGCCATGGCGAGGTTCAGTGACACAGACCTCAGCCTGCCTCACCAAGGCACAGAACTAAACTTCATGGACCAGAGCTGACCCTCTTCCAGGCAGAAACCTTGCCTGGGCCTCAGGCTGGCAGGGTCCCACCAGGAGCCCATGGTGAGGGAGCTGCCTCCGGTGTTGGCTGCTGGGCTCCCAGCCCATGGTGGTGACAGCGCAGGCAGAAAGATCAAAGAGGTGCCACAAGGTGAAGTAGAAGATCTGTCCTCTCCAAAGAGCTCTGAAATCATCTCTGCCTGTAGGGAAGTGAGCAGAGGGGCACGGGGGGTCTGCGATGGGACTGCCCCACTTCCTCACCTCCGCTACGACCGGCCCCTCCCCCACAGAGACACCAGAGCCATGAGCACAGCTGTGCCCAGCCAAGCTGCCGGGTGCCAAGACGGGCCTGGCGGGCTCCGTCTCATCTGTCTCTCTTTAGCAGGAACAAATGGGAATGAGGGAATCAATTAACAAGGCTCCTTAGCCAAAGGACTGCTGCTCCCTCCTTCCCTAGCCTGTTAACCCTTTGCTTCCAGGGCTGGGAGGGCTGCCCTGGTGTGCTGGCCATGCTGGCTTCTGTCTTCTCTGTGCCAGATGCCCATGGCAGCTGCCAAGCTGAGGAACCAGAGCCAGAAACGCAAGCACCTCTATTCCACCCGGCGGAATTTGGGGTCAGCCTTGAAGCATACTCAGGACTCTGGCCCACAGGCAGGCCTGGACTTTTTTTCTCTCTCTAGAGACCTAGGATCCTCTCCTGGCTCAAAAACCTCTGAACAGAAGAGACAGGCCTAACAGTGGCCTTCAGACCGGGATGGTAGGTCACAGCCGAGCCCTACATGGGCCTCACACTGGATCTGGGAAAGACAAGGGCCCAGGGGACAGGGCAAGATGCATCCAGCCACGTTCAGAAAGCCCTGACAATTCTAACTTCAGAAGCAAATGGTCAAATTTGCTAAGAATGCTCTCTGGGGAATTCAGAAAGGCAACTATGAGGGCCTGGAAGTCCTGGGTTGTCAGGAGCCTTAGGTTGGAGTCCCTAGCTCAATAGCTGATGTGGCCTTATGACATTCTGAGTTATTAATTAATAGGCCACTCTTTCTCCCACCAACTCTCACCAAACGACTTTACTTGCTCCCCAAGGGTCTTTCCCAGCCTTGGAAGTAAGGCCATCAGTCTTGAGCCTGCTACATTACACAACACGGGGGTGCCATTCATAGCCTGCTCCACCATACACAGTGACACTGGGGTCACCCCTGCATGGAACAAAAGAAACAAAAGTGTGTACTGTTGGCCTTTTACGTTCAAAAGATACTCTTCTAAGTTAAGACCAAAAAAAAAAAAAATTGGATGCAGCTTGCATTGAGAGTGCTACCCACAGATTCCACATCCCTGCACTCTAGACTGGATAAAAGACTCCAAAGCCTGAAAGAAGGTGAAGAAAGGGATGAGACAGACAGGTCAGAGGGAGGACCACATACTGAGCTGCACCCAGAAGCTCCAGTGGTTTCCAGAGCCAGGGAGCCACATGGGAACCAAGTGTGCCCAATGACAAGGCTCACTCCACACAGCTGAGTGAGCTCTGTGGCCCAGCCAGGGCCTGGGACAGGGACATATGTCAGTCCGTTCATTCATCCATCCATCCACTCATTACAAAAATGGACAGTGAGTGCCTACTGTATGTCAGACACTATTCTGGGCAGAGTGAACAAGCAGACAAGGGCCTGGGCCTTGGGCAGTGTGAGGATGAGGACCACTCAGTGACTGAAGCTGGCTATTCGCCAGTCATCCAGCAGAAGAGAGGTGGTCTGTGCCCTGAATCCTGGCTCAGTGCCCACCGGGATTATCCAATGGGCAGAGCCCCCTCCTGCCCCTCTTCAGCACCCTAGTACACTTGTTGTGAGCCCCCTGTGTAAGTGTGGGGCCCTAGACAAGCAGAGAGATGACAAGGAAGGGTGGGGGAGAGATGTGGGAAGGTGGAGCTAGTTGGGAGACTGCCCAGTCAACAAAACATGTGCTGAAGCACCCTAAGGTGCTCCAGTACAGGCAGGGGATAGCTGGACCTCCCTCCCTTGTTCTCAGCATGTTTGCCTTTCTCTTTTCCTACTGCAGAGGAGTATCCAGCCTGCTGAAAACTCCAGAGGCTCACCTTGACCCTAAATTCAAAACTCAAGCCAGGACCGAGCGCGGTGGTTCACGCCTGCAATCCCAATGCTTCGGGAGACTGAGGCGGGCGGATCACAGAAGTTGGAGACCAGCCTGGCCAACATGGAAAAACCCCGTCTCTACTAAAATTACAAAAATTAGGCATGGTGGCACATGCCTGTAATCACAGCTACTCCGGAGGCTGAGGTGGGAGAATTACTTGAACCCGGGAGGCGGAGCTTGCAGTGAGCTGAGAAGGCACCACTGCACTCCAGCCTGGGCAACCTAGTGAGATTCTGTCTAAATAAAATAAAATAAAATAAAATAAAATAAAATAAAATAAAATAAAATAAAAAAAACTCAAGCCAGGGCTTCTGATTGGCCCAGTGTGAATCACGTGTCCTTCACTGAGCCAATCAACATTGCCCAGGAGGGTAGGCTCTGTAAACGATGGCAGCTCCCATTCTAAAATCAGGGTTAACATGGGTTGAAAATGATTCCTTGTAGACAAAACCACAGATATCCACACCAACCTTGGGCATATAGAGATACATGGAGCCTCACTTTTCTGACCTGTAAAATGGAGCTAACTATTGTGCCAACCTCACTGGGCTGTCTCAAGGGTTAAAGTAGATAAACAAGTGTGCTTGGCACACTTTACAGATATTCGAGAAATGGAAGGCAAGTGTGATTTAGGACCTCTCTGGCGTCAGTCAACCCCTCTCTAAAATGGATGTCCTGCTCGATCTCCCCAACCCTGATGTCCCAGGATCCCATGGCCCAGGGCCTCCGTGCAGGTGGTGAGTGACCACAGACCTTCCTCTCAGAGATCTAGTGTCCTCCGTCTATTCCTGGGAACTGAAATCTCCTCCTGCTGCTCTTCCCCTCGCCAAGGAATGTTTCTGGCCCCCTGTGACCGCCCTCAACACCCCACATCTCTGCCTAGAGTCCTGGGAAGAGCATGTACAGGGCTATTCTGAGCTGGGGAACCAGAGTTCAGACCGCAGTTCTGGCTGGGTGATCTTGCTCAGGCACCTTAAGCCCTCTGTGCCTTAGTTTCCTTGACTGTGACAATGGGGTGGTGAATAGTAGAAACTCTCTCGTAGGGCTGTTGTGTATATGGCCCAGCACAGAGCGAATGCCATGTAAAAATCTTAGCCATTCCCGTTGTTAACACTGCTGGCCCTCGCTCCATCTGCTGCGGAAATAGCACGGACAGGTCAGAGTGAGCTGAGCGCTGGGACAGAGCCATAAACAAGACTGACTGACGCCGGTCCTGTCCTCCTGGAGCTCCCATCCTGATGGAGGCAGACACATCAACGGGCAATTTCAATGCAGCGTGACCAGGGCCACTCTCAAGGGAAGCCTGGGCGGCCGGAGCAGGGGCCCAGCCCCACGGATAGAGGGTGAGGGCAGGCAGCCAGGAGAGGTGATGGCTGGAAGACAGTGCAAGTGGACCGGGTGAGGGAGTTCAGGGTGCATCCAGGCAGAGGGGCCAGACAGTATTCAACCTTGAGAGCTGACCGGGGGAGACACAGGCTGATCTTGGCCAGTTCAGGTGGAGGGAAGGTGGGTGAGGTGGGCATGGAGGGCGTCCAGGTGGAGGCAGTTGCTCTCCCAGGCTGAGTGTGGAGCCTCAGCCCCGCTCTCTCCCTGGACTGTGCCTGTGTGTGATTTTGTGTAACTGAGATTATGTGTGTATGTGTGTGGCTGTGTAGGGGGTGGTGTGTTTGTGGGTTTGTTCCTCGGCAGGGTTGTGGTGAGGGTGTGAAAAATAGTGTGTTTGGAAAGGGTATGCCTATTTGAGACAGTTTAGGGTGTGACCACTGTGTGTGAAGTTGTGTGTGTGACGCTATACGCGTAACTGTGTGTCCATGAATGTCCCTGAGACTGTGTGATGTGTGGCTGTATGTAGCTGTGTATTATGTGTCTTTCTGTAGGTATGAGTGTATAAGTGTGTGTATGTATGTTAGACACACATGCACTGCTGTCTGTGGAGACCAGGGCAATGAGAGCTGCTCCCCCACTTCCATCCAGCCCTGCCGCAGAGGAGACACACACACACACACACACACACACACACTCCTGGGGCTGGGAGGGGTGGCTGCCTGTCGCTGCCACAGCCAGTCAGAACTTGCTAATTTGCATGTTAATGAAGCCCGGGGAGCTCTCCAGCTCCAGACTGACAGGAGCCCCTGGCACCCCATCCTCCCCTGACAAGACTGGGAGTGAGGAGCGGGGAGGGCTGAGAGACGGCAGAGGGAAGAAGAGACAGAGGAGGCTCTGGGATGAAGCTCCCCTTTCTCTTTCTCTCACTCCATCACCCCTCTGCAGGCCCCAGGCCCCTCCACTTAGCTGCCAGCCCCCACACTCTCCCTCCACTCTCCCCACAAGACTCTGAGCTAGGGGAGAAAAGGCTGGGTCAGAGCCCTCACCAGGCATGCGCAGCCCTGGGGTGAAGGCAGGGGACGCTGCTCAGGGCTCCTCTATGAGCTGAGCTGAGCTGCCCACACCTGCCCCCTTCACAGAACATGCAGCGAGTCATCCCATGGCACCTGCAGGTGCCCTGGGGAAGATGCCTTGAGCCAGGCATCTGAGAGCAGCAGGCACTAGTGTGCCCAGGTTGGCGCCAACAGTCAGCAGGCTCTCTCCTGCCCTCTGCACCAGGCTTCAGCAGAGGCTGAGGGGACTGCTAAGCTCTCAGCCTGCCCTGTGTCCTAAGAGGGAAGACTCAACCCATGTGGGAACCCCTGCCAGGGTCCTGCCAGCAGGGGAGATATGAGGCAGAGTGGGGGACCGGGACAGGGCTGGGGGATCTGAAGATATGATGTGTGAGGAGTAACAGTGGGGTCATAACAGTGGAGGGCACCCACCACCCTCTCCCCAGAGGGGCTGTGCTCCCAGCGAGGGAAGGGCGGTAGCGGCCGGAGAATGGAGCCTCGTAGCTTTGATCAACAGGTCAGTCCAGGATTGTGCTGTTTCATTCTCAGTGCCGTTGCCATTTGCAGTCTTGTCTGGGTCCGGATCCATCCCCCTTCCCATCCCCCCATCGCCTTCGTGCCCCATCCCCTCCTCCCGAGCTCCTTCCTTTCCTAATCAGCCACATCCCACAGGGGGCTGGGCTCTCTGGGGAGCCCTCCACAGCCAGCTCCTAAACACACTGTCTGGTTTTGTCTCAGAGAAGTTTTGTCCCCTGCCTTGGCAGAGGGACAGTCTGGGCTCCTGCCCTGTCACCCTGGCCCATACTGGGCACTTTCTTCCCTCCTTTGCCTTCCCTTCTCCCCACATCTCTCTTGACCCAGGTCTGGCCCAGTGCTCTCTGTCGCCCACTGGGCCTAGGCCTCCATCTCTCCCTTTTTTATCCAAATGCTCAAATATTCATATTTATTCATCTTCTCTCTCTCTCTCTCTCTCTCTCTCCTCTCTCTCTCTCTCTCTTTCTGTCGTCTTGGTTCTAGGTCCCTGGACACCCACCCTGCCTCTGCCCCATCCCCCCACCCTGTGGCTACGCCTGGTCCCCAGATGTGCTTACCAGAGCTGGGAGGCAGAAAGGTGAGGGAACCTCAGGGCCCTGGGTCTCTGCAGGTGAGAAGAGAGCAAAGCAGTTGCTAGTGTTAATTGCAGGGAGGATGTCTGGCAGAAATAAGGTGGTTTTTCTGCTTCAGTGACGACTGTTACAATCAAATTGTCCACAGACAATTAGCAGAGTGGGAGAAATAAGAATTAGATTTCTAATTATTTTCCCAGTAAAAGCCGCCCTGGACCCCGTGGGTGATGGGGAAGGGCTTCTCAGTGGAGCCAACAGGCACTTTTGTGGGCCTAGCTCCCCTGAAGCTGGTGTGAGGGAGTGCCAAGTAGCAGGTGGTAGAGACAGAGGAATGCACCCCACCCCAGTGCTCAGCCCCACCAAGATGGCAGGAAGGAAAGGACGCACCTTGCTGAGCCTTGGAGTTCTGGAAAGAACCAGCATCTAGAGGCTGCTACTGGCTCTCAGGACCAGCCCTGGTACTACTTGCCGTCTCTTCCCATTTTCAACCCTCAGTTTGCTCATTCCAAAAATGGGGGACTAAGAATTCTCAGGTAGTGGAGTTGTTGTGAGCAGCCAATGATGTGAGCTGGTGGGAGCATCTCACAGCGACCGGCAGAGGGCAAGGGGTCCTGCCTGCTCCTGCCCTGGCCTCACTCTCACACCATGGTGCACGTGCTCACACACGACTGTGTGAATGTGTAAGCCCACACACACATTCACGTATGGGAAGCCTCTCTTTCCACACGCCTCTGCACATCTGGGTGCACAGCCTAACTCTTAACAAAATGGGCCAGGCATGCTGGCTCACGCCTGTAATCCTAGCACTTTGGGAGTCCAAGGCGGGTGGATCACTTGAGGTCAGGAGTTGGAGACCAGCCTGGCCAACATGGCGAAACCCCCTCTCTACTAAAAATACAAAAATTAACCAGGCGTGGTGGTGAGCGCCTATAATCTCAGCTACTTGGGAAGCTGAGGCAGGAGAATCGTTTGAACCAGGGAGGCAGAGGTTGCAGTGAGCTGAGATCATGCCACAGCACTCCAGCCTGGGTGACAAAGTAAGACTCCGTCTAAGGGAAAAAAAAAAAAAAAAAGCTTTTCCTTGATCTGTGTGAGCCTCCATTTCCACATCTGTTAAGGAAGCTGATGAAGGTGCCTACTGCATAGGGTTCAAGGACACATGTGGAAAGGGCATGGCTCCTGCCTGCTGCATGGCATGCATTCAGTAAATGGTGTTAATGATGAAAATACTATATGAGGTGTCCAGTCCATGCCTGCAAGGCTAAAGGAGGAAAGTAGGGTGTGTTTCGGGAGGGAATAGGTTTAGGAAGTTGAAGGAAGTGATGAATAAGCATTTGTCAATCCCTACTAAGCACAAGCCCTCTGTGCTGCGTGCTCTGGACCCATCAGGCCCAGCCTTCATACTCAGAGAGACAGGCAGCAGCAGAGCAGGCAAAGACCGACTGGGTTTGGGTGGGACAGTTCTAGGTTTGTGTTGGAGCTGTGCCCTTGGTACGAATCAGGATGCTTCCACTTCCCCCTCTGAGCCTCAGTTTTCCTCTCTGTAAAGTGGGGATAATACCTACCTCCCAGGGTAGTTTGCAGGCTGTGACAGTGCTTTGCACCTGGGAACATGCTTTTGGGGTGGAGGGGCCATTGGCACAATCACTCTGACTTGGACACCAGTGCCACACACGTCCCACACACAGACTCAGTGTCTACAGGTGGATGCCTCCAGACCACCCAGAGCCTTCAGGCCTGACTCCACATCGAGGAGAGGGAAGACCTAGCTCACTAATGTCCGACAGGTGCCCAGGCCTAGTGACAGCCAACACACCTGCACAAAGGTCTCATACAGGTGCCACACATGATCACTCTGTCACATTCATACACACACACAAACACCCCCACCCACCCACACACACACAAACACCCACGCACCCTTCCTGGGCCCGTTCCTTCTCGCACACCCAGGACAGGCAGCCAGGATGTCCCCGAGTGAACCTAAGAGAAGCTCAAGGCCGCACCCACCAGGGCTGTGCTGAGGGAGGCAGCTGCAGCCCAGCTGTGGGGTCTGGGCTGGGGTGAAGGGAGCTGTGTGGAAACCCAGATGGGAGTTGGTATAGGAGGGGCACAAGGCTGCATCCTGGGCCCCACCTTCCCACCTCTAGGCCAACGGGCTGGGCTTGGCAGAGAGGCAGTCACCTGCCTGGAGGTGGGAAGAGCCTCTTTCTGTATTGATCCTCCCTCCCCACCTGCCCTTTATTCAACAGTGACAGCGACCCTGGGGAGGATGCCTCTGCCCACCCTACCTCAGCCCCACCTCTGTCTTCCTCCCCTGCCTCCTCCTGGGTCCATGGTCTCTGTCACTCTGGGCCTGGGTCTCCCTGCCCCTGTGCTGGGCTATGTAAATGTGGTATTTCCCTCCCATCATCGGGGCTGCCGGCTTGGCTCACATTTAATTTGATCCGTGGCGGCGCCTCTGCGGATCCACTCATCAAAGCAGGAAGACAATTAGGTGAATGTCAGGGTGGCCTAGGCCCCGCAGGGGCCACCAGGGCCTGGAGCTGGGACTGTGAGGGGTGGGCTTGGGGGCCTGGCTTCAATCCTGGTCTCCCTTTGGGCCGGTCTATGCTCAGGTTCCAGTGTTTGTTGTGTGACCAGAGACCTGGACTGCCCAGCGAAAACCAGGCTTCCCTCTGCCTAGACCCTGCTTTGAGGGTGTGACCGGTGCCTTTGAAGTACAGGAAAGGCCCTGCAGACCTCTCTTTCCTTCTCAGGCCACAGAAAGCATGGGGCCCAGGCATCTGCATGGCTACATTCAGGTCGACCCCTGGGCTGGCAGTAGTTGGGTTTGGGGGAGGATCCAAGCTCTGGACTGGGTCCTGCTCCATCCCTGCCACCCTGGCCTTGATGCAGAGCCCAGAACCACTCTTTGGCATCCAAAGGGCAGGGTATTTGGAGAACATGCTGGCATTAGTACTTCATGATGGGAGAGATGGCTTCTCCAGACATGTTCAAGGATAGCAGTTAGGAGTTTGGGCAGGAACAGAATGGAAGAATAGGTGGGCTCCTCTAATGAAAGACAGGTTTATGCCCCCCTGGGAGATCCCCCACTCATACCGCCCAAAGCCTGCCAGGAATGGTGGTGGCCAAAGGCCCTGCAGTGAGCATGGGGGGACTCTGATCCTGGGTCATTTGGGCATAAGAATAAATGTAAATATGACCTTACTTGTCCTCATCAGTTCTGCAGCTCTGTGTCACCTCATGCCAAGGACATGAGCTCATTTAATTCCCACATAAACCCATTTTACAGATGAAGAAACTAAGGGTCAGAGAAGCTAATTGCCCAGGGTCATTCAGCCAACAAGTAGTAGAATCCTATAGACTCTGGATTCATGCACTGTCCACATCTCCAGCTGCCCCCAGAGTGCCAGCCCTCCTGAGAGAGCTCCCCACATCCCCAAGGACACCTCCTACTGGGGACCAGGTTACCCATGTCTCCTGCAGCCTGGTGGAGGTCTGCCTGCTAGGGTGAGCCTCTGCCTCACCCGCCCACCCGTGTGCTAGGGACAGAAGGGGGACTTTATGTGCAATCTGCCCGACTCTCCAGAAAGCACTTAGGTTTACGATGTGCATGAAATTGATCGCCAGTTGGCGCAGCCCCCGCTCTTTCAGTGCCAGCCCAGTGCTGGCAGGAGGCTCCCCCACCACCCCCCACTTTCAAGGAGCATCAAAGCCGGCTGCCAAGGCCTCTCGTGAGGGTCCTTCTCCAGTAACAAGTGCAGAATGGAGGGGGGAGTTCTGCCCAAAGGCCTTTCCACAGTGCACACACCCCCGCCCTGTGAGAGTTAAATAGCTCCATGTTTTATGCCAGTTCCAGCCTCTTCTGCTTCCCCTCTAACAAGCCGATGCTTTCAAAGGCCCCACTAATTGGTGTTTGCACCTCACACACCACGACACTTTGATAGTCACTTAGAATGTGGGTCCATCCATCACACCCAGGGTACAGGGAAGCTGCTCACCTTGCTGTACCAGGGTACCCGGGCCTGTGTGCTCTCTGCATGTGTGCAAGTGTGTGCATGCCTGCATGCACATGTGAGAGTACTCATATGCCTTCCTTCATATGTGCAGAATATGTGCCTGTACAGGCACACCTATGTGCACCTATGTGTATAAATGCTCCCTTGAGGATATTTCTTGTACAACTCTGTGTTTGTATGTCAGTGCATGTGCATGGGTAAACACTAACATCTGTGCACGTGGGAGTGTGAATTTGTGTGTATGCACACTTTCCTAGGTAGTGTTTGCATGCACATGCAATAGTGCTTTCGTGTGTTTAGGCATGTGCAGAAGTGCTTTGTATGTTTGTGTGCAAACATCTGCCTGGGGGCATGTACATGTGAATTTTTACAAGTCTACGAATGAGGAATATATTCATGTCTGACTGTGCCTATGGGTGTGTGGGTTTGCCTGCCTTAGCACAGGGGAGAACAAACTTGTTTGTGTAAATACAGGGAAGATGTGGCGATTAGTGAAGTTCTGTGTCTATCTGTATCTTAGTGTGAATGTATATACAAGCATATGTGTACCTGGCCATTTGTGTCTGGCATGGAGAGAAAAAGTTTAACCTAGTCAGTGGCCCATCAGCTTTGGGTTTGAGACCTGGCTCTACCATTTTCTGGCTCTGTGACTTTGGGCTAGTCACTTAACCTCTTGAATCTCCAGTTTTCTCATCTGTAATGGAAATAATAAAAGCATCTTCCTCTGATTGGTGTGCAGGTCAAATGGGATAATTCATCTCAAGGGCTGGCAGGATGCAGGGGCGAGCCTGTGGGCAGACAGGCAGACTCTCCTCTCTCCCTATGCTTCCCCCCTCCCTGGGAACACCCACAGTGCAGACACTTTTCCTGGCCTCATCATGTAGCTAGCTGCCTGAAAGACACCCTGTGGGCACTTGGGGAGAGAACTGGAAGAATCGTGAGAAAAGCCTGGTTGGGCCCAGGTCACACAGTGACAGCCAGGACTTCTGAGATTTTTGTTGCATCCAAAGAGAGTTCTCACTTTATTACCTACCTTTGACATGTGGGAAACTGAGGTGCAGAAGTAGATGCAAGCTGGTGGCAGAACGGAAACTTGCTGTCAGCAGACACAGCCTACAGCCAGGCTGGTGGGAATCCAGGATGTCCTTCTGAGTCCTGAGGGAGAAGGGGCAGCTTCACCTTTCTAATGTGCCTCGTGCACAAATACTAAACCTGGGATTCTTCCACTGACCCTGGCCCGGGGTGCCTGCCGCAAGCTGAGTGTGGACCTCAGGGAGCCCAGCCCTGCCTCTCTGTAAACACAGATCGAAACACACAGCTCTAGTCTAACCCTATCATTTACTTACCAAGAAACAGAGGGCCAGAGAAGGAATGGAGCTGGCTCAAGGCCACAGGGCAGGAGAAAGCTAGAACAAGGCTGCTTATGTCCCAGACTGGGGTTCTCACTGTCTTGCTGTCCTCGTTCACCATGCTGCCACTCAACGGTATTGACCTGGCTGGTGGGTCATGGCTAGGGCAGGGCTCTCCCCATGGGCAGGCCACAGGACCTTCAAACCCACCTGGTGGTCAGCCCAGAGGATCCACGTGCCTCCATTTGGGGGAACACAGCCTCTAGACGTGGGCTCCCACACTGCCCCACCTAAGATTGCAACTAGTATGTGTCCCTTGTTTTTATCCTTCTTAGTTTGCAGGGTACATGTTTTATGTTACTTTTTTAATTTAAAAAATTTAAACTTTACAAATCACAACCAGCAGCAGCAGCACGGCAGCCTCACCAGTTGACATCCCCAGTATCATCAGCATCACTATCCCCCAAAGTCATCGTCGTCTCCAGCATCAGGGTGTGACTGTACCCTGCCTGCAAATCCCCACCCCTTAAGCTGTCATGACTCCCTCACCCTTCATAAATGTCCCTGACATGGCCCAAGAATCAAGCAGAAATGGTCCTCTTCCACCATCCACATTTCATTTCTCACTCCTGCCTCGTCCATCCCTCCCTCACTATGCCCACGCTCATTCCAGGATCATATGACCCAAAGCCCTCCCAAATCTTTATCTCTCCCTGTTCCCAAGAGCGCTGGGCCTAGCCTGTCCTGCAGAAACTGCGGGCTGGGCTTTGGCCCTGGAGTCTTCACTGGGGCAGGCAGCCAGCAAAGGGAGCCGGGAGGGGAAGGAGGGGTGAGTGGGCCCCTCCTCAGGCTTGGTGCCCCACCCACCCAGCCGGAGGCCTGTCTGCCTTCCTGAGCTCATTAACTGCAGGTCACCGTTCAGCAGGAAAGACAAGGTGTGGGTTCTGCGGGCATTCATTAGCCGTGAGAGGAACAGTGTGTGTGAAATTAGCAGTCACCTGAGGACCTCGATAATTTCATAATTAGGAGGCCTAATGGCTCCAGCTCTGGATGCCAAATGACTTAACCCCTCACCTGCTGGGCCCCCAACCCCCAGCCCAAGGCTGCAGGGGAGGGCCTGTAGTGCCCTCTCTGCTCCAGTCCCCCTCTCTAGGGCCCAATAATGTTTATTTCTGCCTCCCCAGTGCCCAGCACAAAGGCTGGCACAGAGGGGGCATAAAACCAAAGTTCATGGAGTGAATGAATGAATGGATGAATGAATGAGCAAGTGTCTGAATGGGGAAAATGTTCCAGCCCCTGCTGCAGGTGCTCAGGGGAGGAAAGCTTTGGAAAGGGGTGAGGAATGGCTCTGCATCTGCCTGAGCAAGTATGCAGCTATGCACATGCTGGTCTGTGTGTGCATGTGCACGTTCGAAGCCACACACATGTAGGTCTATGGTGTCTGCTTCTAAGAACCTTTCCTGGGTCCATGTTCAAGCTCTGTGAACACACTCATTCTGCTGCCTCCTCTCTGAGAACAGGGGATGCTCTGTCATGGGGCCCAAGTGCCTCCCTTGATGCCATCCTCTCCTGGCACCACCTCAATAATGGTGACTCCAGAATTTCTATATGGGGGCATTCTTTAGGGGAGAAAGGCATTCTAAGGGGCTTACCTTGAACCTGTATAGCAAGTGCATTGTTTTTACCAAGACTGAATGTTTACTTGGGAGTCTGGGGTACTGGTGCTAATAAGAGTGCTGAAATCACACCCTTTAGCATAGGGGGAGCTGGTCAGGACAGCCTCCAAAGACCCCCCTCACCCCGCCACTTTTCTCAGCCTGGCCCCCCTCCTCCCAACCTTCCTCTGGTCCTTTGGAGGTGAAGGATGAGGTGGAGGGGTGGGGTCCTTGGGGCTCCAGGCTAGTGCAGGCCTTACCCAGTTTGGGACAATTGATTCTGAGCCTCCCTGACCCAGCCTCACTGTAGAGAGAAGGAGCTGAGTGGCGTGAGAGGGGAGGTCTATAAAGAAATAGGAGAGGAGGTGTGGGGAGAACAATCAAGGAATATCAAGGGAAAGAACGGAGGGGAAGGGGAAGAAAGGGGAGGAGGAGAAAGGATAGGAAGGAGGTGAGAGAGAAGAGAGAAGACGGGAGGGGAAGGGAGAGGAGGAGAGGCAGGGAGGCTGAAAGCATTATCAGCACTTAAAAAGCCAGCGGCTCAGTTCTTCTTTGGCACAAATAATGGCTTTTTATGAATAAATCATGTGTCAGACGCCTCCCAGGGAGTGGGCATAGAGGGGAGCGCGTCTGCTGGGCTCCAAAGCTGATGGGGAAGAGCCAGTTGCAGCCCCCCAGCCACAGGGGTGTTGCCCCCTTTCTCCTGATGAGACCCAGCAGGACAGAAGCTGTGTCTGGAATGATCCCTGGCCTGAGCCAGGCAGAGCTCGGTCAGAGCTCTGAGGTGGTCCCACTCCTCCCTGCTCATAAGCTGGGCTGGATCCCAGGGTCTGGAGTGTCCCTCTGCTCCCCTCCCCTCCGACAGACAGCAGAGCAGCCCAGAAGACACTCCTGGCAGGGGAACACCAGTGCTGGTGCTCCCGGAGAGAGCTTTGTGCCAAGACAGGCAGGCAAGCCCAGAGAGGAGGGTGTGCATGGCACATGTGGGGACAGAGACAGCACCTCACACAGGCATGGACTGCACAGCCCCGGCACTTGTGTGGGCACACTTGGAGGCAGATCCACTGTCATTCCCACCACACACACACGCACACACACACACACGCCCAGCCATGTGCACACTCGGCAGGGAGAACCTCAAGCACCACCCCACCTGCCCAGCACACTCACTAACCCCTAACACACACACAGACACACACACACAGGCCCACACAGACAGACACATATGGGACTACATGGAAACACACAGCCCTGCGCACACACACCAGCGGCCCACCCTCCGTCAGCCTAGGGTGGGGGCAGTTCTGCAGCCCATATGGAGCCCACACCCAGCTGGGCTGTCTCAGAGGCTGGCTGTAGGGTGGGGCTGGGGCATCTGTCCCAGGGGAGGGGCCATCAGCCTCTATGTGCTCCCCACTTGGCAGGGACACCCGCCATACCAGGTTGGGTCTCAGCCCCAACTCAGAGCCCAGAATCTGTGCGGATTCTACTGGCTCTGAGTTCCTCTGCTCCTCTGCTCTCAGCCACCTCATCAGAGGCAGTGGGGGCTGCACGAGAGCCTGGGTGTTGGAGGTACACACTCAGGGGCTCTGGCCCTTGCCAATAGTGTGACCTCACACAATAATTCCTATCTTATTTACTCCTCAAAACAAATGTGTGAAACAGGTGCTACTGCCCCATCTTTCAGACCGAGAAAGTGAGGCTCCAGAAGGCAAGAACATTGGGTATTCCTTTCTAGGACACCGTCCCCAATCCCCTGGGGTCCTGGTTTTCCTTCTCTTCTCCTCTCAGCCAGTGGGTCCCTCCTGTGCCAAGATGTTCATCAAAGCAGACTTGGACTTCCTGCTCTTCCAACTCTGCAATCCTCCCCCTCCCAAGCCATTTCCAACCCCTCAGTGACACCTTCTGTGTTCCTGATTCTTGACCTCCCTTTCCAGCCCAGACACCTTCTGGGCTCTGACCCCACTATGCAAGTGGACACCTCAGGGCCACTATGTTGCCCAGTGCCAGAGAATGTCATTTCACGCAGTGTGTATGCTCCTGAACATCCCTCCCTCTGCTCCAAATCCCAAAGATTCTCATGAACTATAGCTCAAATGAGCACATCAATTTCCCTAGGGCTCCTCCTGCTTTGGTGTGCCCCATCTCAAGGAATGGCCCTGTCTCCCCAGATACCCAAACAAAAACCAAGCATCAATTGATGCTTCCCTGTCCTTCATCCCCCAGGTCCAATCCACAACCAAGTCCCCAATGACTCCATATCCAAAGTAGATGTGAATTCATCCTTTCCCTTGCAGCCCCACTGTCCTCCCCCATAACTTGGTTTGAGCCACATCAGCACCTCTGGCTGGGCCACACTGTCCCTCTTCCACTGTTGAACCCTCTGGCCCATTAGCCTCCCTGCCATCAGTAATCTGTCCCTCTCTGAACTTTAGCCACACTCAACTGCTTTTGGTTCTGGAATCCACACACCTCTTGACTCTGGGCCTTTGAACATGCCATTTCATCTAAATCCCCTTCCCAATGCCAGTTCCTCCTACCAAGCTTAGCTGAGGCAGCACCAGTCCAGGCACCTTCCCTGACTCAAGTCCAAGATGAGTGCTGCCCCATCATTCATTCCCACGACAGCCCCCAGCTCCTCCTCCGATCAGCACAGCTTTGATCTATAATCGCCTATTTGCTGGCCTGTTCTCCCCAGGAGCCTCTAAGTTCCTTAAGAGTAGAGACTGTGTCCGTGTGGCTCTAGGGCAGCCCCAATGCTTGGTATAAGAACTTAACAGGTGCTCACCGAATCTTCCTGGAATGAACGAGTGCAGGACCTGCGCTGAACACTTTCCATACCTTTCCTCATGCCTGACAGAAGTTCATGAGATGGATGCTACTATTCCATGGTGTAGTCCAGGAAGACAAGGCTTCAGAGGCTGAAAATTTGCCCGAGGTCACACAGCTGGCAAACTGTAGAAAATGGATTCCAACAGCAGTCTGTGCACCTCAAAGGGATCTCTTTTCACCATCTCTACCCTCCTTCCCAAGTCATTTTCTCTCTCTGACCTTGTTTTCTCATCTGTACAATGGGAACAAAAATCGTGCCCAACACAGAGCCTGGCACTAAAGGTTCTCAGTAAATATTTGTGCATCCTCTCCCAATCTCTGAGGCTTATTTAGGACGCATTTTCCTGGGCCAAAACTTCGTGCATGCACATGTTCACAGAAACAGGTGCAGAGCTCGACGAAGCACATCTTCAGCACGGGGGACTCAGTAGGCGCTTAACCAATATGTGCCGGGCAGAGGAGCATTAGTTTAGCAAAGGCTGACGAGTACCCAGACAAAAAGCCACAATAGTGACTCAGGCACATGAACCCTCCCCCTGCCCCAAGTTCCCTGTCAATTATCCTCCGCCACCACTCCCCTTCCTCTAGCCCAAGGCGCGGGAAATATTTAAAACAATTTTATTCATGAAAATATGCTGTACAATGCACTCTACACAGCCTCGACACGGCACACACGCACACGCACACTCTGACGGCACGGCCACGGTACACTGCCTACGATACGCGCCGGGGACGCCGCGCCCACCGCCCGTCCCGGCCGGACACTTATAAATATGGGAGAAGGGCCAGAACTGGCGCGGAGAAAGGGGCGTCGGGGTTGGGGGTGGACGGGGCTGAGGCCCGCTGCAGAAGCTGAGACCAGTACTAGGGGGTGGGGGCGGTTGAAGAGAGGGACTGACTCCGACGGGGGAGGGGAGAAGCGAGGGCCGGCAGGGATGGGAGGGGGAGACTGAACTGTGGGGGTGGCGGTCGTCGGAGGGCGATTTGGGGGTGGAGGGCTGCTCAGGGTGGATGGATATAGGTAGGTGTGAGTTTTCCGCAGAGGGTTGCTGGCTTCGGGTGGGTGAGACTAAGACCAGTGGGAAAGTGTGTCAAGTGGGAATCAGATCCGTGTTTGGGGTGGGCGCGGGGTCACGGCTAGGCCTCCGCAAATGAAACTGAAGATTTGTAAACGCTCCCTGGCCCATCTCCTAGTTGGCTTCCCCGACCACCGTCCACACCAGGCGGCCCACCCCGCTCCTCCCTACTCCCAGCCAGCCTGGAATTCAGCCTCCTCTCCCAGGCTTCCTGCCCAGGAGAAGGGGGTGGATCTCAGGAGTGTGGGCAGGAGCAGTGGGGTGCCCCGGCCCCTCCCTCCCCTTCCCCGGCGGCCGGCCTCCGAGAGGGGTCCCTAGCTGGGCTGGGGCCGCCTCCTGGGGAGCTAGAGTCGGGGGCAGGGACCCGGGAATCAGGATGGGAAGACAGAGGCCCCCTGGGGACGGGACGGGGCGCCCGGAGGCGGGAGGCGGCCCTCAGCCCGGCACCCAGCTCTGGTTGGGGGGCGGGGCCCCGGCCAGGCCCGGCGGCGGCGGAGGCAGGGCCGAATCGAAGTTGAAGTCCATTTCGTCGCTGTCCATGAAGTCGTTGAGGATGATGGACTCCACGTCGCACTCGAGGCTCCCGCTGAACATGTCGAGGTCCAGGTCGGCCGGGAAGCGGTCGGGCGCGGCGCCCAGCGGCCCGGCGGCGGCGGCAGCGTAGGGCCCCGGCAGAGCGTCCAGCAGGAGGCCGCCGGGCGGGCCCCCGAAGGCGGCGGCGTGGCCCGGCGGTGCCAGGCCCGCGGCGCCCGCCTCGCCGGGCAGCGTCATAAGGCTGATGGGGTGGGCTAAGGCACTGCGCGAGGGCGCGGGCGGCGCGTACGGGGCCGCCCCTTTGCCGGGGTAGGCGGCGGCTGCGCCCGCCAGCGCCAGCTCCCCCGGCGCACCCAGCACCGGGCCGGGCCTGGGCGCGGGCCCGCGGCCCGTACGCGTCCTGCGCGCCGTCCAGCAGGCCCTCGGGCAGCCCCGCGCCGCCGCCGCCGTGCAGGCCCAGCGGGCCTCCCAGCTCGGCCAGGCGGGGCAGCTCACCCGGACAGCGCGAGCCCAGCGCCGGCGACAGCGCGCTGGCGGGGCTTGGGTACATGAGCGGCGATGATGGCGCCAGGGCCTCCAGGGCCTCGTCGTCCTCCAGCTCGGCCGCCTCCCCGAGCAGGGGTCTCCCGCCGCCGCGGAAGTCGGCCCAAGCCTCGTAGTCGTCGCTGGCGTGCGAGGCGGGGCTGGCGGCCCACTTGGCTGCGGCAGGCACCGGCCCCGGGGCGGGCGCACTCGGGGAGCTGTCGTCCGGGCTTCGCTCGGGCGCCTGCAGCTGCTTCTTCTTGCTCGCCTTGCCCTTGATGCGCAGGAACTTGGCCCCGTTGTCCATGGACACGGCCCTGCGCCGCGGGGTCTTCCCTGTCTTTCCGCCCTCGGGGTTCAGCATCCACCACGAACTCTTGCCGGTGCCCTCGTTCTGCACGCGGATGAAACGGGTGTGCAGCGACAGGTTGTGCCGGATGGAGTTCTGTGGCCAGAGACAAGGACGCGGGTGGGAGTCGGGGGGTGAGGAGGCCATGGGGAGAGAGGGGACGTGATGGAAAGAAGAGGGGGAGGATAAGAGAGTGTAGGAGGAGGAGGGAGATAGGGATGAGGATGAGGTAAGGGGGTTGGGAGAGGGAGGGGACAGGTGTAAGTACCGGGTTGGACAAACCCAGAGTACCCACCCTCTGCCCCAGAACTGCACCCCCCATCCCTCCCCACTCCCACACAGAGACTGCCCAGAGGGTGAGGCCACAGCTTTGGGCCTAGCCTTTCCCTGGGGGCATGGCCAACCCTGTGGGCTACTCTGAGCCTGCGGGGGGCCTGCAGCAGGGAGCAGGACCCCGTCTCCCCAGCTCAGCCAAGCCCCACGCGGGGCTAACCAGGCTGCCAGGGCCCCCAGCAGATTACGTAAGGGCTTATGCCGCCGCGGCTCATTTGTCCGCCCCCCTCCCTCTCCAGCCTGGCGTGGCGCCAGGAGCCCGAAAACCCAGGGCTCCAGAAATCAATCTCGCGGTGACTGATTAAGCCCTGTTTAGAACTAATTGCTCTTTCGTGTGTGGGGAGAATAAATTACCTGCTTTAATTTCGTGTCTTTAAAATGCAACTGCAGGTAGAGAAGACTGTTAACCCTTTGCTGGGAGGGCCTGGCCAGGGGAAACAGAGTAGGCTGGGGTCCCCAAGGTGGGTCCAGGCCTGAGACTTTTCGGAGGTATCACCCCAACTCCTCTTAGCTGCTGTGAACTCCACAGAGGGTTTGGATTCCAGCAGGCCCCTCAAAAGACATCCTTTTGCCACAGAGACCTCAGCCTTCACCCTCTTCAGTGCCCACCTTCAGGCCAGCCCAGCTCTCCTGCCTGCCCTTTGGGCTGCACCCTGCCCTCCTCTCCTGACCCACCTGCCTGCCCTCCAAGCCCCTTGCTGTTGGAGCCTTCTCAAAATCCCCACAGTGTGTGGCAAAGTCCCCATTCACACGCCAGAAGACCTAGGCTCAGAGAGAGGAATGGCTTGCCCAAGGTGGCCTTTTCTGCTGTCCCTCGGTTCCTCCCTGGGCTTCACCTCTGCCATCTCTCCATACATCCTCTTTTTAATTCTGCTGTGCCAGTCTCCAGTGCTCCCCATGTCACTGCCTGCTTTTGCCAGGCCTGTTCTGAGGACAGAGGAAGGCAGGAAGTCCACTGGCCCCACTGGAATCTGGAGTAGAACTTCTGCTGGGCCTGCGGCACCCCACCTCTGGGGCCTCCCACCTGGTGGCCTCAACTTCCTGGTCCAGGTACTGCTATGGAAACAGCAGGGGCTTGGGTATCAGAGGGTGGGACAGGATGCCTGGCTCTTTGGCTGCCTAGCTATGTGACCATGGGGTGTTTACTCAGTTTCTTGTGAGCCTCAGTGAACTACTCTGAAAAAGTGGGCTACATTCAGTAACTACCTCTTAAGGCTGTAAGATCATTACATGTGCATGAATAAGTATTTGCACACCAGGTGCTTATAAACGTTGGTTATATCCTCACTCTGGCCAGAAGCTCTCACCCCTTCGGTCCCCCAACAGACCTGCTGTTTCCATCTCTTTAACATCATGCCTTGTGTGCAACTGTGCTGGGCACCAACAACTCTGGGAAGCTGGCATTCTCCAATTTCATACACTAGGGACCGGAGGCCCAGAGGCATGATGTAACTTCCCGTGGCCCCACAGCTAGGCAACGATGCCCGGTACCACTCCAGCTCTGCCCAGCTCATGGACCTGCTCTTAACCTGTGAATCCACCCAGCCACACTCACAGCCACTGCTCTGTGAGGCTCTCCCTCCTGCCTCCTTCCCACCAGTCTCCTGGAGGAGGGGTCCTTCCTGCTGCCCAGGGTACCCTCCCACCCCTCACCCCCAGCTCCAGGCACTGATCTGACTCCTCAGGGCCCCAGGCTCCCTGTCTCTGGCACTTTCTGGCCTTTGAAGGCAACAGCTGGGACTTGCCAGCCTTGCCCTGCCTGGTTCTCTGGAGACCCTGAGGGGAGGGGAGCTGGGCCCCCAGGGAGCAGTGCTCCCTCAAGTAGATACCCCCTTCCTGTTCCCACCCCTGCACCTGGCTCCCCAGCCCCTCCCCAACACCTGTGTTCAGCCTCCTAGGAGGCCTCAGTTCTCCTCCCCCATAGGACTGTCTGGCTTACAAGAGGCTCCACCTCCCACCTCCCCATTTCTCCAGCTGGAGGTCACTCAGGCAACACCTCTTTATCAATGTCATTATGTCCTGGAGGAAGGACAGTACCAGGTACCAGCACCTAGCAAGCGCTTGCCCATTCAGCCCTGGGCACTCTAAGTACTTTATCAAATGTAATCATTAGATGAACTCCACACAAGTCAGGGATTGTGATCCCTATCTCATAACCGGAGAGTGAGGCTCAGAGATGTTAAGTGAGTTACCAGGGTCACACAGCTTAAGTGCTGTGCCATGTATTGATTTCAGGTTGGTGTTTTGTTTTGTTTTGTTTTGTTTTGTTTTGTTTTGTTGAGACAGGGTTTCACTCTAGCCCAGACTGGAGTACAGTGGCACGATCTCAGCTCACTGCAACCTCCGCCTCCCAGGCTCAAGTGATTCTCCTGCCTCAGCCTCCCAAGTAGCTGGAATTACAGGTGCGTGCCACTGCCACCCAGCTAATTTTTGTATTTTTAGTAGAGATGGGGTTTCACCACGTTGACCAGACTGGTCTTGAACTCCTGACCTCAGATGATCCACCCGCCTCGGCCTCCCAAAGTGCTGGGATTACAGGTTGGTCTTATTCTAAGTCTAAAGGATATCACATTCTGCCATGGAAGACAGAAACAGGTCTGAGAATCCCAAAGAATCTTAGGAAGCCAGTATTCCAGTGCTCCTCAAACTTTCCATGTAAACCATCCCTAGAAGCTGGCAGCAGGGGAAGTCTGGGGGCATGTTGCACAGGTCAAAATTTCCTGCAAGTCTAAGCTTCCTTTTTAGACTTCAAGGAAATTTTGCATAGACTTCATAATCCACCCACATTTTCTTTATACACATTATTCACATGTTTTAGAATTACCGCCAAGACAAGCTCCAGGCCTCTGAAGGTTTGCATCCTTCCCTGCTCTGTCCCATATCCAGCCAGGTACCCCTGGAGCTCAGGCCTCAGCCTGAAACCATGGCTGGCCCAACCCATGGGGAAGAAAGGACTTGCCCAAGGCTGTCCGAGACCTGGTGGCAGAGCAGGGATGTGAGCCCAGGCCTCCCGACCCCCAGCCCCGTGTTCCTCCCACTCTACCAAGCCTGACCTAGATGAAGTTTCTCCTTCTTTGGGGGCCTCAGTGTCCTGAACTATAAACTAAGGAGATGGGCAAGTTGTACTCTGGGAACCTTTTCAGTTTGACAATGAAAATCCTTAGAATCATTCAGTCCAGAGGTTTTCAAACATTTTTCTTAAATAGGGGAACTCTTTCTGTAAATGAGATTTAGTGCAAAACTTAAGCGTTACACACTCAAGCCAATGGTGGTGGGGACAGGAGTACCTGGATCCCTGTGCACTCAGCACCCTTTTTCACAGAAAATGAAGCTCCTGGGGAGGATTCTGCAGGCCAGATGGATGGGGTCTTTGAGGCACAGAGGGATGCCATGCCTTGCTCAGGGTCAGACAAGGTGGCTCAGAGCTGAGCGATGACCTAGGCCTCTGACTGCTGAGCTGGGCTCTGAACCAGGTATGCTCCAGGGCTGTGCCCCATGAGAGAAGCTCAGGCCCTGCAGCCCAGTCTGGCTCCTCAGGGCCCAGCCACCTGGTACCAATCAGAGCTCCCTGCCAGATCCAGTGGCAAGCACTGATCACAGCTCTGGCTCACACCACAAGGCCTCCTGGGAGGCCAGAGGCCATGGAGGAGGTGAAAGAGGCAGAGGAGGGAGATGCCTCTGCCAGGCAGCAGTAACCAGGGCTCCCTCTTAGAGTCGCCTAGCAACCCACCACCACAGCCACAGCCCTGGCATGCCCGGGCTCCCCAGGTGCCCAGAGCTGGGCCCAGCTTCTGGGGCCTCATGCCTCCCACACCTACATCCAGACCTGGAGCATGTTGCTAGGGGAGTCAGGACATACCTGATTCAGGGCCCGAGGGAGACCATCTGGGGGCAGAGGGAAAGGACAGTGGGTTATATCTCATGCCTACCCCGTTCTCCTTCAGAACCTGGGCCAGGGAGCCCAGCCCCCAGGGATTCCCCCACCAGGGAGGAGGCTAGAGTAGGGCAAAGTACATCAGCTGTAGCGTTCGAACTGGATTCCCCGTTTCAGCCCCATCACCTGTGAGTGCTATGACCCTGGGGCAAGATGTTTTCAAGCTCCATTCCTCAAATGGCTCCCTGCTCCCTCCCTCACCTCCTTATAGCACTCCACGCAGCAGCCAGAGTGACCCTTCAAATAACCGAGATCACGTCCATTCCTGCCCAGATCCCTCCGACACCCTCCATCTCACTCACAGTGAGGAACAAAGGCCTTGCCATGGCCCACAAGACCCACAGTGACCATGCAGGTACCCCGCTCCATCCCTCCCTCCCATCCTCAAACCTGCCAGGCATGGTCCCGCCTGCCCCCAGATATCCACAGAGATCGCTCCTCTCCTTCCAGTCTTTGTTCAGATGCCATCTCTTGGAACGGGGCCCATCCTGACCTCTCTTAAAAACTGTTCCTCTTCCCTGGAATTTCTTGGCCCCCTGATCCTGCTCTATGTTTTTCTAAAGCATTTTCACATTCTAAATTAATACATTATTTATCCTATCTTTATATTAGAATATAAGTTTCATGAGGGCAGTGATTTTTATCCTTTTTAAAACTGTACCTCATGTGTTTGGTACATACTAGACACTTAAATGTTTGTCAAATGAATGAATGGATGAATGAATAAGAGAAAGTGTGTATGTGCAAGGAGGAGTAATACTGTGTTGTAGGGAGATTAAATAAGACTGGGCAGAGTGGCTGACACATAATAGGGGCTTTTCCAAACTGGGCAGAAAGAAGACACAGGCAGGATGAGAAGCAGGCAGTGGGGTGAGAATGTCCGAAGCAGTCTGACCCACTGAGGGGTGCCAGGGAGAGGAGTAGGGCATCCATTGGGGGTGAAGGAGAGGTCCCACGGTGCACAATGCAGCTGCCTGCCCTCCCCAGCCCCCCACCCTGCTCCCCAGAGAGACTTGGATAACCCAGGGCTGGCACACACCGAGGTCTCCCCTGGGCCAGAAGACGCTCCAGGAGCCCCAGTGGGAACAGGATAACCTCGTCGTTGCTGATGGTGCCTCCCTCATGGACAGGGTCTGATCCATTTGGTGGTGGCAGCTCATCTATCCAGCAGGACACCCTCATCTATTCCCAGGATGCCCTTCACCCACGAGCAGTAATGCATTCACCTGACAGCACAACCCCATTTATCCAGCACACCAGTCCCATTTATCCAGCAAGTACAACCTCATTTGCTAACAGCACTCCATTCACCTGACGGGCCCCCTCATTTATCCAGCAGGACACCCTCATTTATCCTCTGAGTCGGACACTCTCCTTCCTCCTGTGGTGTGGCTGTGTTCTCTGATGGAGCAAAAGCCGACTGATCCAGCAGGACGTCATCTCTACTACAAGTACACTTCATCCCCTGACAGTACAACCTCATTTATCTAATAATGCAGCCTCACCTTGCCCCCAAGTACCACCTCATTCCCTGACAGCACAACCTCGTTGATCTTCCGGTACAACCTCATTTCTTCTCCCAACACAGCTTCATTCTCCAACAGCTCAACCTCATCTAATCTTATGCCTCCAGCCAGGGCCTGCCAGATCTCCGGGAGCCAAAGGAGAGTGTAGAGAAAAGAGAGGTCCCTCATTTGCTGTCCCCCACCCACAAGGGCTGCCTGGTGCTATAACCATCCAATTTCTCCAGGCCCAGAAGGGGCCATGGACTTTGAGTTCTAGGCTGCTTGGCCAAGCCAGAACTCCACTATTGCCCTGCCTCCTGTTCTGTCCCCACCATGGCTACAGAGGGCCCACAGGATGGATTCTGGGACATGGACTCATGGTTGCTGTACCATCTTCTTATTTATTTATAGCCAGGTTCGTTCATTCTTTCTTTTCTTTTCTTTTCCTCTTTCTTTCTTTCTTTCTTTCTTTCTTTCTTTCTTTCTTTCTTGCCAGGGTATTTATTTATTTATTTATTTAGAGCCAGGGCCTCCCTCTGTCACCCAGGCTGGAGTGCAGTGGTGCAATTATAGCTCATGGTACCCTTGACCTCCTGGGCTCAAGTGATCCTCCCGCCCTACCCTCCCGAGTAGCTGGGACCACAGGTGTGCGCTACCACACTCGGCTAATTTTTATATTTTTTGTAGAGAGGAGGATTTCTTATGTTGCCCACGTTGGTTTCAAACTCCTGACCTCAAGTGATCTTCCTGCCTCGGCCTCCCAAAGTGCTGGGATTACAGGTGTGAGCCAACTTGCCTGGCCATCTCTGTGCCATCTTCTTCTGATCCTGGGCAGTGGGACTAGGGGAAGTTACCTTTTCTGGGGCACATTTAGTGGTGTGCTGGCAAATGTTTAACCACCAGCTCTTCTGGAAGTTAAAAAAAAAACCTACCTGATTTGATTTGTAGCTGTTGCTGCTTTCTGTGGTACGGATACTCACATCATAGCCAATTTTAAACTGCCACATGACGTCACCGAGTGCAGAATTGGGAAGAAGTGTGCACGATCAGCCCTCATGAGCCAGTGCAAACCAGCTCTCGCACACCACTGGCATGTGCTTCAAATGCTGAAGCCAGAGAAGGGCACCACCTACTACATGCCTAACATAGGCTAGGCTCCTTTAATCCTGATAACCATCCTGTGAGTAGGTACTGCGATTTTACAAAGGGGGCAAACTGAAGCTCAGGTGGGTTAAATGACTCCTGAGGCCACAAAGCTGGGAAATGACGGAGCCAGGCTTGGGTCTTAGGGCTGCTGGATTCCAAAGCCAGAGCTCTCCCACACCTACCCCTAATGTGGCAGGGGACACTCTGCTGTCCACCCCAGTGGCCATCTCCACCTTGACGCTCAAGCCCAAGCTCTCCTAGCTTTCATCAGAGACAGGGGACAAGGACTGTGCCCCCACCTACCACCAACCCTGTGCTACCTCCTGGCCTCCCTGGTACCTGGGGTCTTTCAGGATCCAAGTGCGGCCCTGCATCTTGTGTCCACCCATCACAGCCCAAGCCCAAGGTCAGGTGTGGATGCCTGTCCAGGTTGCATCACAGTCAAAGGCTCAGCCCAGCCCCTCCCTCAGGAGACTGACCCTGACTACCTGATGGGGAAAATGACCCAGCACCTGTTACTGCAGTGACCTCCTGTGGGGCTGTGGTGAGGGCTCTGATCCCCTCTATGATTCCCATTTCCTCCTTCCCTCCTGGCCTTCCTTCCTGCATACGGAGAGGTCAAAGACAGGAGACTGAATCCCAACTTCATCCATGTGACAGTGGGCCTCCACTATAACGAAGATAACAATCCCAGCATCCACAGGGACATATGGGACCTGGATGAAACCTCACATGTCAAGAATGTCATCCCATCCCTGTCTCAGAGCCCCAGGAGCCTCCCCATCCTACCCCTTGCCCCCACCCAACTCTGGGGCCCCAGCCTGGCCTAGGAACACACACCTGTGTCAGACAGAGCCACAGACACCCTGAGAGTCACTTGCCCTGCCATCTGGGGTGAAGTTCAGGTTCTCAGTCCAGGCCTCTTCCTGGCAAAAGATGTGACCTGGATGATGCCAGGGACCCGAGGCCATGTGCAAATCCTCGGCACTAGGGTCTGCAGTGGAGAAGGGATAGAAGGGCAGCTGGGGACCATGGGACACAGATGTCTCCAGGTGAGTGGGCTCAGGATCAGCAGCGGATCCTAGAGTGGGCAGCCTGGGGCCAGGAGGAACCAATATCCAAAGGAAGGCATGAGGCTCTGGCACCCCCCAGAGAAAGCAGAGCCCACACACCCAGGCTCGGCAGCAAATAAACCACCAACGAAAGTCCAACCTCACACTGCTCCAATGCCCATTCGTCCTTGTCACCTGCGGGCTTGGGTCCAAAACCAGGCTGATACTAAAGAGCCCTCTGATGTCCTCCAGCCTCATCGCCCCCTTCCCTTAGGGCCATCTGGGCCTCCAACCACCTTGGATGTCCCCATCCCTGTGCCTTTGCACACTGTTCCCTTTACTCTTGTCCCTTTCTCTGCTCTATCAGTTCCTGTTCCTCCATCAAGGCTAGCTCTGTGGCACCTTCCTCATCCCCTATGCAAGCCCCAAAGATAGATGCTCCCACCTTAGTGCTCCTGTAGAGATCTAACAGCAAACCAGAGCAAAGTGGTGTCTGAGCTGGCCTCCCTACTCGAACTCTGTGGGGCAATCCTTGGCTCAAGAGAAGTCAAGAGATAGGATGGAGCCCTCAGTAGCCACGAGCTGCTCATGCCTGGCATTTCTGTGTAGTTTCTGTTCAGCAAAATCTCAGGCCAGAGCTCCAAGGCTTGCCCACCCTCTACCAGGGTCCTGTCTGACCCTCCTCCCTGCTGCTTTCTCCTGCAGCTCCTGTTGCCTCTGCCACCTCCTTACTTGACCCCAGTACTTCCTGCCTCCTTGGGAAAGTGAGGCAGTGAGTGGGGAAGGACTACTGCTTCTGAGACATTGACCACATGCCATGCCCTGTGCTGCCACTCGAAAATTATCTCATTGAATTTTTGTAACAACCCTCTGGTTGGTTTATTGTCCCCATTTTACAGATGAGAAACTGAGGCTCCAAGAGACAAACTGACTTGCCCAGGGTCGCATAGTGTAAGTGGTGGTGCAGGAATTTACACCCAGGGCCCTTGCTCTTTCTCCTGCCCTGAGAGACCTCCAGAGAGGAGCCAAAGCCAAGCAGAAGCTCCAGCGTGAGCCTGGGGTAGGGGCAAGGGGACTCTCCATACTAGTTCAGCAACCCCTTCACAGACCCTCCTTCATTCGGGATTAAAAAGAACCCCTAAATGCAAAGCATTCAGACTTTTCCATCTCCCCTCTCAGTCTGAGCCCCTCCCTCCCTCTGCAGGCAGCACTTCCCCACTCCCCTGCCCCAGGCCCTGGGAGCAGCTGCAGTGACCTCACCCAGCCCTGCCCTGAGCCCAGCTCTGGGGAGGGCCCAGCAGCTGTGCCCCAGCCCTGCAGGCTGGCTCCTGGGGGAGAAAGAGGAAGAGTGGGCATGGTGCCAAGAGAACCATCTGCTCTCCCAGGGGCATGGCCACCCGCACAGACACTGGCCTTGCCCCCAGGGGCTGCCCTTGGTCCCCATGCCAAGGGGCTCCAGGAGCCCAGGGCGGCCCACCCAGACCGGGGCACCAGCCCTCATCTGCCATCTGTCTTCTCCTAGAGACTGAGAGGTCCTTGCAGGACATGTTGGAGCACTCAAATGTCCACTGGAAAATGAACAAGTGATCAGAGTAAGCCCTAGGGGCAGAGGCCAGAGGCCAGGGTAGGATGTGCTGAGCACTGCCTCCCCCAGCCCCGGCCCCAGCCTTGTCTGGCTAAGAGCCCTCAATCCCTTCCCGGGGCCCTCCATCTCGGCACATCTGT